>NC_000004.12:184072896-184375926 GCF_000001405.40 Homo sapiens
TAAAAGGTGTGATCTTTGACAATCCTGTGTACTTGAAAACCATGGAAGAGGACCTCTTAATGGACATGGGTAGACATGGTGCTTCTGGTGGATGCACGTGCCCAGTAATACCGGTCATAAGCACAGATGATGACTCAGCTTGACTTCTAAGACCAACTTAGAAGTCTCGACTTCTGAGGTCCACATCAATAATTCCCTACTTTGGAAGGGTAACAAAGCCAGAAGATGAGGCCGTTTCTTCCTCCAGCCTGGAGGAACCTCACGATATCTCTGTTGTGGATAAAGCTTGTGTATTTGACCCTTGCTGTGGTTTGAGTTTGTCCCCATCAAAACTCATGTTAAAATTTGGCCCCCAGTGTAGCGGTGTTGGGAGGTGGGGCCTAGTGGGAGGTGTTTGGGTCATGGGGTGCAATCCTCATGAATGCTTTCAACTCCTTCCTTCTTCACAGACACTGACATGATGCAGGCCTTATAGCTATTGGTAGCTTGACCCCATCTACTTGTATCTTGGGGTTCTTGGGGATACTTTGTCACTCAGTTTTGTTATAAATGTCTGTCTGGTTGATTTTGTTGTTCAATATTTTTAATATGGGGATTCAGGGAGATTTAAAAAAAACAGTCTCTGCTGCCATTATTACCTTCCCAGAATCTCTTTCAACTTTATTTCTTTTTAATTAAAAATGAGCATAATGAGCCTGGGGCTCTGTCTCCACCAGGCACATCCCCTGCCTTGCACAGCTCTCAGTTGATAGCAGGTTGCTCTTCCTCTGGTGCTCAGAGCTGCATTTCCACAGATACTATCTCAGTGCCCACCCATAAGCCACCATTTCTTTTCCATATCCTTAAAGCAGATCACAGCCGTAATGAGCTACCCACACACATTCTCCAGGGGATCTCTAAAGGTGCCAATTGTTATTTTTGTCAATGCTTTGATTATAAAATTGCACAGGTTTTGAGACACTTATTTTAACCTCATTTTTTCCATAAACCCTATGACATTTAGTAACACAGCTTTACAGAAGGTGAAAATTTTCAGTAAAACATATCTCATGTTATTACAGAAACAGATGCATGTATTCATGTATGACACATATGAAAGAGCACTTGAAATCATTAAAGATAAATGTATAGAAAACTACATGAGTGAATAAAACAGGACAGTTGCTAACCCAGGAAAAAACACATGGTATTAAGAAAAGAAATAATCACTGCAAAGTGAACAATGTTGACATAATCATAATATTTGAAACACTGATTATCACTCTAAGTACAACTTGTGAAATAATCACAGTGAGAGGAAAAGATGAGTGCAGCGGGCACTAGGCGTCAATAGATGCTGTCCAAAAATGTAAGAAATAATGTCATAAACATATTGATTACAGACAAAACATGGAGATATATACCAGAAGAAAAACAAAAACTGCTAAAAGATCAAACCCAGAGGACTTAAAGGAATGGAACAGGGAGTTACTGGTTTTTTTTTTTTTTTTTTTTTTTTTTTTTTGAAACGAGGTCTTCCTCTGTCACCCAGGCTGGAGTGCAGTGGTGAGATCTTGGCTCACTGCAACCTCTGCCTCTCAGGTTCAAATGATTCTCCTGCCTCAGCCTCCCGAGTAACTGAGATTACGGGCACCACCATGGCCAGCTAGGTTTTTTGTGTGTATTTTTAGTAGAGACAGAGTTTCACCATGTTGGTCAGGCTGGTTTCAAACTCCTGACCTCAAATGATCCACGTGCCTCAGCCTCCCAAAGTGCTGGGATTACAGGCATGAGCCTCTGCACCTGGCTTGATTTCTAAAATATGTACATGCACTATTTCGTTGTTAATAATTTGGGAAAAAAACATTTTAAAAACCATGCTGAATACAAGGTTATGTACTTTTCAAGGTTCTTATATTAAGTGCCAAATTGTTCTCAGAAAGGATACATTAATTTAACATTGTTGAGATCATGTATCACCTCTGATGTGTCATTCCATGTGGATGGAATTCCATCAGGGCAACACGCCTGACAGCTCCCTGCTGCAATTTGAAAAGAACCTTTGCCAATTTCATGGACAAAATTAGCATCTTATTTATTTACAATTTTGATTACACTTGAAGTTATGTGATTTTAAAAATGTATATAAACTATTTGTATATAGTAATCTATGTTCTTTACTCATTTATTTACTGAGATATTAATCATTTTCTTTTTGATTCATAAGAGTTTTTTAAAGATTAAGGAGGTTGAGCATGGTGACTCATGCCTGTAGTCCCAGCACTTTGGGAGGTTGAGGCAGGCAGATTGCTCATGCCCAGGAGCTGGAGACCATCCTGGGCAGTGTGGCGAAACCCTGTCTCTACAAAAAATACAAAAATTAGCTGGGTGTGGTGGCGTGAGTCTGTAGTCCCGGCTACCCAGGAGCTTGAAGTTCCAATGAGCTGTGATTGCACCATTGCACTCCAGCCTGAATGACAGAGCAAGACCCTGTCTCAAAAAAAAAAAAAAAAAAAAAAAAAAAAAAAAAAAAAAAAAAAGAGGAAGAAAGAAATGGAAAGATTAAGGAAATTGACCACTTATTATATTTACTATAAATTTTTCCACTTTGCTCTTTTCTTGTTTAAGAATCAATTCAACTTAAATTTGCTTAATTTTTGACACACAGAAGTTCAGAATTTTTATACTTCTTTTTGTGGTTGCTGTCATTATTTCTCAAGATTTAAAAGTTCATCTTCTCTCTCCCACCACCCATACTGGCATCCAAAGTTTTGATGAAAAACATTTTATTACCACACTTGACTTGGATAGCTGCCTTTTGCTGGGATAAGGACATTCTGCATTTGCAGGGGAGAAAATAGACAATACTTCTGTCCGCCATCATGGGCATGCCTATGTGAATGAGCTCCAGAACCTCTAGAAGTGATTCAGAGAAGAGCCTCATCAACCCTCACACTGGCTGTCCTGTGGCTCTGCTGGCCCTTCCCAGTCTTTGAGAATCCCAGCAGTGGCAGCTCTGTTATGTGTTATTGGTGCTGAGCCGGCCCTGAGAGCTGCTTTCAGCATGGCCTTTCCCTACAAAGTAAGGGGTCTGACCCTGCATGACCTAAAAGCCCTTCATTAAGTATTTGCTTAGGACATTTTATTGACTCTAAATAGCTCTCTCAACATTAAGTTGTCTGGTCCCTGCTGGACTTACTATGATCTGTGTTAATTTGTTTGCTAGATTGAATTTTCTTAGCTCAAGCTGATGAATAAAATAGGTGAGACAGTTTTCCCCAAAGACAAATAAAATCTCATCAGCCACAGAATTTTATATCTTGTGGCTCAGAAGAAGACCTGCTGCCTCTCTAACTACACTCCCCCAAATATTGTGTTCTGGCTACGCCAATGAGCTGTTTCTTGTTTTGCCAGTAGATACTTCTGATCAGGACTATTGCAAACGGTCCACAGCATGGCTCCAAGTGAGTTGTGATTCACTCTAAGGAGTGTTTTCATCTTCAGTGTGGTTTGTTTCAAAGCCGAAGCCATTTTCTAGCCCTTTTTTGGTTACATTGGTATTAAAAGTACTAAAGAACTTGTAGCATGCTGCATTAGATGTGTTTATGCAACATAGCAGAACACAATTAATTTCCCAATCTGCACAAATTCTAATATTAAAATTATGTAAAGTGTAAATGCTCCCTTTGGATTCTTAAAAGGGCCTAATATCTACTAATATTTTTCTTCTTTTATTAAATTTTTTCCTGTTTTTCATTCCTGGTTGAACATTATAATCACGTGGGAATTTTTGTTAAATATCAGCACTTGGCCCCCTCTAGGCCTTCTGAATCGGAATCTGCAGGGTGGAGCCTGGACCTCAGTACTTACAGGTAATGTCCTCCAGTAATTTTGGACAGCCAAGTTTGAGAACTAGTGACTCTAGTTCAAAAATTTTAATTCATTATGACTATCATACAATACCCATAGAGAGACAGCAATCCTCCTTAGGAGTGTATAGAGGCCATCTGATGGGAGCTTTGGGGTCATCTGAAAATAGCATGTGGGACCACTGGGGGACAGCTTGGTGGGGGATATGCCGAGGGTATGTCTGAAGCTGTTCGCAAAGCAAGCCTCCTGTTTGGACTTATTTGTATCAGTCCATTTATGCTGCTATAACAAAATACCTTAGACTGGGTAATTGATAAATAAGAGAAATGTATTGCTCACAATTCCGGAGGCTGGGAAGTCCAAGACAGAGGCATCAGCAGAGTCAGTGTCTGCAGAGAGCCTGTTCCTCATAGATGGAGACTTCTTTGTGTCCTCATATGGCAGAAGAGGGCGAGGGCGCTTGTTCAAGGCTTTCTTACGATGCAGGAGAGACCCTACATCACCCTCGTGATGCAGGGTACCACCTCGTCATCATAAGGAAGAGACCTCCTCGTCTCCTTTTCTCTGGACCTGCGCCCCTGCCCTGTCTGCCACTCTTCCACATCTGTGGGAGTGCAGGAGGTGCTTGGAGCACCCCCTCCTTCAAAGACAGGGTGGAGGCTCAGCTCCCTGCGCGTCTGCTGACATCACCCTGGGGCCAGACGTTCTAACCAGCAGAACGTCAGGGGAGAGAGGAGAGGTGGAAACAAGGTTATTTCCACTTCCCGATGCTGCTGAAAGGTAATAAAAGGCAAATCTGACTCTGAAGATGTGAGAAGGAAGGAGATGCTGAGTGGGATTCTTCCTCCTCCATATGCTAAGTCTTGGGTGTTCAGGACTCAGCTCCTTTCTGTTGTCTCTTCTAAGGTGTAGGAAAAATGACAGTACAAGTGTGTACCAGAGTTTAGTTGAAAAGTTGAACTAAGTATGGTAAAGACAGAGCTCATTCATCTTTTCTTCTCTCTGCCCGTGGCTCCACTCCCTTTAGTATATGCCTGAAGAGGGAGGCTGCTGGAACGTCAGAAAGAAACCCCTGCCCTCTGGATTTCATGTCATGCAGCCTGTCACTTCTCCAGTTCTGCTACTCTCTGCAAAACATTTTCTGCATCCAACTTCTCCAACCCATCCCTGCTCTGAGGAGCACTGTCCAAATTTAGGTGATCTTCTGACCAGAGCATCCTAACCTGTTTTGCTTTATTTACTTATTCAATCATTCATTCATTTATTCAACAGACAAGTATCAACTATTTTGTGGCAGCCTTTGTTGGGTGTTGAAGGAGACCCCCCCAAATGAAAAGATACTATCTCAGTGTTTGTTTTGTTTACAGAATAAACTTGAAAACAAACGGTTACAATATAGTGTGAGTTGTTTTGTGATAAGCAAGACAATAGCAAGAACCTGAAAGCGCACCAGCATTACAGAACATCTAAGATCCGAAGGATAAACGTTTGCTAGACAGAGTGGGCAGGACATCTGGACACAAGGCCAGCGCAAGAGAGTTGAGAATGGCACAGCCAGGGGCTCATCTGTGAAACTTGTCAGGGAGCATGGAGAGATATAGGGGAAGCCAAGCCCCAGAAATGAGTTGGAGGCAGAATTTGGAATTTCAGTTTATAGGAATGAGAGAGATAAAGGTGGCTTTGAAGCAGGTCAGCAACCTGCCGTTGCTGAGAGACAATTCTACAGGCAAGGCAAAGAGCCGACTGCAGCGGTACGTCCAATGGCCAAGAGTGAGGTCCTGAAGGAGGCAGCAGGTGAGGAGACCAGCAGGAACACGGGTCACTGAGCTTCCTGTTACCAGCCCCTCTGCGTGAAAGCAGGTTCCTTCTTTCATTGCATTACTCCTGTTTTCCCTGAAATGCTCTCTATTCATTGCCTGTTGCAACAGGAACATTTTGTCCCATAGACATGAAAATTCAATTTGCTCAGAAATGCAAGAATGTGGCCTGGCGCGGTGATTCACATCTGTAATCCCAGCCCTTTGTGAGGCCGAGACGGGTGGATCGCCTGATGTCAGGAGTTCAAGACCAGCCTAGCCAACATGGTGAAACCCCGTCTCTACTAAAATTACAAAAATTAGCCAGCCGTGGTGGCAGGCACCTGTAATCTCAGCTACTTGGGAGGCTGCCATAAGAGAATCGCTTGAACCCACAGGCGGAGGTTGCAGTGAGCCGAGACTGTACCATAGCACTACAGCCTGGGGAACAAGAGCAAAACTCCATCTCAAAAAAAGACAAAAATCAAAACAAAAATGGAAGAATGCAATGATAGTGTAAGTTCTTTGAGGACAGTAACCATATTTTTCTCTTCTGTGTATCCCCAGAATACAGTACAGTAACTGATGTGAAGGAGGAATTCCATAGATTTTTGATGAGGCCAGGCGCAGTGGGCTCACGCCTGTAATCCCAGCACTTAAGGAGGCTGAGGTGGAAGGATCCCCTGAGGCCAGAAATTCAACATCAGCCTGGGAAACATAGTGAGACCCCATCTTTACAGGAAATTTAAAAATTAGACGGGTGTGGTAGTGTGCCTGTAGTTCCAGCTACTCAGGAGGTTGAAGTGGGAGGATGGCCTGAATCCAGGAGTCGGAGGCTGCAGTGAGCTGTGATCACACTCCTGCACTCCAGCCTCTGGGCAAGTGGTAGTTTGTGGTAGTTTGTTATGGCAGCCGTGGCTTGCCAGCAACCACTAGAAGCTAGGAAGGGACAAGGCGACAGAGTGAGACCCTGACTCAAAAAAATCTTTGATGAGCTGGATTGACTCCTGAATAATTGGAAGGGTGTGTTAGCCTCCTGCGGCCGTGATAACAAACGACCACAAGCTGGGCAGCTTTAAGCCACAGAAATCAAAGTGTCACAGGGTCACGAGTCATCCGAAGGCTCGAGTGGAGACTCCCTCCTTGCACCTCCCCAGCGTCTGGTGGTTGCTGGCAAGCCTTGGTATTCCTCTGCTGGCAGCTGCACTGCTCCAGTCTGTGTCTGTCACTTCCCTGCCTTCTTCTCTGTGTCACTGAGTCCACATTTCCCTCTCCTTTAAGGACACCAGTCATTGGATGAGGTTCCACCCTAATCCACTGTGACCTCATCTTAATTGGATTATATCTGCACAAACCCTATTTCCAAATAAACTCACATTCACAAGTACCTTACCAGGGGTAAGGATGGGAACATATCTTTTGGGAGGGCCGCAGCTTAACTAACAAAGCGTGCTGTGTGTGCTCTTCTTCTGTATCTACAGGTCTGAAGCTTCTTTGGAGGGACTCCTTCCACATGGGGCAGGTTATTCCGGAAGCAGCTCCAGAACTTCAAATAATTATATTACACAGTCAGCACACCGTTTTCTAAGGGCTAGATTCATGCATTCTTTCAGTGTTTGAGGGCCTGCTGTGTGCTGATGCTGCTTCAGGATCTGGATGTGGAGAGATGAGTAAGCCAGACAGCTCTGATCAAATACAATTGTTTGTGTTTTAAACTTGCCAAGGGCATCATGGACTCTTCTGGCAATTACATGATTAAAACATAGTTTTAAGAGAAAGGAAAGTCATCATTTTTCTTTTTGCCAAGATGTAAACTAAGATGCATGACTGGGAAAATGTCATCTTATAGGATCATGCCTATGGACAAGGGCTTATGGCAAAACTGTGGAGCTCAGCTTGGAGTGCCCCGAATCTGAGCACAGCAGGATGACAAATACAGAAGCAAGGATGGGTGGTCTGTGGGAGGGGAGATGAAGGGGAGTTGCGGGATGGATTGCAGTAGTGCTGGGGGCCCTGACAGTGGATCAGGCCAGGAGTCCTCCTGAGCTGTCCTGGTGGCCCCTGGAACCACCAATGTGATGGAACTTCTCCTGGTCCAGTGAGCACCCTGGGTGGTACAGGAAAGAAACACACTGGAGCAGGCATTCCGCACTCAGGGAACCACCCCAGGACAGCTGTGTGTTTGTGCCTTCTTCCTCTTCGTGGCTTTCCTCGAAAGGTGGCATGGCCTCAGGCTGCCATCACACCCTTCTTCCCCTTGGGCCTTCTGGCCTGACACTCCGTGTGCCTCCCTGCCTGCCTCCTGCTTCTGATTTCAATCCTTGGACTCTCAACAACTCGTCTCCCTTTGTCAATATGGAGAATGTGTAACAAATGGCCTCTGTTTGGCGGAGGTGGGACGGCTGACACCTATGAATGGACCTCTGGACAGCTCCTCCTGCCAGACCAAGGCCACAGGGACCCAGACAGTGACAGCAGGCAAAGAAGCTGCATTCTGGCCCGGGACTCTTGGAGTACTCACCAGCCATGAGGGACGAAGGCTGAGATGCAACGTGAAACATGGACATAAATGTGGTTGTTTTGTATAACCCCCCAAATAACTGGGGGAGATGCTACCTCTCTCCATAGTTTTTTTACTTGGTGACACGCAGCATATATATGAGAATGAAGGAAGGATCTTGAAGATCATGGTTCCCACACAAATTACAAGCACCATCGTTAATGCGTGGTTACAGTAAAGAGTCCTATCCAGTTTCTCAACTGCCAACCCCCACCCCTCGTATGAGGACTATGAGACATCATAACCTGCAGGTAGAGTTCAGTATTCAACAAAATGAGCAGCTGTCATCCTGGCTGTCACCTGGTGAACCAGAGGCTGGTGTTTCCTACTTAAGGTATGAACAGACTTCTGCCTTTAATCATTCCTGGGCCGGGTTCTATTAATACATATCAGGCAACTATGAAAAAAATGACTGGATTTTTTTCCCCAAGCAATCAAAAGTAGTTTCATATTATTTTATATTAGTGTGTGAGAGTTACATATATTTGTATACCATTTGTTAAATCCTTAATTCTAAGACTTGAAAATGAACTACAGAAATCTGTGTCCGGTGCATTTAAGTTCAGGATTCAGGGCAAACTACTGCAAGTGGCCAACGTAAACTTTTCACTGAAAGGCTGCAGAAGAATGCAGATATACGTGATGTTGTCTGAAAGCCCTCTACAAGATGTTTTACTCTACTAGCCTTGAATTATTTTGGTGTGAGAAGCAGAGCTGCTCATCCCATGCAGAAATAGAGCGCTGAATTTGATCAATCAAATTCAGACCCTCAACTAGCCCACACGCCCAAGCGTAACCCTTGTCTTTGCAGAGCCTGGGATGTGTCACCATGAAGGCACTGTGGCCACACTGCAGTTCTCCAGGGTGAGCCTGTGGTTCATCCATAAACAACTGTTAACAGTTTCCACACCCACCAGCTTCCCATTGCTGTTGAGCCTTGTTCAGATCTTGCCTTTGCTGGATCCTTCAACAGTAGGTCTCACAGTGATGGAAGCTGCTTCTGGGCCTTGCACCTTCTAGTCCTCTGAGCCAGGAATGTGCATGGAGGTCGTATTCCCAGGGCCAATGAAGCTCCGTGGGAAGCAGGCAGGGGGCGGGGCCTCCACTTCAAGCACCACTTTATTTTCAGGGACGTTTGCTACGTTTCCCACCTCTGGCCTTTCTCCACTCTTCACACCCTCGTCTCCCCAGTAGAGGAGAAGTGATTTACCTTATTGGGGAGCTTCAGAAGGAGCCCCTTTCCTGCTTCTCTCTGAAGGGCCAGCTGTGCACACAGAGCTCACAGTGTCTCCTGCTCCTCTGTTCTCTGAGTCTCACAGGTGCAAGGCCTTGGTGGGCAACCGTGTGTAATTCAGAGGTGAGGTATTACAAACCATATTCTCCAGTATCCATCAGCTTTGTTTTAAGAAAGAGGATATTTTACTCTCCATCTGCCATACCCTGTGTCTACCTCCATGAGTTTTCAAATTAGTTAGGATGCAGGGGTGGCAATTATTAGGGTCCCTCAGACCCCGACATCCTAAAAAGAGAGAAAACAAGCTAGCTTACTGTTTTCAAGGAAACTATGAGACAGAGAAGAAAAACAGAATTATTTGCATATTTAGCATGCAATAAACTTCATGCAAAGTAAAATGTGTATGAATGCAAGGAAATAGAAATAAAGATAATTGTGAACCACAGCATTACCCAGTGCTAAAGGGAAACAAAAGTGAAGTAATTGAGGGAAAATGGGGTTAAATAAGAAGGTCAGAGTTTAGATTAAAATGTTGAAGCAGAGACTTTAAATAGTGGAAGTGGGCCAGGTGTGGTGGCTCACGCCTGTAACCCCAGAATTTCGGGAGGCCGAGGTAGGCAGATCACCTGAGGTCAGGAGGAGTTCGAGACCAGCCTGGCCAACTAAAAAGACAAAAATTATCTGGGTGGGGGGTGTGCGCCTGTAATTCCAGCTACTCAGGAGGCTGAGGCAGGAGAATTGCTTGAACCCAGGAGGCGGAGGTTGCAGTGAACCGAGATGGTGCCACTG
This sequence comes from Homo sapiens, assembly GCF_000001405.40. Lineage (NCBI taxonomy): Eukaryota > Metazoa > Chordata > Mammalia > Primates > Hominidae > Homo > Homo sapiens. The sequence continues at coordinate 184,083,125 of NC_000004.12, forward strand.
CACTCCAGCCTGGGTAACAGAGCGAGACTCCATCTCAAAAAAAAAAAAAAAGTGGAAGTGGAGTGGGGTAGAGGGGTGGATAACAATAGGGCAGGGGGTGAGGAATGCAATAAAATGCAAGTAAAATAAATCATCATTCGCTCATTGAACAGGCTGACAGACCTACACATGCCAGGCCTGGTTAACCCTGCTGAAAGTGTTAAGTCGAGACCATGGACGCTCACTGAAGAGTTTAGAGCCAAGGAATGGCCTGGCCTGACTTGCATGTTAGAAAACCCCTTGGGTGGAAGAGAGGAGAATGACCTGAAACCTTAAGATCTCAAGGAAGCCTGATAGGAGGTCACTGCATAATGATAAGTGGAATGATAAGGTGGAACTTCTAGTTGGGGTACTGGGGAGAAGGGGCTTGTGGGGCTGTTACTGGCTTCTAGGGTGAGGCCATAAGAGTGCTCTGGGACAGCCTGGGTGAACTTGGGTGGTGAAGCTGGATAGAGACTGGACTCGGGCTGTCCCAGGGATGGTGGTGGAAATGGGGCCTCAACACAGGCTCAGCTGGAAGATGGTGCAGAATCCTAAGGTAGGGTCCTCTGCAGTGCTTCCAGGTGATGGAGCTGTTTTCAAGAACATTAGGGCTCACCTTCTATAGAAGATATTTCTCCTTGAATTTATGGGATACTCATTTTAGTGTTCCATACCGAGTATTGTGTAACCAGAAATACAAAATTTAAATTTCTGAAGTGATTTGGATTTTTGTTTTTAAATAAGTTTTGGTCAACAGAATAATTTAAACATTTCTCTAAAAAGCAGACATGCTTTGCAGCAAGTATTGCGGGGACAGCTGGATATCTACATGGAGAAGAATGAAGTCATGCTCTTTCCACACACCTAACACAAAAATTAACTCAAAGTGGATCACAGACCTAAACATAAGAGTTAAAACTTTATCACTCTTAGGAGAAATTAAGGGAGTAAATCTTCATGATAATCTGGGCTTAGGCAAAGCCTTTTTAGATATGACACAAAAAGCAGAACTGACAAAAGAGAAAACCGATGTTAGACATCATCAAAAGTTTAAACATTTTCTGCTTCAAAGGACGCCATCAAGAAAGTGAAAAGAAAGCTCACAGAAGGAGAAAAATATTTGCAAACCATATATCTAATAAAGGACTGGTATGCAGAATGTATAAAGAATGCTTACAACTCAAAAGACAAATAATCCAATTAAAAAATGAGAAAGTTCAAAGAGCTAAAAGCAGACCGACCATTGGACCCAGCAATCCCATTACTGGGTATATAACCAGAGTAAAATAAATTGTTCCACCATAAAGACACATGCATGTGAATGTTCATCGCACCACTATTCACAATAGCAAAGATGTGGAATCAACCTAAATGCCCATCAATGAGAGATTGAATAAAGAAAATCTGGTACATACACACCATGGAATACTATGCAGCCATAAAAAAGAATGAGATCATGCCTTTTGCGGGAACATGGAAGAAGCTGGAGGTTATTATTCTTAGCAAACTAACACAGGAACAGAAAACCAAATACTGCATGTTCTCATTTACAAGTGGGAGCTCAATGATGAGAACACATGGATATGAAGAGGGGAAAAACAAAACACTGGGGCTGTTTGGAGGATGGAGGGTGAGAGGAGGGAGAGGATCAAGAAAAACAACTAATGGGCACTGAGCTTAATACCTGGGTGATGAAAAAAGCTGTTCAGACCACCACCCACCACCCCTGACACGAGTTTACCTATATAGAAAACAAAACAAACAAAAAAACATGGGAAAGGATTTGAATAGAATTTCTCCAGCAAAGATAGACAAATGCCAATAAGCACATGAGAAGATGCTCAACCTGACTCATTACTGGGAAACTGCAAACAAACCCACCGTGAAATATCACTTCACACTCACTAGGATGGTTGTCATTAAGGACAGCTAGTACCAAATGTTGGCAAGGATGTAGAGAAATTCGAACTCTCCTACACTGTTTGTGGGAATGCAAAATGGGGCAGCCAAGTTGGAAAATAGTCTGATAGTTCCTCAAAAGTTTAGCATAAAGTTACCATCTGACCCAGAAGTTCCACTCCTAGTGACAGACCCAAGAGAAATGAAAACGGGTCCACAAAAATGTGTTCATGAATGAAACACATGATGAAAATCAAAAAAGTGAGAAAAACTAATGTCTGTCCATAGGTGAACGAACAAATAAAATGAAGTATATCCATACAATGGAATAATTCTTTGTAAATGAAAGGAATGAAGTACTGATTCATGCTATAACCTTGAAACCATTATGCTAAGTGTAAGAAGCCATCTGCAAAGGACAACATATTGTGTTATTCTATGAAGTGTCCAGAACAGGCAAATCTGTAGAGCCAGAAAGCAGTTTCGTGGTTGCCTGGGGTGGTAGTGGGAGGAAATGGGGGTAACTGCTAGTGTACTAATGGGTTTGGAGTTTCTTTTTGGAGTGATAAAAATGTTCTAAAGTTTGTGATAGTTGCACAACTCAGTGAATACACTAAAAGCTGTTGAATTGTACACTTCAAATGGATGAATTGTATGGTGTGTGAATTCAATCTCAATAAAGCGCTATATTTTTAAAAAGTTAATATGCATAGTATATTTAAAATGTAATTCCCTCCTCCCCGCCCCCAGTTCCTTCCTTCTTTCCTTCCTTCCTTCCTTCCTCCCCCATGCTTAATTTATAAGCCTGAGATAGAATATGTTTAGATCCATGAAATAAAGCGTAATTATATTGTTAGTTGGGTAATAAGAAAAGAGAGCAAGGCAAAAGTGAAAAGTTCATTTAATTTGAGAAACTGCAGGCAGAGAGGATATCTGAGGTTTGAGCAAGTCCCCTTAATGACATTGATTCATTTTTTATTCAACACATATTTACGGGACGTGTATTAAACATTTGAGGCACTGTACTAGGTGCTACTTTATGATTTCACAGCAACATACGAGTATATTTTCCATAGCACGCACCTGAGACCAAGTTTTAAATGTTTTATAACAAGTCTGTTGAGGCTACCTCCTTCCTTTTTTCTAGCAAGTCATTTACAGTAGCTGACTTTGGTCTATCACAAATTGCTTACAAAGATAAAACCCACAATCACACTTGGAAATCTCTTGCTATTTACAGAAGTGCAAAGCACTTTCTTGGAAAATTCATAAAATAGCTGTGAGTCTTGAATAATGCCTGAGTGTGTCTTGTAGCACCGTTGGGGATCTCAGAGCCACAGGGAGTGGGATGTGGAGAAACTGAGTCTGCCTATTGTGGGTCCTCCCTCCACCACTGGGGCTGCAGATCTACTTTGGTTTAGAAGGACTGAACACTTGACCCAGCCGAGGCCCCTAGAGATATGGGCTGATGATGAAATAGCTTTCAGGAGAATTGGGTCTACAGGATCAAGTCAGAACCCACCTCTTATCAGAGCAAACCCAAGCCTTGGGTCCAGGTGACTTCAAGGTGCTATCTCAGGACCACCCCAGACCCTCTGAACCTGCATCTCTGGAGGTGGGTCAGATGAGGCTTAAAAGCCCAGGAAGTTTGCAAACTACTGTCTATGATGAACTCGGCTCTGAGGTGGACTCCCAAGGTCCCTTTAAAAGTAAAGGAAACTAGGACCTTATAAGTGAGGACTGTTGGAGGCTAAAAGGAATCCCCTGGGCCAGATCTAGTTGATGCTTAGATCCTCACAACTTAATTGAATTGGATTCCAGAGATTAGGCATATGGACAGGAAGAGTGGTCACTCATCTCATCTTTATTATTATTATTATTTTGTCTTTTTTTTTTGTTTGTTTACTTTAAGTTCGGGGATACATGTGCAGAACGTGCAGGTTTGTTACATGTGCCATGGTAGTTTGCTGCACCTATCAATCCATCATCTAGGTTTTAAGCCCTGCGTGCATTAGGTATTTGTCCTAAGGCTCTCCCTCCCCCTGCCTCCTACCACTTACCCCAACAAGGCTCGGTGTGTGCCGTTCTCCTCCCTGTGTCCATGTGTTCTCATTGTTCAACTCCCACTTATGAGTGAAAACATGCAGTATTTGGTTTTCTGTTCCTGTGTTAATTTTCTGAGAACGATGGCTTCTAGCTTCATCCGTGTCCCTGCAAAGGACATGATCTCATTCTTTTTTATGGCTGCATAGTATCACATGGTATATATGTGCCACATCTTCTTTATCCAATCTGTCATTGATGGACATGTGGGTTGGTTCTAAGTCTTTGACATTGTAAATAGTGCTGCAATAAACCTATGTGTGTATGTGTCTTTATAGTAGAATGATTTATAATCTTTTGGGTATATACCCGGTAATGGGATTGCTGGGCCAAATGGTATTTCTGGTTCTAGATCCTTGAGGAATTGCCACATTGTCTTCCACAATGGTTGAACTAATTTACAGTCCCACCATCAGTGTAAAAGCATTTTATTTCTCCACAGCCTCGCCAGCATCTATTGTTTCCTGACTTTTTAATAATCGTCCAAAAAGAGCCCGTATAGCCAAGACAATTGTAAGCAAAAAGAACAAAGCTGGAGGTATCATGCTATCTGACTTGAAACTATATTACAAGGCTACAGTAACCAAAACAGCATGGTACTGGTACCAAAACAGATATATAGACCAATGGAACAGAACAGAGACCTCAGAAATAACACTGCACATCTACAACCATCTGATCTTCAACAGAGCTGACAAAAACATGCCATGGGGAAAGATTCCCTACTTAATAAATTATGCTGAGAAAACTGGCTAGCCATGTGCAGAAAGCTGAAACTGGATCCCTTCCTTACACCTTATGCAAAAATTAACTCAAGATAGATTAAAGACTTAAAGGTAAAACCAAAACCATAAAAACCCTAGAAGAAAACCCAGGCAATACCATTCAGGACATAGGCATGGGCAAAAACCTCATGACTAAAACACCAAAAGCAATGGCAACAAAACCTAAAATTGACAAATGAGATCTAATTAAACTAAAGAGCTTCTGCACAGCAAAAGAAATTATCATCAGAGTGAACAGGCAACCTACAGAATGGAAGAAAATTTCTACAATCTACCTATCTGACAAAGGTCTAATATCAGAATCTACAAGGAACGTAAACAAATTTACAAGAAAAAACAACACCATCAAAAACTGGGCAAAGGATATGAACAGACACTTCTCAAAAGAAGACACTTATGAAGCCAAGAAGCATATGAAAAAAAGTTCATTATCACTGTTCATTAGAGAACTGCAAATCAAAACCGCAATGAGATACCATCTCATGCCAGTCAGAATGGCGATTATTAAAAAGTCATCTCATCTTTAATCTGAGGCTCATTCCTTTCATTTGTCCTCGGTAGACCAACCCAATTATCTTTGTCCTGGAATCAGCCGTGAAGTTGAAAAGTAATCCAGGAGACAAAGTGTCTATACATATTCCTAGCAGATTTTAGTCCTATGGAAAAAAATACATTTAGAGAAAGTGGAATTTTCCTAAGGAGAACAATGTAATTTTAAAACAAAAATAAAAGGGAACAAATTTTCACCAAATAATTAAGCCATAAAAAATATATGCATTATTTAAGTAAAAAGCTTTATTTTTTTCCCTCAGTGTCTGAATCTTCTTTATTGTTTACCAGGATTCATGATTCCTTTTGTAACTTGTTCTCAGTCATTTATTCAGTTGAGTAATTACACTTTGTCAGACAAATATCTAAAGTTTTATTATGTAACTTGCAGATTTTCAGGACGAGTGAAGGAGGAAAATGGCAGAAGAGTTCAGGAAAGACAAAAATGCAAGACTGTGTCTAAGTTTATGCCTCTCTTGAGTTTGATGATCCAATTTTAATTTAATCATTTGAGTATCTCTTAGGGATTCTTCCTCCACAGTGGAGGAAAGTGGGCTCTACTGAATTCATTGGAACACCGTCCTTTAAGGAGAAAGAAACTTTGAACAATAGACGTCTTTTTCAACAACTACTGCCAATGTTTTGAAAGTTGTCATTTGTTTTCAGCTAGATAACAAAGGCTGAAGAGTTGCCTTCTTTCCAATTGATCCGATGGTTTACTGGCGCTTTTAAAACACATTACATAAATCTTTAGAAATCTTTTGTGAAGGTAAATTCAGTATTTTTAAGCAGTGATCCTTTGCTCTCATGATTCATGGCATGGAGACAGCACCCAGCTTTCCTGAATCAAGGTGAACGTTGATATTCAGTTTTCAAGGTAACACACCATATAAGGCCTCCATCGTCCTGAGGAGACCTGATATATTGCCTTTTCCTGACAAAAAGTCTCACTTGCAGATGTACCTCAATTAGTGCAAACTTTTTTTTTCTTTCTATTTTTTGGGGGGGGTGGAGGATGGGGTCTTGCTCTGTTGCCCAGGCTGGAGTGCAGTGGTGTGATCAAAGCTCACTGCAGCCTTGACCTCCTGGGCTCAAATGATTCTCCTGCCTCAGCCTCCCAAGTAGCTGAGACCACAGGCATGTGCCACCATGCCTGGCTAATTTTTTAAAAATCTTTTATGTTTTGTAGAGATGGGGGTCGCCCTGTGTTGCCCAAGTTAGTCTGGAACTCCTGGCCTCAAGGGTTCGTTTGTCCCTCCTTGGCCTCCGAAAGTGTTGGGATTATAGGTGTGAGCCACCATGCCCAGCCCAAACTCATTTTTTAATGCAGTGATAGTGTATGCAAGTATATATATGTATATAGATATAAATGATCATGTAAAAAGGAGTTATTTCTTGTGTTACAATTTCTCCTATAGCAAACACAGATGACTAAGCTAAAAATATTTCAACTCAGGCTCAGTGGCTCTTCTCAAAGGTATCAAAAGAACTTAGGTCTCAAAGGTGGTACTTTGGCCAAACTGTTTCCTAATCAAACGACCAGTTAGTTGGTCAGTGACTGGGACTCTGCTCCATCATGCTCTCTCCATTCTCCACCCAGCACCATTTTCTTTGGAATTCTATGCCACTCAAAGACTGTTGTTGAGCAAGCCATGCTGCAGGGGTACTGGTGTCCAGGATTAAGGCTTAGTGCATCACCTCTCTGAGCAACCCACCGAGATCCTTGCTGATGCCTCCACATTCTCATCAGTGAGCCAGCCCTTTCCCAGGCTATAATGTCATGTCAGGGATTGCTCTTGTCTGCACCCTATATTGGGAGCCACAGAGTGGCATGTCTGAGGAAGCCTTTGCACAGGTGAACGGACAGGGAAGGCAGGCAGGCCATCCATTTGTCCATCAATATGCAGGGCCTGCTATGTGCCGGGCTTCATGCCACGATACACTATGTGTGATAAGTCTCACAGAAGCCCATGTCCATCAGAAGCTTTTCTGCTCCTCAAGGCAAGAGAGAAATTTTCGTGCACTCAGACTTTGGGAGGGCACTCATGTCTTTCACCTTGTTCTATGAGTTCTCCAATCCTTAGTGATTTATTTATTTTTTGATTGATTGGTGATCCATGCTAAGTTACGTCCTTTCTGGAGCTCAGTATAAGATGAAAAAATTCCATGAGCTGGGTCAGAAATAGACAGTAGCTTTTGCTTTCATGTAGACCTCCTTTTATCAGGGATGGAAGGAACAGTACAGGATTGTGGCCACAGACACTGAGGATGGCTCCTGGGTGTGGACAGGGCACAGACAAGGGCCTGGTCTGAGGGGGTCCTTTGTGCAAGGTGGGACAGAGAGGGGCCCAGAGCCACGTCTGTCTGCAATAACCACTCCAAGTTTGGTTGCTGCAGGAGCAGGTCCCTGCTCAGAGAGTTCATCCTGAGTAACGTGAAAAGAAAGGAGAAAATGACATATAACTGCACAAATGGAAAGCTAGGATTTTCCTACCTTCTGGAAAAACAAGGTTTGTATCTTTTTTAACAAGTAGGAACTTTTATGTATAGAATTATCCAAGAATAATGTATTTACAATGTGCATGGTCTTGATTGTGTTAATGAAGCTATTATTCACACATAAAATGAAAATCATCTGGCTTTGGAGGCCCACTTTGCTGATGGTGTTTTTTTCTGAGACAAGCAATATGATCAGTTATGCAAGCAGGAAGAGAAGAATCAGTGCCAGGGCACAGTGGCTGGGCCAGACAGGCGGGGCAGTGCTGGCGCGGCCCTTCAGCATGCACATCACCCTGGACCAGGATCCGTTGTTGGGCAGCGGGGTGATGCCCACCACATTGCACATGACATTGTAGACGTCCACCGACCTGATAGGAGCAGCTCTGAAGTTGGATTTGAAATCTGAAAGGGAAAGGCAAACAAACAAGTTGTCATGGCAGCTCCAGGGCAGAGGTGGGCTGAACGCAATAAAGAAGAATTACATTCAGGCTGCAGGTGACATTGAGATTAGGGAATCAGCTCCATCAGTGGGGTGTGGCCTAGTGAGTGTGAACATAGAAGGGTATCCGGAAGGCTGTAGGTTAGAAAGGGAAACAGCTTTCTATGGCTCATGGAGATGAATTTCTTTAAAAGACAAGCAGCAGAGCCAGGCTTGGGGGCTCACACCTGTAGTCTCAGCAAGTTGGGAGGGCGAGGAGGGAGGATTGCCTGAGCCCAGGAGTTTGAGACCAGCCTGGATGACAGAGCAAGACACTATCTCTAAAAAAAATTTTTTAAACCAGGCATGGTGGTGTGCTCCCAGCTACTCGGAAGGCTGAGGTAAGGAGATCACTTAAGCCCAGGAGTTCAAGGCTGCAGTGAGCCATGATAGTGCCACTGTACTCCAGCCTGGGCAAGAGAGCAAGATCCTGTCTCAAAAAAAGGTAATCAGCAAACAGACTTTCTTTGTGCATAACTGTGCTCTCTTTGTGACAACAGCACTTTCTTTGGGGGCTGCGGGGAGGCTGAAGTGCCATCTGATGCTGCTCCATGTCTGCAGAGAGCACAGCAGAGCCTGTATGGTCACAGAGTGACTGTCTTGCCCTTAACCAAATTAAATGCTATGTCATTTTTCAGAACATCTATCTAGCCCGGACCGACAGCCAGAGTGCCAGCGTCTACTGCAGAGGCCGCACGGCAACTCAAGAATGTTTTCTCACTTTGCTGCCCCATCGAGGTCACAGGTCTTGATGGAATGTGAAACTGCAGTTTTCTCGGTGCTCGCTAGCTCAGCAGCCATGGCGATGGTTTCCTAAATACATTTGGAAGATGAGTGGAACACTCTTTGGGAGCATTTTACCAACAGATAAAATACATTAGCCATGTGGAAAATGAGCAAACTGGTATCTGAATCAGGGATCCATGTGCAGGCTCTGAGCGATCTAATGGAGAAGACCACTGTGCCTCTGCCCAGAGTGGCCCCAAGCTCGAGAGTCACGCAAGAACACACAGGTAGGGTGGCCACACGCAGCACGGTGAGTGAGGGACGCCGAGGGTGACTCCACAAGTCTTTGGAGGGATTTCAATCAAGGGATTTCTTCTTCTCTACAGCGGGCAGATGAGAGGCAGAATTCAAAGCACTTGTCCATTTAAAGAGTGAATGTAAGATTTTAGTAATACACAAAAGCAACTTCACTTTTAGGCCCCAAACCAGAGCTTGTAACAAAATACCCAATGCTACATTAAGGTTGAATTCAGGGAGGAGATTTAAGCCATTGATAAAGGCCTGTGCCTGTGCTTTCTAGTTCCCCTACAACTTTTGAAGGAAATGAGTTGTTTGGGGGCCGTAAAGCCAAGTTTTTTAAGATATTAGAAATAATCTTTGTAATTGCTTTGCTAAAGAATCCTAAATACTTTAGTTAAAAAGCAAACAAACAACAACACACAGCAATATATTGCAGAGGTATCAACACCAAATTCTGCTCCTCTATTTATCCTGGAATTATAAATTGGAAAAAAGCTAAATATAGATACTTCTGCCACATAGTATGTTAGATCCAGGGCAACTGCCCAAATAGCACGTTTTGCTCCCTTTGGAGAATTAAAGTTGAATCCAATATAAAGAGGTGTGTGGGCTCTACCGCCAGCCTGCACCCAGCATGCACTAGCTGGGTGACCTCCGGAAATAGGCATAGAAAGTCATCGTTCCTGGAACACTGTGTATACCCAGTAAATGGTCACTACTATTATTAATAAATATTTATGACAAGGACAAATTGTGGTTTGAATATATTCACTTTCTAAATTATCTGGAGGGTTTACTTTTCTTCAGGGGCATGGAGGATAAGGGTCAGCTTCTCCTCAGAGTAAAAATTAGTTTTAAAAAATGTAAAACCTGGCCAGGCACAGTGGCTCACACCTGTAATCCCAGCACTTTGGGAGGCCGAGGTGGGCAGATCACATGAAGTCAGGAGTTCAAGACCAGCCTGGCCAACATGGTGAAACCCCGTCTCTACAAAATTTACAAAAATTAGCTGGGTGTGGTGGCAGGTGTCTGTAATCTCAGCTACTCAGGAGGCTGAGGCAGGAGAATTGCTTGAATCCAGGAGGCGGAGGTTGCAGGGAACCAAGATCGTGCCATTGCACTCCAGCCTGGGCAACAGAGCAAGACTCTGTCTCAAAATAATAATAATAATAATAATAATAATAATAATAATAATAATAATGTAAAACCTGTCCAGAGAGGAGAAAGAAAGGGCTGCCCCAGTATCCCAGCCCCTCTCAGGCAGATCAGACAATCAGATGAGGATGGTAGTTACACTTCCCTATCCGAGGAATCAAGTGCAGCACGAGAATCCAGTGGAATGGTTGTTCCAGCGGCATGGAAGCAACTCTTCTATCTTCTTCTCATGTGACCTGGATGTGATAATTCTACTGCCACATGGGGCCATGCCTTGCTGTGTGTGGGTGGGAGGGCATGTGAGGCAGTGGACCAGAGTAAGCCCAGGTGTCCCACAGGCTTTCAAATATCCATTTGTGGCTGGGCACTATGGCTCACACCTGTAATCCAAGCACTTTGGGAGGCTGAGGCAGGAGGATGGCTTGAGGCTGAGGAGTGCAAGACCAGCCTGGGCAATATGGCAAGACCTCAACTCTGCAAAAATAAAAAATTAGCTAGGTGCGGTGGTGTGTGCCTGTAGTCCCAACTACTCAGGAGGCTGAGGCAGGAGGATCTCTTGAACCCAGGAGATGGAGGCTACAAGTAAGCCATCATGCCACTGCACTCCAGCCTCGATGACAGAGAAAGACCATCTCTAAAAAACAAAACAAAACAAAAATCCTCTTCTTTAACACTTCACAGGAAAAACTGAGATCAAATTCTTCTGACAAAAGTATTAGAAAATATTATCTTTTTACACTGGAAATATGAAATCGAATTCTGTGCATTTAAGCATAAAGGAGGATTGAGATTTCTTTCCCATCCCACCTAGTTCGTGGCCTCCTGCTGCGCAGGGATAGTGCTTTGGGCTCAGTGCAGAAATAATCCAGGCTGGAATGAGAAAGCTTTTAGAAAATTCCTGAAGAGCAAAACAATGCCTGATCCAACTGAGGACCCAGACAGGCTCTACTAGCTGAAGATGGCATTTCAGACATGGACAGAGAGTCCAAGTTATCCTCGCGTGTTTACATTTTTTTGGATATGAGAGGTGTGTCTCTTACAGAGAGGAGGTTCTGCAGGCTTACACTGTGGCTGGCCACCTGGGGCTGCCTTCCCAGTGGGGCTTGCTAGCTCGCAGGCAGCTCACTGACTCCCACTCCTGCTGTCTTATCTCAAACGTGGAGTTCTCCAGGGCAAGATTAGACTGTTCAAATTAGAAACTGGGATTAACAAGAGTGAGGCTCTCCTGCAGAATTACTTCCCTTTCTCTTTGCTGGACCAGACTCACTGACTTCTGAGGCTGCATCTGGGCAGCCGCAATGATGCCCAGCTTTCCCCCTAAGGGAGAAGCACATACAGTTAATCAGGAGGGATGCACCTTTATCTCAAAGTGCAGCCAGATAGCTATTAAAGGCCTTGCTCTTAAATTTTCTTCTCAGTAAACAGCCAGTGTGTAAAGCTGTTTAATCTTTCATGAGAACTGGAGCCAGAACGTGATGGTTTGCGGGAGGCTCTCCACGCTGTATCTGCCTGGAAACATTTTGCAATTAGCGCAGTCCATTTTCATCAGGGGTCATCTATCTGTCTGTAAAAGACTGGGCGCTTTTAGTGTTACAGGAACCTGTGATGGAGGCCTCTGTTAATGGACAGAATCTCTTCACCAAATTTTAACTTTAAGCTAATGCAGCTTTGGGGACCTTGTTTAAAATTTGGGGTTTGGGGCTAGATTTGGTTCTGCTTTAAAATATTCCTGAGACTCGGCTGGGCGTGGTGGCTCACGTCTGAAATTCCAGCACTTTGGGAGGCTGAGACAGGCAGATCACCTGAGGTCAGGAGTTTGAGACCAGCCTGGCCAATATGGTGAAACCCCATCTCTAAGAAAAATATAAAAATTAGCCAGGCGTGGTGGTGGGCTCCAGGAATCCCAGCTATTGAGGTGGCTAAGGCAAGAGAATTGTTTGAACCCAGGAGGTGGAGGTTGCAGTGAGCTGAGATGGCACCATTGCACTCCAGACTGGGTGACAAGAAACTGTCTCAAAAAAAAAAAATATATCTATATATATATATAGATATATATATTCCTGAGACTCTCACTTGTATATAGTCCTTCCCAGACCACTGCTTTGCATTCATGATCCTATTTCCCTCATCTGGGAATGGAGGGTGCCATGCTTTTGAATGAAAGCCTTGCTGACTAATGTTCTCACAAAGAAAGACCATGGCCCTGGAATGTATCCAATGTAATCCAGTAGTTACCCTCGGGGTGCTCCATTCCTAATTCCTTTAGCTTTGGGGCTCTGCATATCTGACCTGGGGCTCGGCTGACAGGGAGCACCTGATAACTATCACTGGTTAAAGGTAGCATGTTCAGGCATCTTCAGAACCCTCTCTTAGGCCAACATCATGAACCCTATTAGTGCTCCATGAATTTGCTGCTACTGCTTCTAATGCTCCCTTGAGGACTTGGGAACCTGGATCACATGTGGAAAGGGATTTGGACTAATGTGTTTCCTAAGCTCAGGCACCCACGGAGGTTGCAGAAACTGACACCTCATAGTTCCTAAAAGGGATTTTGTGGAAAGTAGAGTGAACGATGGTAGGCTGAATGAGGGATGCTGGCATACGTCTTTGATCTTACTAAATTGAAGAGATGAGCAGAGCTTGTAGATGTGATGTGTAACCTATAATTTGAAAGGCAAACATGGACTTTTGTGGGCTGAAACATTTTGACCAACATCTAGAAAAAGGCATTCAGAATACAGGTATCAGGGTAAGCTGCTTATATTTAGTGCAGGAGGACGGACTGTGCTAAGAAAGAAGGATAGCTCATGAACCAGTCAACTGATGGTTGATGGCTGTTGGATGATTTTTCTCCCTTTTTAATTTTTGTTTTTGGGAGAAGAGGGTGTTCAGGTAGCAGTAAGATCTTCAGAGTGTTTGGCAAACTTTTCCAAAGTATGAATTGGCAGGGATCCATCTGTTAAATCAAATGACCAGATAGGCCCTCTCCATCTCTCCTCTCCTCCAGCCCTAGGAATTAATCTGGTCAAGAAAGACACAGCAAATTTGCTCTCATGCAAGGCAACCCTCGTCATTCTGGCTCATTCTCAAAGTCAGGCTCAAGGTCATTTCCGCGAGTGCCCTTGAGCACATCCCAGCTTCTGGCTGGACTCTAAACTAAATGAGCCTCTCTGAGGTGGGTGCTCGAGACGGGAAGGACCGTGGAAGAGCCAGACCCCGAGAAGCGATCGCATCAACAGTGAGACTCACAGCGGTCAGCAACCTGGTGTCCAGTAAGCTTTCCTGGACATCAGATAGCTATGAAATAACATTTTGATGAATTAGGTAAAAAATGAATCACAAACATGTGGAATACATTTTCTTCACTGCACTCAGGATTTAAAATTTACAAGGCAAAGTATTTGGCTACATTTGCCAAACCCAAGAAGCATTTGAAAGGAAGCCAGCAAAAGATGTTTCATGGAGACCGGCTGGGTTTGCTCTGCTTGGCTCATAAAGAGGGTCTGTAAGGAAATCCCTGCAGCCTCTCCTGGCACCCGTAGCCCCCCTTACAGACACTTCCTTGGGAATGGGGTCTGAGAGCATCTGGTCATTTCCTCGCCTACCAGGTCCGAAGGCCAGGAAGATGCCCCGCATGTCCATGAGCTCGTTGTCGTAGCCGTGCCATCCACGCTGCCAACCTTCCCGCCTGCCGGTGCTGTTCATCCAAAACGGAAGCATCTCTCGATTCTGAAACCAAGCAAGGCAGACACATGACACTACGTCCTGACCGTGGCGCTGAGCGGGCATCTGCTCCAAGCCGCCACTCCACCGGGGGGCGCTTTCCTCCTCTGCGCTCCGACTGACCCAGACTGACCCAACCTCCGCTGCGGCACTTCCTGCTCCAGGCCGCTCAGACCTCGGGCAGCAGCCTATTCGATTGCTAAGCGCTGTGGTTAACAAGGTGTTTTCCTACGTGGGGCTGAATTGTCTCCCGTAATCAGTTTTAGAGCCACTAAATATAGTAAGTTAGTGGCAGAAGGGATGTTAAAGTGTATCTGCGGTGTCATAAAAATGTATTTGGTCTTTGTCCCAGGTTTCTAACCTAGAGCTCCTAAAACCAGGGGTACAATTTCCTGAGGATAAGAATGTCTTTCGCTTTTCATTCATAAGGAGCTACTTTCTCCCACACCTGAGTTAATGCTACTGAGAGGGGTCCTGGGGCTGGGGGCTAGACAGCTTCAGGGTGGGGACTGGCCACCAGAGGAACCAGACCGGGGGAGGGAAGAGGAGCTGGAGACTTGAGTCCAATCACCTGACCCATGATTTCCTCACTCACGTCTGCGCGATGAAGCCCCACGTGAAGCCCACGGGGCGTGCGGTTCCGGAGCCCCTCGGGAGTGGAAGCTCTGCGTGCCTCACCTCCCATGCTTTCTTTCCCACGGGCCTCTCTATGTGGTGCCTCTCTAAGGGCCATCCATTACAATAAAACAGCCATCTTAAATATAGTGTGCTTTCCTGAGTTCAGTGATTTGTCCTAGTGAGTGATCAAACCTGAAGTAGGGTCATGTGACCCCTCGAATGTAGCCAAATCACACGCAGGTGCCGGCAGCCTGGGGACCTGGGACTTGTGGCTGGCCTCTGAGTGGGGGCTGTCCTGTGGGATGGAGCCCCTTGACCTGTGAGGCCCACTCTAACTCCAGGTATTGTTGTCAGCATTGAACCGAATGGCGGGATATCCAGTTGATGGAGAATCTTAGGGAACCAGTATCTATCTAATCACATTTCCTAGCAAAGCAGCCGGACCCAGAAGGGTCTCCTCAGCAAATCCCAACTCCCTTTCCCATGCAGCCCACCCTGCCTTTCTTCCTTCTGGCCCTGCCCTTGGGAGCAACTCCAAGCCAGCCTCCTCTCCTCCGTTAATGAGCACACTGGAAGATGGCACCTTTGCTCCCCTTGTCCAGGCTTCACAGACCTTAATTTCCCTCAACCACTCTTCCTTTGGGATGGGTTCCGGAACCATCACTTCCCGACACACTTCTTTTCTTTGGAACCCAATTTTCTTAGACTACAGCTGATCACTTGCTATGAAATAGAGGGCTGAGAGAAGGCTTTGCAAGTCCTACAGAGGCTGCAGCCAGCTGAGCACAAGCCTAGCCATGCACCTCAGAAGCCACTCATTCTTCTAAGACCTCGCCAAGGACGAACGGCCCATCCTTGCTAGGCAGGTTTCAATATTACAAATATTTACTATTTCAAATGCAGGAGGTAGAATTTGCTGGTCGTGATGAATGAGTAGAATCAAGACCACTAAGCTACCAGCAATTTACAGGTTGGCTCACAAGACTAGTATCATGTGTTTAGTGAGCCAAGCAGTTCGCCATAAGCTGACACCAACGTCCACTGAACCATCACAACATCCCAGTGGGGATGATACCATTTGCCCCATTTTGTAGTTGAAGGGACTAAGGCTCAGAGAGGTTAAGTGACAGTCAGAGTCACACAGCTAGTGCAAGGCAGGGCTGGGATTGGAACCCAGGTCATCTATCTCCCGGTGCCTGGGCCCCTTCCACTCCACACTGCCAGAGGTCACTGCAGTGCTCCTGCTGGCAGCGGCCAGTGAGGTGTCACCTTGCACTTCACATCCTCACTCACGGAGTGTGGCCAGACACAAAGCACTAACAGGATTTTGGAACTGGGTTGGTGCAGTTAGGTGGGTTAAATTCCAGCTGCTACTTTCTAGCTCTGGGATCTTGGCTGTTTCACTTCTCTGAGCTGCAGTCTCCCTGCTGGTCCTGGCCACCTTGCAGGGTCTGTGGGGGATGTCATGACTGTGTGCTAAGTCCCTGACACACAATAGGTGTTCAATAGGTGGCAACGGTCTGGTCCGCAGATGCCCCTGGCCATGGGGCCAGGTGCCCGGGCAGTATGCAGCCGGGCAGTGTGGGTTGTGAGGGCTGAGCCTGCTTGTGCTTATTTAGCTGTCATATCACATTGCACAGCCATCTGCTCTCACCCCATAAATCGCCCCCTCGCATTGCAGCTTTCCAAGTTTCTCTGTTTCCTGAGTTTCCCGCATCCCTCGTCCCTCCTTCTCCAGCTGTGGTTCGTGTTTTTCCATGGGAAGGTTTCTTTCACTTACTGCATCTCTAACTTTCTCTTTTTCTTCCTTATCTGTCCATGGTGATGATCACAACACATCCCAATTTAGTCTCGTCAGCTGATTTAATGTGTTGCTTCTCCCTCTCACAGTCTACAAGGCGGTGAGCACTGAAGCACGAAGTAGAACACTTTTGCTATTAACAACCTCACCAATTATGAACCTCATAGTCTGTGTGTGCCCCATGGCAAAGAACAGAAGCAAGATAGGTGAAGACTGATGGCCTGATTTAAGACTTACAGCCTAGATTCCACAAATAAACACACAAAGCAGTGAAAAACCCCAGCCCTGAAAGTGATTTTGGATCTTTCTAGTCGTAGGTAAATCCACTCATTTTTATTAAAATAACAAGTTGCCCCAGAAAAACAATTGCTCTTACTGATGAAAAAATCATAGCCACCTGGCGGGTCAGGTGCACAGGTAACTGTGTGGTGTAAGTGATGGACTCAGCCTTCATTTCACAATGCTGCAGCCATGATTTCCTTCTTTTTCCTCTGCCAGTGGCTTTTAGCACCTTTGCTTTGTACCTCACATTATCTTCTCAAGGGCATACAGCTGAGGCCAGGCCCATGAAGAAGGGCCCGCCACACACCTCTCCACCTCCACAGTGGGAATGTCCATCTGTGGATCCGCAAGCTCCTGGTTGGCCTGCTGACCCCATCCAGCCACTGCGGGGCCCAGGGACTGCCACACAGCGCCACCTAGTGACATCCGGGGAGGCGCCCCAGCCCTCCAGATCTGGCCGAAGGTGAGAAAAAAGGGTAGAGGGTGGGCTTGTGTGTGTGCGTTCAGGCAGAGTGGGGCCTCTAAGTGGGATCCCACTGTAGGGTGGGCAGCCAACTCCCAGGGTGAAAGGAAGCACCCGGTTCTCCTGCAATGTGTGCTGGAGGGGGTGTCTCCCCACTCCTCAACTGGTGGGGAGGGAATTCACTCCATGCAGGCAGAGAAGGAGTGGGGTGCCCCAGGTAAGAGGAGTCCCAGGCGATGGTGGAACGTCCCTGCCAGCATGTGGGAGAAGCCCATGATTTCAGGGCCGGTTTATTCAGTTCTACGGATGTGGACTGAGCTCTGGATTCGTGCCAGGAACTCAGCTAGGCTTCTGGGGTCGGGGCCACAGAGGTGGAGGGCGGCTCCTTCCCCTAACAGAGCTCAGCTTTAGTGAGGGAGGAAGGGGGCTGCAGCTGCTGGGCATTGACTCCAGAGTAAGTCAGTGCCAGGAGTGGGTGCCCGAGCCTGAAGGAGGGAGGGAGGCTCAGGCCCCAGGGAGGCCTTCAGCAGTGGGGACACAGGAGGAGGCCGAGGGGAGAGTCAGTCAGTGGGGACGCAGCTGTGTGCATGCAACCTACATGCATGTAAACACATGTGTGCATGTGTGTGTGAATGTGTGTGTGCATGAGTGTGTATGTGCCTGTGTATGAGAGTGTGTGAGTGCATGAGTGTAAGCATGTGTGTGCGTGTGTATATGTGAGTGTGTGTTTATGTGTGTCTGTGTTGCACGTGTGTGTTAATGTTTATGTGTGTGAGCTTGTGTGTGTGTGTGTGTGTGTGTGTGTGTGTGTGTGTGTGTGTGTGTAGCACTGGGGTAGGGAGATGGGGAGGAGAAATCAGGATGAGGAGTCCACACAGGGAGTCCAAATAAAGAGGGTGGGGTCGCTCCAAGGGTCCTGCAGTGACAGAATCCTGGAACTCCAAGAGCGGAGGAGCCCTTGAATGACCTGGGTGGGAAAGATGGAAAGAAAGCTGCCATCAGAGAGAGACAGCTGGAAGAGCCAGGAGGTGAGAGGAACTGGGTTGTTTTGCTAGCGAGGTTTTGCCAACCAAACAGGGTGACCAACTCTCCTGGTTTGCAGCTGAGAGGGTTTCAGGGATGCAAGGCTTTCAGTTTGAAAACCAGGACAGTCCCAGGCAAACCAGGACAAGTTGGC
Source organism: Homo sapiens (assembly GCF_000001405.40). NCBI lineage: Eukaryota > Metazoa > Chordata > Mammalia > Primates > Hominidae > Homo > Homo sapiens. The sequence continues at coordinate 184,101,704 of NC_000004.12, forward strand.
CATTGTACAGTCAGCACTATATTAGGAATTTAGGTAACATCTTCACCCAGGGTGATATGTTCAGCACTTCCCAGTGCCTTCCAGGACCCCTCCTCTAGACAGGGGTAGACAGCAATGCCAGGACCCTCCTTGATGAGCCCCTCAACCAGTTAATCATTTCTAACAGGAAGGAACCAGAAACAAGTCGCCCCACACCAGGACGCGCGGTGAGAAGCCGCTGCGAGGGTGCCTTCAGGCTTGCGCGCTTTCCTGCCGGTGCCTGCATTCTCTCTGGGCGCCTGCACTCCATCGCCAGCTCCCCATGATAATGCCTGTTATATGCTTGCATTGATTTGGGAAGCCAAGGAATAATTATGAGATAAGAGTTATAATTTCTAGACCAGGCCTTTGTCTCAATCATCCTTAGCATTAAAATGAAAAGAAAATGCAACATTTGCGCTTTACCTCCGAATCAGAAACCCAGTAAATACAGTTTGTTCGACACTTGCCAGGGCCCATCCGTTTGCATTCAGCATTGTAGGATTCCTTTGAGTGCTGAGCTGAGCTGTGCTGTCTGGGGAGCACACTCAGAAATGCGAGGCTGCGCTGGGAGTGAAGGTGCAGGCAGAGGGAGGGGTGGAAGGACAGGACGAGGCGAGGAGCACTGAGTGGTCCATGTTTATTATTTGCCGCTTCACATGGGCAAGGTGTGGCTTTGGCAAACTCTAGGGGCATTTACTTGTCTTTTCATGATGCATTTTTGGAATACATGATCATATATATTTCTTGCCCATTCCTTCCTATTTCTCTCCACCATATACAGGAGAATGGTTGCTAAGCTGGGGAGAATAACGGAGGAGGCTGGTGGCCAACAGCTGCCCAACATCCGGCCTCCAGCTGTGTCCTGCATCCCTAAATGTCTCCTCCCGAGGTGGCTGGAGGGTTGAAATCTGTCTTCTCTGCCATCCCTCCCCGAGCAGAGGCGCTGTTGCAGGGCCTTGCCTGGTGCCTCCTGCTCTGCCTGGTGCTGCCCCTCTGGCCTTCCCACAGAGGCCACAGTGTCGCTCCCTGCTGGAAACCAGCGTGCTCACCGTCCACACCGGTGCATCCCATGCTGGCTGCTCAAGGACCACCCTGAGCTCAGCCTGGACCTGGCTCCGGGATATTTGCATTCAGCAGGTCAGGAGGAGTTGAGGAATCTCTTCTTAATGTCCCCCAGGTGGTCGGGATGTGCAGTCAGCCATGAGAACCCCTAGAAGCTGCTCACCTGGCATCTGCCATGGGCCATGTGAAAGGATGATTGTCCTTTTCTGAGAAGTGCCTGAGATCAGGGACTGTGCCTCATGTCCCTTTGTGTGGCACTGGGCAAGCAACACGGGCCTCCCTCTTAGAAAGTTCAAAGGGCTTCAAGGGACTGCAGAATGAGGCACAGGATCAGCTGGTACAGGGCTGCTTTCCAACAGGCGGGAGCCAGGGTGGCCCTCCAGCTGCTCCAACAGGTGCTTCATTCTCAAAGGCCGGCGCCCATGGGATGCTGGTTGTTACACATTTTGACTATTGTGTCTCCTTTCAACTACTGAAAGTATAATTCTCATGGGGTGTGGGGTCAGGGACCCAAGTTCTTCCCTTTCTCCCTTGAGGCATCACAACAGGTCTCCAGGGAACTGGGGAACACCGTTGAAATCTGGTCAGATTAAAATAAAAGGTGAAACCTATCTAAGGTGTATTAGAGGCCTAATAAAAATCTACTTTTTTCTTCTAGGACACGGTTATAACAGAAGCCTCCCACCTCCCTGAAAATACAATACACTTCTGACATCCTCCCAGTCTAAGAAAAGGCACCAACAATGTTCAAGTCATGGGTGGCTTCAGTGAAAACGCTGGTGAAATGATGACAGTTTGGCTGGCTTGGATGGTTTTGCTGCTAGTGTGAAGGTCAAGATATGGTTTCTATTATAAACCACGCTTTCTCATATTTTGTGGCATTGCTATTTTAAATTGTCCTGCAAAGAGGCTTCCAGCCAGCAGGACTCTTTGGAGCCCGTGGGAGTGGTGGTTATGAGCCTTGGAGATGTGTTTGCCACATGCCGCTCCAAAGGGATGTTCCTCTAACCATTTCCCTTTCTCTGTCTTTCTGAAACAGAATGTAATTGCTCAGGCCTCGGCCTGCTGGCCTGACCCCAGCGAGCCCCTGGCCACACACTGCTTGATCCTCGAAATGGAAAATGCAGGCAGCCAAGTCAGCAGGGATCTGGCGACGCAGACATTCTCGGAGTGGAGCAAAGCGCTGGAGAAAAGCACTTAGTGGATGGGGTTTCTTTCTTCTTTTCTTTTCTTTTCTTTTTTTGAATCACGTTGATTGCAGTGCGCCCAGGCTGAGGAGGGTATGCCTGTGCTCCCACACAGCTCCCACAGATGGCCCTGGTCACCATCAGAACGCATGCAGCTTCCCACCCCACATCTGACTTTCTGAAGCTCAGGCAGGCCTGGACAATACCACACTAGCTGTCACTAAAGCTCCGAAGCCACGTTTTCCAGATTGTCTTGATTTCCCCAGATATTTTGAGTCCAGGCCTCACAGCCATTCAACCACAGGCTTTAGAATTGAGCCTGGCATTTCATATCCTTTTCCAGTTTTCAAAATAAGTCTTTCCTCTGGAGAAAAATATTGGCCTCCTTTAGAAGCTTGGGCCTGAATTTGCTGCATTTCTCTCAAGTCAGGCAGGGGTCCAGACCATGTTCTACGATCTTTCACCTAGCTCTGGGGAAATCTTTCCCCATCCTACCTTTGTGAGCATGGTGGCATAAAATGGACACTGTCCAGGAGAGGCTGCAGGAATTAGCCCTTCAGGGCTGGGGAGAGCTGTGTCCTGCCCTTGGACTGTAGCTCTGGGTCAACTGAGGTCAGAAGAATTTGTACTTTCAACACCTCTTCCCTGTTGAAATTTCTTCTGGGGCTACTAATAATTAACCAAGCTTGAAAGCCTGACTTCGCTTTCTTCTCTGTTTACTTGGTGACTGGTTTACACACCAACCAAGTGAACAATCTGTCAATAAGTAGTCAGGAATCAACTGTCTCAATATTTAATAATTCATACCACCCACTAACATCTACTGAGACTCTACTGTGTACAAGTTCTATGATGGGAAACAAAGGTCAAGATGCCAAAGACCTGCCCTCAGGGAGCCTCCACTCCGGCAAGGCAGAGTCCAAAACAGACAAACAAATGTAGCATCAGGTCTTACAGAAATTCCAAGCTGGAGAACATTAGCAACTCTTGAGTGTTTCCTGGAAGAGATGGTGTTTGAGTTGGGCTTTGAAGGACAGGGAGGGATTGGCACAGAGAGGGCATTCCAGAGATTCTACTGATTATTTATTAGGCTGATTGAAGTTACTTGGGCGAGCACGGTTACCCCTCCCTGACCACTAAATTCCCAACACTTAAGTCTTGCACTGGAAGAATTGTTTTCACAACCAGAAAAATTTTGGTTCGGGTCTATGCAAATCATCCATGTTGGTGATAAGAAAGAAAGAAAGGGGTTGGGGTAAGGAAGAATAAAAGGAGATAAATTGGGCTTGGAACAACTGTAGAGGTTTTTGCAGTATGACACGAGCAAGAAAATTTAAAAGGATGATGGTAGAACTTCTGTTTCTGCAAGTGTGAAGGAGCCAAGATGTAGCTCTAGACCCCACAGAAGCCAGAAGGGTGAGTCTGTAACTGGGAAACACGATGTTAGAAACACATTGAACATTCTGCTGAAATGTTTAGAACATCTTAGAAGAACTGGATGGGACTGTGTGCTTCATGGCTAGACTTGAATTCAAGTCCTGGGTTAGTTGCTCAGAGATTTGTAACCATAGGCAAGATACCTAAAATGCTGAGCCGCCATTAACTCAGTAAATACAGTATCCACAATGCAGAGAGAGTGAATTGAGGAGGTACTTCATTCCAGATAGCCACTATTGTTATGGTTGTTATTGACCAAAATTTTTTTTAAAATCCCCATATTTTTATTATCTGCAAAATATAAAATAACTTGATGTGTATGTCATTGAAACTTTTGGGAGGGCCATAGGGAGCTCTTTCCAAAGTCTACGATGATCCAGGCAAGAAAAATTAAGATTGTTGTTCACAGCAACCAGTATTACTAATTAAAGGTGTATGAAATCACATTGACAGTCTGTTTAGTGGGTCAGTGTAAGGATTTTCGTGGAACTGCTCATGACCTCAGTTATTTAACTCTGTTCTTCCCATGAGCTATGAATTACATTACCCTGAAGATGATGGATCATGATCCTCCCCTGTAAAAATTCCCTGTGGTTTCCCACTGAACTTAAGATCAAAAATACCAAGTTGTTTTTTTTTTTTTTGAGATGGAATCTCTCTCTGTCTCCAGCTGGAGTGCAGTGGCGCAGTCTTGGCTCCCTGAAACTGCCACCTCCCAGGTTCAAGTGATTCTCCTGCCTCAGCCTCCCAAGTAGCTGGGATTACAGGCACATACCACCATGCCCGGTTAATTTTTGTATTTTTAGTAGAGACAGGGTTTCATCACGTTGGCCAGGCTGGTCTCGAAATCCTGACCTCAGGTGATCCGCCTGCCTCAGCCTCCCAAAGTGCTGATATTACAGGCATGAGCCACCATGTCCGGCCACAAAAATACCAAGTCTTAAAATAAAAAATACCAAGTCCTGGCCCAATGGTCCCTTGCTTACCTAAGCAGCCCCATCTTGTTGCCACGTCCCCTCTCCCAGCTCCCCACACTTGGCCACCTGGCCCATTCTTTCCATTCCTCTCACTCTCAAAGGTCTTTCCTGGCTCAGGTTCTTCAAGAAGCCCATTCCCTCAGCCTGGAGAGCACTTCCTCTTCCCGCCTGACCACTGAGCACTCCTCCTCTGGGTTTCAGCCTCAAGCTCCCTTCTCAGAGAGGGCCCCCCCAGCCCCTCATCTATATCGGTCTCCTGTTGCCCCCACCCCAGTACCCTCTTTCATGGCACTCTCTGTGTCCATGACAGCTCTTACCATGGCGACTTATTTGTGTGGCATGCGTGTTTATTTAGTGTCTAGTGCCTTCACTAGCAGGGAGGGCAGGAGTGGGGGCAAGGACTCCCAGTGGCTCCCCACTGTGGAATTAGAACTTCTCGTTGGCCGTCGCTGTAGTCGGCACTCAGCACATATCTGCTGGTTCGCTAGGTGCACGATTGCTGAGGCACACGGCCTTCACGGTCGGGGATGGAAGAGCGTGCTTGAGTCTGCTGCAGACTACCCACAGCCCTTCTCCACTTGGCATTTTGCTGTGTTGTGCCTGACTCTCCCACAGTTTAGCATCGCCGAGCCTGCCTCCTCAGTGTCCCTGGCCCACCGTGACATTGTGACAACCCAACCTGCCCCAGGCCCCTGGGGGAGGGAGTGGCAGGGTGACCCACTGAGAACCACGGTGGAGCCAACCTGGGCGGGACTTCCGTGCTCTGGGGAAGAGTGTGATCTTCATCCCCTGTGGGAAGATGCAGGGCAAAGTCTTTCCAGAAGACAGGGAACAGGTCTCAGGCAGGACTTCCATGAGGAAGGCCCATTTCCTATCCTTGAAGCAAAGAGCTTGGCTGGGGTGACGGGCTCAGGCTGGACCTGTGGAGGCAGCCTGTGCTTTACCTCTTTCTGTTTTATCCTATGGGAATAAGAACACTTCAGATTTCTCTCCTTTCAGGACAGGAGGCTGGAGAAAGGACTGACAGCGGTTGGAAATCCAGCTGGTTTATTAAAGAGTGCAGGGGCAGAGGCAAACTGGGGGCCCTTGCTTTGCTATGGCAGGGTCAGCAGTCCCGCTGGATGACTGTGTGTAATCCCAGCACTTTGGGAGGCTGAGGTGGGCAGATCACAAGGTCAGGAGTTCGAGACCAGCCTGGCCAATATGGTGAAACCCCGTCTCTACTAAAAATAGAAAAATTAGTCAGGGCTAGGTGTGGTGGCTCACGCCTGTAATCCCAGCACTTTGGGAGGCTGAGGTGGGCGGATCACGAGGTCAGGAGATCGAGAACATCCTGGTTAACACAGTGAAACCTCGTCTCTACTAAAAATACAAAAAATTAGCCGGGCGTGGTGGCGGGCGCCTGTTGTCCCAGCTACTCGGGAGGCTGAGGCAGGAGAATGGCGTGAACCCGGGAGGCGGAGCTTGCTGTGAGCCGAGATCCCGCCATTACCCTCTAGCCTGGGCAACAGAGCAAGACTCAGTCTCAATAAAAAAAAAAAAAAAAAATCTGTTTCTGTCTTTATCTTTTTCAGTGACGCCTCTCTAAGAAATCCTAAGAAAAAGATAAACTCAATTAAGTCTTCCTGTTAGTGCAGCCGCCTTAGAGTCTGCAAGACTTAAATTTATGGTAGAAAGTTGGTGTGTTTTGGGGAAGGGCATTTTTACCAAGGAAACCAAATCTTCCATGTTTCTGGGATGGCGGCTACAGGCAGAAAGGAGTGGGGGACAGGACTCTAGTGGCTGTCACCCAGCATCACCATGTCCTGACTCAGCTGTTTTCCTAATCATGGCTAAACCAGAAACCAGTCTCATCTGCCAGCCGAACTCAGACCCAGAGAGGCTGCTTTCGGGCCGAGAGTCTTGCCATGCCACAGATGTGAAGTCTAAGCCAGCCCTGAAACGTCATCGCATGCACTGTGGATGGGTGTATAGGTTTCAGGGCAAAACTTAACATTCTTTTACCATTTGGGGAGAAGTTTAGCGAATAGGAAAGTGAGAGATTAATAGCCTTGGCACAACGCAGAAACGAGGATATAGAATGGGGTTTTTAATTCTCTGCTGTCAAGAAAGGATAAAGAACAATCGAACGATGTCAAAGGAAGAAGTTTAAGCCAATAAAGAAAGAATGGGCACTTGTTTTGGGGATTTCTCAGAAAACAAATAAATAAAGCCCCAATGTTATATTAAAGTAGAATCAGAAATTATAGCTTTTACATATGGTGTCTTAATAATAAAAATTTGTAAATTCCAGGATAGAAGTAAAATGATTAAGATCTTTAGTCTAGGAAACTGCAGAGTCATTAAAAGATATCTCAGTGTCTCTCAGGACTCAGGGACGATTATGAGTTTCCAGAGAGACATTTGTGTTCATGGACATAGGTGCTGTAAGTTATGTTAATGGAACTGATTGTTCTCTTTGAATTGGCTTCTTGGAAGCTCAGAACCACATGTGTGTTCCATTTTGTTTGGCTGTATGTTATTTTCAGAACTAACAATAGCAGCGGGACGCAGTGGCTCACGCCTGTCATCCCAGCACTTTGGGAGGCCAAGGCGGGCAGATCACTTGAGGTCAGGAGTTCAAGACCATCCTGGCCAACATGGTGAAACCCCATCTCCACTAAAAATACAAAAATTAGCTGGGCAGGGTGGTGGGCACCTGTAATCTCAGCTACTTGGGAGGCTGAGGCGGGAGGATCTCTTGAACCTGGAAGGCAGAGGTTGCAGTGAGCTGAGATCGCACCACCGCACTCCAGCCTGGGTGACAGAGGGAGACTCCATCTCAAAAACAAAACAACAACAACAACAAAAAAAAACAAAACAAACAAACAAAAAGAACTAACAATATCCATGATGCAGAGTCATCAGGAGAATTCGAAACAGGAACTGGGATGCACTTAATTCAAGAGAGCTATTATTATGCAGTAGTTGTCACTGACTAAAATTTAAACAGACATTTTTCTTGATGTATTTATTATCTGCAAGGTGTAAAATAACTTTCTATGCATGTCATTGAAGCTTTGGGGGAGGGGTCATTCTAGAGCTGCTACGGATCCGGGCGTGATACATGAAGATGAATTTCGCAGCCCTTATCATTAGTAATTAAAGGTGTGTGAGCCACCATGGATAGTGTATTAGTGAGCAACCCTCATCTTTCAGAGCTAATCTTATTTTTTCATACCCTATTTATCTTATTTCTGATGTTCTTTTGTTTCTTTTTAAAGTTTCTACTTCACTTATCTTTGAAATTACCTCAAATCTTCCTTTGGAAGTGATTGTATATGTTAAAATGCTGCTCTAATAATTGTCAATAGCTAAGCATTCTTCCTTTCTGTTCTGTGGCTTCTCCCTAAGACATACAATACAGTACTGGTTAGCCCTTGCTAACTGATGGTCTCACTTCTGATTTATTCAGACAAACGTGTGTGTGTGTGTGTGTGATTTGTCAATGCATACAAAAGTAATATATAATAGAACATAACATGGTCAACGCTGATTTGTCGGTTTCCTACAGGGGAGCAGGTACTTGGATCCACAGCAGAGTGTGGGGCGGGAGGATGTGGGGGAGATGGAAGGGAGAAGGTACTTGGACCCACAGCAGAGTACGGGACGGAAGGATTAGGGGGAGATGGAAGCAGAGCCAGGGGAAGGAGGACGTGTCCTCAGACGTGTCACTGGGCATCCTGAGTGGGCCAGCACCAGTCAGAATGGTGCAGAGGCTGCCGTTTGTTCTTGCTCTCCCCTCACCCCTTCTTTCTGTTCTTTGTTTCGGGGCCCCAGTCTACCTGACTCCTGGCCTCTGTTTCACTTTTGTCCTGTGATTGGGACCCCCTGGTCTGCACTTCAGCACAACTTCAGATCTCAGAACCAAAGCTGACCCAAGGCAGGAATTTTCTAGCCCCACTAGTCAGCTGATTGATGAGACTGAGGGGAAGCCGCTAGTGGGTTCTGGGCAGAAGCAGATTTACAGCTTATGCACCAAGGCTCCTCATGTGTGTGAACTTCTTCCAAATCCCTGTACCTAATTTTGTATTCATAACTGTGTATGTTTTCTTCTTAAAGAGAGATCCCATTTAGCATAATCTTCAGAGTCCTACAAAACCTGAGTCTGGCCCTGGCTCTGGTATGTATATTTTTCTCCCTGATAAAAGTAGGAGACATACAAACAGAACCCACGCCCTTTCTTTCCTGCTTTGGAATGTCCTGACGGGATATGATGTGATGCATGGAGCTGCAGCAGCCACCTTGTGACGTTGAAGAAAGCCAAGAGCATTGCAGAAGAGCTTGCTTGGGGCATGATATAATTGAGTTGCTGGATTCAGCAATCCTGGAATTGCCTGCCTCCAGACTTCTAGTTATGTGGGATAGTAAATCCTTTTTGTTTAAGCCACATTTATCAAATGGGCTGTGATTTATGACCAAGAGCGTCTTAACGGATGCCTTGAGGTCTCCCAGCACTGCGTTTCATCACTCACTGGAAGGCCCTGCATCTTCATGCCGGACGTGTGGCTGCTGAGATACCATGTTTACTTTCACTGAGAGGACTCAGGGCTGAAGCTGCTTCCCCAGCACCTGTCACATCCTACTGCAGGGGACCAAGACCTTTCTCGCTGGAATTGAGATGGCACCTCATTAGTCATCCAGCATCTCCATAGTGACCTCTGGCCCTGCACTCCCCTACCTAAGCCTGTTTTCCACCAAGATGCCCGATCACTTCTGCGCTCTTATACTCTCCCTCCCTACCACCCAGCCTCTCAGCACGGGTGACTTCAGCTAAAGACGACAGAGTAATGACGGATGCAAATAGCCAGCTAAGAAATTACTGATGGCTGTGGATTAACCTTCAGGGCATATTTGCTTTTAAAAATTCCAAGCAATTCTGCCAGAATTTTATAAACTGAAAAAAGTTCAAACAGTAAGCCCTTTGGTGTGATCTGGAAGGCTGGCGTTGTGGAATACAGTGAGACAGGTGACTTGCTTGACCACATATGTGCTCTGTGTGAGGTCCTGAGCAAACCACTCTAAGTGATGATTTGGTGATCCCAACCTAACCTCACTCCAGGTGACCTCACACTCTGTGATGAAGTGATGAGAAGCATTTTGGATTGTAGAGGAGAGGGCATTAGGGAACAGAGGGACCCTCACCTTGTAAACCACGTGGCAGAGAAGCCATAGCTGCCTGAGAAGGACCTCGCTGGTCTCTGCTCTGCGCAACTCACACCCCTAACCGAATCTGCTCTCTTCTCAGTTCCTTGGTGCCAGGTGCTTCTCTCTGTCTGAGAGCACCCAGAAGCCACGCAGTCTTCCTGCATAACACACAACCTGTGTGTTACATGTCACACAACCCCCATTTTCCCATGCCCATGTCCCGGACTCCCACTCACTTGCCCAGTCAGCCTTCCTGCTGATCATCGCCTGTCCTCATGCCCCGGGGTGACTACTGACAGTCTTAGGTCTTACACTTGGTTGGCCTCAACCAGCTACTCTCATGTACCCTGGAGCCTGTTCTATTAGGTTGGTGCAAAAGTAATTGTGATTTTTGTCATACTGCAATTACTTTTGAACCAAGCTAATAATTGCAACCCACCTTCAAATTCCTAAAATAACCCATGCTGTCTTCAGGAATGAACTGTAAACATGACACGACTGCAGACTCCCCTAAAGGGCAGGGCCTCCCCACCGTGGCCTGATATCACAAGCTGATGCCAGAGCTGGATGAGCTTAGAGTCCAGGCCAACCAGGAGGAGGCTGTGGAGGTCATTCAGGCATGAGGCAATTAAGGTTTGGACAAAAAATGCATGATATTCTCCTCTGAAAGATCAAATTGGCAAACTGGGGACTCACAGTCTCGTTTGCCAAACATTTCTCTTGAAGGTGAAAGTTAAGCTGAGCCTCTCCCTGCTTTTGACTGCCCTTGAGCAATTGCTTTGGTTCACAGTAATTGTTCCACTTTCAAGCGAACAGGTTACATTGTAAGCCGGGTAATCGAGTTAATGCCCGTTTGTTAAAACACAGCGAGTCTGGAGCCACGAAGTCTAAACCATGACTCTGGGTTCGCGTCTACAGTTGTGTCTACAAAGTTACCCGATCAAGACTTTTGATTCTCTAAAGAAAGACATAACGCAACAAACGATGCCTAAGTGAAAAAATCTTTTATGTATAAAAACTTGAGTAACTATTATTTAACTTTGGACTGTTTTATAGAATTTGCATAGAGAATAAATTGGCACATATTTCATAATTACCTCAGTTATGAACCAGCCTTCATCAGCCACTAAAGTCAAAGGAGAGACAAACTTTCCTTTCTTGTAATAGAACCTGCTTGGGATGGCTTCTTTCTCGTAGACAGTCATGTGTTCCACTGTGCTCAGTTTGTTATATATCTGCAAAGAAAATCAAGAGTGATCAGTTTGACACTCTCTTAAATATGTGTGAATATTTACTGGAGCTAGGGGAGAGGAGAACTTACGTATAAGACCAAAGAAAGAAATTGCCAAATACTTGATAGATTTGAATATGTAAAAACAAAAAACTTTTGTCTGTCTCAAAAAGCAAGGTGGCTTCATCCAGGAAGGCTGAAGATCCTCACACTCTCTCACCTAAGAAGTTGACTCTGAGGAATAGAGTGAAATCCCTCAAGCCTGTGCACCTGTAGCCATGTGGAGGAATGAACCCTGCAAACTGGAACAGCCCAAATGCCCAGCAATAGTGGGGGAGAGAAAGAATTCATGGTGTGGTTCTGCAATGGAATACTCTACAGCACTGAAGATGAATGAATTATAGCTACAAACACTCCTGGAAGACTCTCAGGGATCTCAGCTTTAGTGGGGGGAAAAGCAAGTTGCTGAAGAATACAGGCAAAATTATTCCAATTCTATATTTCTTATTATAGTTTGAGCAACTACAAAACTAAACAGCATATATGGTAAAACTGTAAACGGAGGTTTTAATAATTTAAGACAGTGGTTTCCTCTGAGGGGGCAAAAAGGGGGATTGGGTCTGAGAAGGACATACAGCTGTCCCAGGTAACGGTAATGTCCTATTTCTCAGGTGTTCTGAGTATAAAGGGTCTGCTGTAACATTACCTTTCACACCTTATTCATTTTCTAATAATGTCAAAACGCCCATGCTCTAATATTATGTCAAAACTCCCATGCTGATATTAAAGGGAAAGTAAGAAATTGGTCTACCTGATATTAAATATTGCAAAGATCAAAAAAGAGGATTTGTTCTTCAACTTGACCTAGAGCCTATCCTGCCTGCATGTGAATCTTTAAAGCACTAGTACTTGTTTGCCATTAACTACATTGCTAATTTCATGATGAAGATGCAAACTTTGTACATACTTTGTACATCTGCCTGCCTCAGCCTCCCAAAGTGCTAGGAATATAGGCTTCAGCCACCGAGTGTGGCCCTGTACATATTTCTTTTTATCTCTCTCTCTTTCTCTTTCTTTTTCCTTCCTTTCTTTCTTTTCTTTCTTTCTTTCTTTCTTTCTTTCTTTCTTTCTTTCTTTCTTTCTTTCTTTCTTTCTTTCTCTCTTTCTTTCTTTCTTTTTGATGGAGTTTTGCTCTTGTCACCCAGGCTGGAGTGCAATGGCAAGATCTTGGCTCACTGCAACCTCCGACTCCTGAGTTCAAGCAATTCTCCTGCCTCAGCCTCCCAAGTAGCTGGAACTACAGGCACCCACTGCTACACCCAGCTAATTTTTGTATTTTTAGTAAAGACGGGTTTTCGCCATGTTGGCCAGGCTGGTCTTGAACCCCTGACCTCAGGTGATCCACCCACCTTAGCCTCATAAAGTGCTGGGATTACAGGCGTCAGCCATCGCGCCTGGCCCTGTACATATTTCTAATAGTAGCAGCCACTTAAATATCTATGGCTAAAATTAAAATCGACTGACTGATATTGACTTGGCCTTTAGCCAAATCAGGCATATATTTCTGGGCATCACTGAATATAAGATTGAGTTTATCAACTCAACTCTGTAAAATAATGTAGTGGATGGTTTCTGACGGCTCCTGAGTTATGATTTTCTACTTAAGGAAATCCGGAGTTCTTAAGGAAAGGAGGATGCATTTGCAGAAGGATTTTGTATAAGTGAAAAATCTAGCGACACACAGCAGGTCTCACAAACTGTTGTGTCCGTCACATGACAAACTGTCGCCCAAACATGGCCCCCGCTTTTGAATACTCTACCAACTGCTTTGGCTGCCTGCAATGCCTGACTTGAACAGTACCTTGGAAGGCGCTCTCCCTAGCTCAAAAGCTGTTGATGCCCAAGTTCTGGAGACAGCACGTTCCTAAGTGCCAAATTGGACACAAGGATGATCTTTCTTGCCAAAAAAAAAAAAGAAAAAAAGAAAAAACCCAGAATGTATTTTCAAGAACCTGCCAATGTGTAAAATATTGTTTCTGATTTCATATTTTGGGAGCTCATGGGAACACTGCATAAACATATCCTGCACCTGCAGTCCCTGACCATGGAGCCTGAGAACAAAGGACTGTCCCCCTGGGGATGGAGCAAGGCTGGGAGCAGTGGCATTCTGGGCATCTGTGTTCCTCAACCCCAAACAGACAGATCTTATAGGGCAGTAGGCTCCGTGAGTTATGATTTTCTACTTAAGGAAATCCGGAGTTCTTAAGGAAAGGAGGATGCATTTGCAGAAGGATTGGGCTAAAGAGGTGAGACCCTGGCCTCCACCAGTGCTTCATCCTTACTAATGACTGTCCAGAGTCAACTCATGGCTGCAGTGAGGATGGAGAGAGAAAGCAGGCTGGCCAGGACCTACTACTGGTACCCTGTGGTTGGCAACCTCCAGGGGCAGCAGGTCGCCTGCCCCCAGGAAGACAGTTGCTTCCTGCCCAGATCAGTTTCATCTGGGAGTGGGACAAGCCACAAAGCCCATATTGGGAAGTGACTAGGAACTCGGGGGACAAGCAGCCAGCAGAAGGTGCCACTTGCTCCTCCTCCCTTCTCAGGGTAGGTCACCAGCTACTGCCAGGCAGAATATTTGTTTTGAGAGCAGGGTAAGCAGAGGTCTAGTCATCCCTGGTGCAGGGCAGTGACTGTGGGGAGCAGAGCTTTGTCCCCCATCTTGGCACTGTGGGAACTCAACCACACCCTCTGGTGGGGATCATCATGGTCACCGACACATACATTGTCCTTGCAGTGGGCTCAGCGTGCTTCCATATCCCTCACAGCAGCCAGGAGGCAGCTATGACAGCACCACCATGCTCACGTACAGGGAGGCAGAGAGGCCAGGGTGGGGAGCTTGTCTGGCTTCCAACTGAACACAGAGCTGGGAACGGTGGCTCCTGACATAAGGAGCTGGGCACTGCATACAGCCTCAGCTCCCTTCATTCTTTACCCTCTTGTTCCCCGACAGAAACAGATCAGCCTGGCAGAAGCCTCTTTCCTGAGAAAGGGCAGCCTAGGGATGCTGCTGATGCTCCCCAGATGTGCCTGAGAAGTGCTGCATTTGGGCCAATAACAAAACAGCCCTAGGCCGGGCACGGTGGTTCACGCCTGTAATCCCAGCATCTTGGGAGGCCGAGGCAGGTGGATCACGAGGTCAGGAGATCGAGACCATCCTGGTTAACATGGTGAAACCCCGTCTCTACTAAAAAAAAAAAATACAAAAAAATTAGCTGGGCATGGTGGCGGGCGCCTGTAGACCCAACTACCCAGGAGGCTGAGACAGGAGAATGGCATGAACCCGGGAGGCAAAGCTTGCAGTGAGCCGAGATAGCGCCACTGCACTCCAGCCTGGGCGACAGAGCGAGACTCCGTCTCAAAAAACAAACAAACAAACAGCCCTGGTGAGGGCCTGTATGATGCTTCCTTGATCTCATTTAATTCTCATGACATTCAATGGAGTAGGTATCATCATGCCCATTTCAGAGAAGAAAAAACAGAGACTTGATAGAGGTCACTCAGGGAGTGAGAGGTAAACTAGGTCATCTGTCTCCAGCACCCGAGCTCCTGACACTGCTCTGTATGTCAGTATTAAAACTACAAGGAAAGGCCGGGCGTGGTGGCTCACACCTGTAATCCCAGCACTTTGGGAGGCCGAGGCGGGTGGATCACCTGAGGTCAGGAGTTGGAGACCAGCCTGACCACATGGAGAAACCCTGTCTCTACTGAAAATACAAAATTAGCCGGGCATGGTGGCGCATGCCTATAGACCCAGCTGCTCAGGAGGCTGAGGCAGGAGAATCACTTGAACCTGGGAGGCAGAGGTTGCAGTGAGCCGAGATCGCGCCATTGCACTCCAGCCTGGGCAATAAAAGTGAAACTCTGCCTCAAAAAAAGAAACAAACACACACACACAAAACAAAACAAAAAAACTACAAGGAAAAGACAGTGCAGATGGCAACACACGAGGGCCCACATGGCCCTCCTCCGCCCCCCACGGGTCTGTCTTGCCTCAGAGTGTTTCCCAGGGGCCGGCCAAAGGCTCACAACAGGCCCGCGGTCCTTCACTTGCTGCAGGTCATTCAGGCTGATGTACTTATTCAGCTCAATCACTTTGTCCATCCAGAAAATGTCGGTCATTCCGTGATCCGAGAAAATAATGACGTTCAGGCGGTCCTGCAGGCCCCGCTCCTGTGGGGTGGGAAAAGACAGTCATTACGGCACCAACAGAGAGGCTCGTGCACTCAGAAAACCTTGTCAACTACAAATGATAGGAGAAAGGCTATCTCCTCAGTTCTGTGTTTAATCTTCTACTATTTTGCCCTGGTGAGACCCAGTTCAAAACCACAACAGAAGCCCTTTGCGGAGGGGACTGTGAGGCTCAGTCCCACTCAATTCGTGCTGACACCTTACACAGCACTTTCAGCTTTTTAAGGTCGACGCTCTGCATCTTCTCTGGCTCTTTCAACAAATTTGTGTGCTGGTTTGAGAACTATCACGTGCCCATGTTACAGATGTACAGGATAAAGCACAGGAAGGGAAAGCAAAGGTAAAAACAAAACTGAACACTTGTAGTCATTCAGCAAAAGCGTAAGGTAGAATCAGGACTGGAACCTGTCTACATGTCAAGCTGCTACCAAACTTATTAGGAGTCCACAGAGCTGGGTGTCTCTCCAGCTGAGCCAGGCGAGAAAGCACACCTAGGTCAGTCTCTCTCACTGGCCTGGCTGTGGAACAAAGGATCACTTGGTATCGCAGGAGGCATTGTGTGAAGCCAAGGGACTCGTCAAAGCCTGTGCTGGCCCAATTGGCCTTTAGCAGTAAGAGGGAAGATGTTGACAGGAGTGACTGTGGAGGAGACAAACAGAGGGTGACAGAGAGAAGGCCAGGCCACGTGTCTTTGCTTCAGGTCACCTGGATCCACTTGGTCATGTACTTCAGGACAGTGTCTACAGCCTTGAGGGCATCTTTCCTCTGCGGAGATGCAGGCCCGTAGTGGTGGCCTTCCACGTCAATGCGCTCATGGTATATGGCTGCCAGGTCGGCCCGGCCACTCCTGGAGGGACAGAGGAGAGAGGCATAGGTGAGGGAGGCCCCCGCCAGCTTGCTCCCTTATCACCCCCATAGCACTCTCTGAAGGTGTTCACGCCCCCCGAAACCTTGTCCCTGGGCCAGACAAAGCCAATACCCTAAAATAAATGAGGTCAGATCTCCAAGGGAGAAGCACACACTGAACCAAGAATTGCTGGTCCTGAGCAATTCTTTGCAATCTTTGAACATAGAATTCGCAGTCTTTGAACATAGTGAAGCTTCCATAAAATCTGTCCTTTGGATAAGCCTCAGCATTTCATTGCTTTAGGTACGTGCACATTTAGCATTTCAGATGTGCCTGTTCACACAGTATGGCATCTGTTTAGGTGTCCACACTTCCAGAGTGGGCTTACATGTAGGGAAAAATCCGATTAAACTCAGTGGTGACTTACTATAGTGAGGAGTTTTCATGAATAAAGTTTACCATTGCATTAAAGTTTAACGAATGAACTAATTCTAGGTCTCTTCATGTTAGATACCTCTCCTTAGTGCAGCACTCCTGTCCTGGTTTCCTTAAGGCTATTACTCTATTCACAAACCTCCACATCATCCATTATGT
The DNA here is from genome assembly GCF_000001405.40 of Homo sapiens. Lineage (NCBI taxonomy): Eukaryota > Metazoa > Chordata > Mammalia > Primates > Hominidae > Homo > Homo sapiens. The sequence continues at coordinate 184,118,495 of NC_000004.12, forward strand.
GTGGCAATTTACCTGGTGGCTTTTGGTCAGGAAGCTGTCAACCCCAGATGCTGGGAATCCTGGATTTGTGATGCCTGTGATTCAGGGATTATACACATGTCTTTTGTGAAAGGATGATACGTTGACATTTCATTGACTCATTAGGACCCTATGTCTTCAAGGGCTGAGACCTCTTGCCTGTCTGGAGTTTAGCTGACACATGCTTGCTTGCCAGCTGTTTTCCACAGGGATCTGGTTTCCATCCCAGGTCAGCTCATTTGCAATGAATTGTTTGGGTGAGGAGTGACGAGTAGTCATGCCTGCCCACCTACTACTGGCCATTGACAGCTCTAAGGTCCAGGAACCATTCTAGAAGGACATGTGGCCCCCAGCACAGTCACCTGAGAGCTGCAAGGGGTTCCTAGCCCTGGGGTTTCAGGGACACCTGAGTCTCCCATCACCTTATGATTCTGTCCTGATTTCTTTGCCATGTAAAAAGTTCTTAATGTTCTTTCCATTTTTCTTACTAAAGTGGCTGACTGTTAAGAAAAATGATCCAAAACTTAGAAATAAAGCCTACAGTATGATTGCCTGTCTTCTCAGTGCCATGGTGAGCACTGTCTAATAAGCTTGCTTGAGTCACCAGACTGAACTACTGATTGGAGTTCAGACTCCGGAAACGTAGCTGTTAGCTTGTAGGAAACTGATAAGATGAAAATTATTTTTGTCTGATGGAGAAAGCAGCTCTAACATTATGGTTTGATTATCCTCTATATTATTAAGCATATCTGCATCAAACAATAATTATCACTCATCATTCTCCATCCTTCTGTTTCTTGGTGTGTGTGTGTGTGTGTGTGTGTGTGTGTGTGTGTGTGTGTGTGTGTGTGTGTCTCATTTACTCCTTATAAGCAACTTTGTCATGCTCCTGGTTCCCCTCAGCAAGAAACTATGTTGAACCTTGGCATATTCCTCATACCCAGATGTGCTGAGCATATGACAAGTCTTAATTTTGAAAATTCTCTTTTGACAGGGTCATTGGAACTAGACAAATTCGGGATCAAACTCTGGCTTCTCTTCTAACTAACCTCGAGGCCTCAGATAAATGGCAAGATTATCTCCAAGCCTCCGTTTTCCCATCTGAAAAACCTACTTGATATGGTTTGGCTGTGTCCCCACCCAAATCTCATCTTGAATTGTAGCTCCCATAGTCCCCATGTGTTGTGGGAGGGATCCAGTGGGAGGTGATTGGAGCATGGGGGCTATTCTCATGATATTGCTATTCTCATGATCGTGAGTGAGTTCCCATGAGATCTGATGGTTTTATAAAGGGATTTCCCCCCTTTTGCTTGGCACTTCTCCTTGTTGCTGCCATGTGAAGAAGGACACGTCTGCTTTCCCTTCTGCCATGATTGTAAGTTTCCTGAGGCCTCCCCAGCCCTGTAGAACTGCGAGTCAATTAAATCTCTTCCCTTTACAAATTACCCAGTCTTAGGTATGTCTTTATTAGCAGCAAGAGAACGAACTGATACACTACTCAAAGGGTAACATGGTGTATTAAACAAGCTGATGTGTATAAAGCACTTGACACATAGTAAAAGGGAGGGGAGGGGAAGAAATGCCTCCCATTTCTCTCCTCCTTCCAGGTGGCCCTAGATCGCTTTTCCTGAGTATGTGGCTGAGCAGGCATGAGGAGCCAGTCTCCTAGCCCCAGCCTGATTCCTGCTCCTTCTTCCCTGTACTCTACAGGGAGGAGGGTCCAGGCCAGGACAGGGGAGCTGGCTTCCTGGTGGCCCGTGGAAAGAGTTGTGTCATCCATTCCTTCATTAGTCCAGGCACCACTGAGGCTCTGGGATCCTGAAGGCAGTCCTTTAGAGCTGTCTTCAGTAGCCTGGAGCTTGACAAAGGACCATATCTATACACAGCCTATGGCTGTGCCCACTGTTCCGGCAGCCAAGTTGTTTCCTGACTGACACTTTTGTGAAGCTGCACAGTGAGTCTGCTCTACAAGCCTGGAAGCAGTTGTCCGGCCCACTGTGACCCCCTGCTCTCCTCCACCAACCCCATGAGCCATTCAAGGCTCATTTCAGCTTTAGCACCATGCACCTTTTCCTGCCCACTGAACCACGAATATCCTGCAAATCGGACTTCCAGAAGGATGGGAGTAAGTGATGCAGATCACAAACCCTGCTTCCTTTTCAGCCAGGAAAAAGGGCCGTGTGTGGGGGGCACTGCCTGCAGACTGCCCATGTGTGGTGGGAGGCACATGGCTCCGGTGCCTGGGCTGCAGGCTGCAGAACCCCAGGCCTTAGGATGGCCCCAAAGAGAACACTTGCAAAGAGGCGCGTCTGGACTCCCTGTCGCTGTCTCAATTTCAGGGTGTCTTAGAGGTGTGAGCTGGCAGAGATCAGGGTAGAGGACTGAGGAGTTGACCCTGGAGTGGTTCTCAGGCACCGTGTCCCCAAGGCAGGAGGCCTCCAGAGTCTGAGCCCTAAGCCGCTGTGGAAAGAGCTGGGCTCTTGCTCCACCACTGGCTGGCTTGTGAGGTCCAAGAAGTATTTAACCTTCAGAGAGCCAGTGGCCTCTTTTGTAAGGTGGGGAGAGCAATGCCTACACAATACCACGGACATGAGAACCAAGTGGGTTACTGGATATCAAGCCCATTGACACAATACTAGCCAATGGCTGTTAAAGCACTAATTCCCTTCCCTCCTCCTTTTCCCTATTCTAGAAGTTGTCCAAATTCAAAGGTAGCATTTCACAAGGATATGTCTGGGGTCAGTAATGCGTTATGAGCACTGGAAGGAATGCCTGAATCAAACTTGGGCGAGGGATTCTCTTTCCTACCACAGGCTGACATAGATCCTCTGCTGAAATGTCCCTGAGCAGACCTCTATGTTCAAGATCTTAACAGCCTCTCCTGCTTTCTGTCAAAGCCCATCTATCCTGGGTTCCATTCTCTCTGCCTCTCAAGTTAATAGCAAAGTGGATTAAAAAACACACTCTGTGAGTCTTGTAGTGACTTGGAGAAATGTGTGTGCATGTTTGGGCACTCATGTATGAAAACTCCAAGTGTTCCTCAAATTATAGTTAGGAATTTGCAGTAGAGCTGAACAGAAGTCAAGAGGTGAGCTGTGGCATTCTAGACATGCTCCTCTTTCAAGGGTCTCTGATGGACAGACCAATAAGCCTACATCTTTGCTAGACACACATACCAAGAGACTTAATGATTCCTTTGAGCCACATGATTGCATGGACAAGCTGCTACAGGCAAAGTGCTCTTGACTGGTCTAGACTGTTCTAGACTGGACATCTTCTTCACTCACCTCATTCCTGAAGGAGACAAAGGTTAGATTTCTTTCAAAGAAAAATGTTGACCCACAACTTTCAGGCCTTTATTATTCTTTGTAAGAAGGTGATGAGACATGTTCTAATAATAACACACAGGTTGGCTGAAGGAGGGGCTTCCTGTGTCTTCAGGGGAGGCCCAAGTCATCTCACTGTCTTCCACAGGCAGTATCATCCAGCCTATTATTATTCTTTTCTTTCTCACATGTCAAGAGCTTCCTAGCTTTAGAGGTAGTGGGTCTCCATCTTTCCACCTACTACCCAAAGGGGCTGTTTCTGGTGGCCCTGTTAACTTTGGCAATATGAAGACCCCATGAGACAATTACACTGACCTGGTTTCCATCCGACCCAGGCCTTCACTGCTTCCAGGGCATCATTCTTATTGCAGACCATGTGAATGCCAACCCATGGAGCTCAAGGCCATCTACATAGACCACAATTTAAATACGTGGAGCTGGGCAGTATGGTAATGCCAGGGCACATTAGGTGGCAGCCTAGCTGGGGACCCTTTCCTGGGCTTCCGGTTCTTTGTAGCCCTTTCTTCCTGGTGGAACCCAATACCTATGGTAGACACACACTCATACACCACCACCACCACCACCACCACCACCACCACCAGAACCTTCCCCATTCCTAAATATTCTCCAAGGTAAAGATGCATTTCTATAGCTTCTCTAGAGGAAACAGAGCCCAGCACTTATTCCCCGCTGCATGCTGGTGTCTCTCAGGACAGGGAAGTCTGCTTAGACTGGCCGGTGCCAACCTGCACTGGCACTGCTTAGTAGGCCAGTGCCAACCTGGGATTCTCATGGCTGTGTGCTCTGTGCTCACCCACCTGTGAATCACCGGGTGGTACAGAGTGACAATCCATCAGCTGTTAAGATAAGATGAATGCAAAAAGGATGACATTGCCAAACAGACTGTTGGGTTATTTGGAGGTATCTGTATGACAACTCTAACCCGAAATTTCATATTTGGCACAGCCATGGCCTGTGGGGATGGCTGGCATTCTGGATATGTTGGAAACAGCACTGGTTAGACATGGAGCAATGTCCAAGTGCCAGCCCCACTCATCTGCTACACGTGCTGTGCTATTCTGCTTCACTCGCACAAAACTAGACTGCAGCGCAATATACCGGCTCATCCTTGTGTGGTTCTCCAGCACTCACGGGCAATTATTTCTCCATTTCTATGTGTTTTAAACCTGTTTTCTCTCCGACCTGTCAATGAGAGCATGAACCTTTATGAACCCCACCTCCCTGGACCCTCTTGATAGGTTTCGTGGAAGTGGAATCATTCTAAGAAGCAGTGAAGGCAGGGTGCTGTTTTCTGCTTTCACAGCTCTGTGGGGGTGGCTGCTGCTCACCATGGCATCGGAAGGGCGTGGCAAGAAGAAAATCTATGATTGGTCAGCTCTGTATCTGAGGCAGTTTTAGGGACAGGCCCTTTCATGTGGCTCGTGCTAGTGCTCTGTACACTGTGCCTGGGTATGTTGGTTCTCGGATATGCCCAGCTTGAAACCAGGCTCCTTTTCTTGGGGGGATGAAGGTCCTGTCCCCAGCCTCTTTGCTCTGATTATGGTGGGTCTTCTGCCTGACGCACACAGGAAACCCATTCAGTGTCCACAGTGACCTCAAGTCCACTCCTGGAAACTCAAAAGCCCCCAGCATCTGTAACCTCTCGGTTGCTGATCTCTACTTAATGCAAACTCCCACTTGGGCTCCCATCTTGACTTCCACTTCCAGAGATTTCTGAGACTGACTTCAGGCTTTGTCCTGAACTGTCTTGATCAGTGTCCTTGACAGACTCTTGTGTGCTATACAAGAGAGCATTACTAATTCCTACATTTTTCAAATTGTGTGTCATGGTTCCATGTGGGAGGGAAAAAACAGATTTTGTGTTCTAATATACCCATGCATTTTGTACATGGGTACAAGAAGGGGGTAGGGTAGGCAATTTTCCCAAACTTATTTGACCACATATCCTTCCTTTTTGCCAAATACTGATTAGTACCTTCAGAGACACAATTGTTCACTGACTAATGCTTAGGGAAATGATGACATTTATATTGTTTCTCCGTTGTTTAACAACATAAAAAAGGAGATTCAAACCCTTAGGGATTTTCCTGCTCTCAATTCAACATTTCCAGAGATTGCCCCTGCCTGAAATCACTTGCTCACAATTACTCCCTACTAGCAGTTAACAATCACTATGCAAGACTCTCACCAACTCTCTGACATTATTTCATCTCCACAAAGCCCTCTTAATTCACTTTAGGATCCATGATCAGTCCTGGAAACAAGGAAGAAAATGGTGTGGCTAGAGTTTGGGACACTTACTTGAAGGAGTCAAGAGCATCGCTGACTGCATTGGCAAAATTGATATCCGTTGGGACATTTTTATATTCTAGGCAGTAGGTGGGTCTGACACCCAGAATCTCAACCTCACAGCCTGAGAAGGAAAAAGATGGCAAATAGTTACTCTCTTCAATAAGTAATGTCGAGTTATGAGCCTATTTCAGGAAGCAAACACCATTAGTCAAAATCAAAAATAAAAATGTTGAGTATTTTTATGAACTAAAATAACTTATTGCTAATAAGTGGTGTATTTAACTGTAATTTTGCATAACCAGAGCAGAGGTTCTCAAATGTCATTCCTATGCAACACTGGTGTCCCACATCAGAGACTGGCAAAAATTAGACCACAACTGTCTTTCCCAATTTGAAACAAAACACAATTAATCAATATACACAAATACCTCAATTGAAAATTTCTTCAATAGATTTTTCATGAATCTAAGTCTTTCATGAAAACAAAGTCTTCTAGTGTACTTTTGCCTCTTCTAGAATCAAGTATTAGGTAGCATCTGATTAGTCAGAGGATTATAAAATAAATATTTTACTATCCTGTGGCATTATACAAAAGCTAACTGGACTTAGAGGTACTCTGCCAAATTGGCAAGCTAAGAATCAGTGAGTTCAAGCAATGGGGTCTGAGCCGTACCCTTGCCTGGCCCAAAACAGAGTGAAAGAATCAAACTCATTCCGATGTGAACAGACTCAGCTTTTCTGCCCCAGACTCCTGGACAAGTAGAAGTAGTTGCTCTGCCGAGAAACACCCATCCATATTAGGGAACATAGAACAGGAGAGGGATGTGCCCACCTTGGTTTCTGCTAGTTGAGTAAATATTTATTGGGCATTTACTATGACCGAGTCACTATGTTCAGACGTACTGGAAACAGGAGTGGATCTGGTAGGGTCTCCTTCCGGGAGCATCCCAGAGTTTAGTCTAGTGGGAGGGGACACAGGAAAGTGTGTGGTATGTGAAGTCTAAAGGGAGGTGCATGCTTCCTGGGTGTTGTGGGAATCAGATGAAGGGCACTGACTTCAGGCATCACTTCCTCCTGAAAGCCTTCCTCAGGTCCCGATGTTGGGCTCAGTTTTGTAGATTTAGCCACGGCAGTGGGATGCAGGTGGGCTGGGAGGAAGTCCCAGGCAAAGACAGCAGCTTGACCAAGGGTTCAGAGAACTTCTGAGCAACACTGTATGTGTAGAGAACTGTAAGTACCATAAAATGCCAGACAATGGTGCCAGGAGACCAGATGCTGCTCTTTCTTGTAGCCCAGGGAAAATGATTTCCAAGGTGAGGTAAGTAAAAGTGGGGCAGAGGGAGCGCAGGAGGAAAGGAGGAAGGAGTCCCTGTCAGGAAGCACATCAACCCCACCCCTGGGTACATCTGCCAGCTGGTTACAGCTGATTTAAAAGATGACAGGGCAGCCTCCAGAAAGCATCCCTTCATCTGGCATACTATAGCAAGACCTGGGTGTGTCATGAGAGACCCTATTGCTTTCTGCTTGATATGTTGGATTCAGGGAGAGCAAGGGCTCCTACAATCACTGTGACAGAACTAGAAAAGCAGGAAGTTTCCTTTTCCAAAACATGTTTTTTGAGAGGGAAAAATAGGCTAGGTGACCCAGAAATAAATACTGCTCATGACTTCCAGGAAAATATTCATTAGAGTAAGAAATGTCAGTGGAATCTTGAATGACTATATCACTTTAGATACCAGTGTTTTATCTGTTGAAGGTGATTTGTGAATTGTTATTGCTCTCTCAAAGCTATTTTTTCTGTATCCACCTTGTGCTCAGTGCCAGAAACCCCAAAGCAAATAAGATATCACCCACCCTTTAAAAGTTTAACAGTCATGTACAGTGTGACCAGGTGTCTGCTTCTAGCATCTCTGACACATCTGTATGTAAATTGTAAGTAATGCAGTATGACCATGGTTTTGCAGATAAGAGAAACGCATCCTTTTTGGTGTTTGCACATAATATAAAACTATAAATGTTTTTGGTACGAGCAACAATAAATATGTTTGTTAATGTTATCAAACAGATGTTCTCTTAATACCTTTACTTAAATAAAATGAATCTGGACTTAACACTGGCACAGTAATACAGTTCACCTGAGTAATTTGCCCTTGCCTCAGGTTAAAGTAGAAAACAAACTTTTTTTTATTGATTAATTACATGTAAAATTCTACAGTACAGGTAGAGGCAGTATGTGTCAAAGTGGAGCTGTTGTTATAGTGCTATGGACTTCTGTATTTTCGAAAACTATAATTAATTTTAATTTAAACAAACATCATGGCAGCAGCCTACCGTGGCTACCTAGGCTAAAGGTAGGATAGGAGAATCAAGAGAAATTCCCCCAAAGTACACAAACTCTTCACTGAGTGCAAAGCAACAGTTTTATCAAAGACTAAGGACATACATCAGAGTGGAAAGGGATCTTCCAACTTGCAGAAAGCTGTAGACAATGCTGGAGAGAAAAAGAATTCCTCAGTGACCCAAGAAGTTGGCAGCATGAATTCTCTATGTAAAGCACTGGACAAATTGCAAGACTTGCTAAAGTGATCGTCCTTATCATTTCTCACCTGTGACACTAGTGGAAAAATGAATCTAACTAAATCTTCAGGAAAGCGCAGACCCAGCTCAGCTACAGATTAGATTGATTTGGATGCCACCCTAGAGGAATGAAATAGGAAGAAATATGGTCTTTCTGGGGAAAATATTATTTACCATATTATCTCTATTGTTCTTTCTCACACAATGTCCAACATACAATAAAAAATCATGAAACATGCTAAAAACAGTAAAACGTGCCCCATAATTAAGAGAAAAAATAATCAACAGAATCAGATCCATAGACGGCACAATTGTCAGTGAGAAAGGTTAAACATAAAATACATTTTTAAAAAAGATTATTGACTAAATCAAAATTGATAACAATATATTATGGACTTTACAACATACGTAAAAGTAAAACATATGACAGTAAGAATATAAAAAGTGCATATGTGGACAAATGGCATTATATAATAAAATTTTGAAACTCATGTCATTTGTGAATATTATTTTAAAGTAGATGTAAATAAGTTATAGATGTGTGTTGAAATGTCTAGAATAACCATTAGGAAAAAAACAATAAAATCTAAGATTAATAAAGAAGATATGGTAGAATTCTAAAAGTACTCAATTAGTGAAAAAAAGATAGGAAAGGAGAAACAGAGGAACAAAAACAGTTAAGACAAGTAAAAAAACAGTATGAAGATGAGAGTTTTAAACTCCAAAACATCAATAATTACATCAAAAATAAATGGACTAAATATGTTATTTAAAACGCAGAGGTGGGTCAGGCTGAATAAAAAAGCAAGACCTGAGGTCAGGAGCTTGAGACTGGCCTGGCTAACAAGGTGAAACCCTGCCTCTACCAAAAATATAAAACTAGCCAGGCGTAGTGCTGTGTGCCTGTATTCCCAGCTACTTGGGAGGCTGAGGCAGGAGAATCCCTTGAACCTGGTGGGTGGAGGTTGCAGTGAGCTGAGATTGAGCCATTGCACTCCAGCCTGGGTAACAAGAGCGAAACTCCATATCCAAATAATTTTTAAAAAATCGTTAAGCCTAAGTGATAACTATTAAGGTAGTTATGTGAAAATATTTTATGGAAGAATAAGGTGTATACTTAGCATTTTTAAAGTAATAATCTGGGTCTAAAGTTCCAAATTATGTCAACAGAAATTGGGAGAGAGTGCCAGGGAAGGAAGAGAAAGCATTTTCATTGTTGATGAAGGGAAGGGATAGTCAATATATAATGTTTCATTCTAGATATTGATTTAAAAGATTTGAAAATACAGAACAGCATAGCTTTTGAGTCATCAAGGAAAAAAACAAAAAAAATTGATCAAATATCAAAGTACATATAAGTGAATAAAAGGAAGCAACCAGGAAGCATTAATACTGAATGAATAAAAAAGGAGAAAACCAAATTTATTAACTTCAAAATTATTGTGAATAGATTAAATTCTACTTTTTTTTGAGGCAGAGTCTCACTCTGTCACCCAGGCTGGAGTGCAGTGGCACGATCTCGGGTCACTGCAACTTCCACCTCCCGGGTTCAAGCAATTCTCCTACCTCAGCTTCCTGAGTAGTTGGGATTACAGGCATATGCCACCATGCCTGGCTAATTTTTGTATTTTTAGTAGACACGAGGTTTCACCATGATGGCCAGGCTGGTCTCAAACTCCTCATCTCAAGTGATCTGCCTGCCTCAGCCTCTCAAAGTGCTGGAATTACAGGCATGAGCCACCATGCCTGGGCAGTTAGCCTATTTTTAAAGAATGTCAAGATGATGTAAGAAATAAAATCCAACTTTATTTACAAAATGCACATTTGAAATAAAATGACACAGAAGAATAGATATAAAAGAATGGGCAAAAAAAAAAACCTACACACACAAAGAAATCTTGGAAATATAACGTGCAAAATTGCAACTTGGTGGAAAACTTTCATGACAGTTCAAGACATAAAGAATAAATACAAATCTAGAGGATTTGAATGTTAGTATCAATAGGCTGGATTCAATAGATATTGAAAAGTTTATCTTATTAGCATAGAATGTGCATTATTTTCGAATATAACTGTTGAAAAAACTGATCATATTCTGGTCAAAAAGAAAATCTCAGTAACTTCCAAAAAGCAGAATTTTTGTAGGCCACAATTGCATACTATCTGATCATGGGTAATAAAATTAGGAATTAGTCATGATAATTAACCACCAATAAATCTAACTGCCTATAAATTAAAAAGAAACCTTTATGTAACTTGATGTAAAGAGGAAATGAAAACTTCACCGACAGGCTAGTTATTAACAACAGTGAAAACTCTACATTTTTCAAAACTTCAAGGGATGCATTTTCATTTAGGTGAGAAGCAAATCAGGAATGCTATCATCACCATGGTAATTTATTATTACTGTTCTAGAACTTCTCGAACAGGAAAAAGAAATAAGAAATGAATGCTGGAAATCAGGAGGCATGTAAGCGTTCTTCTATTGGAAAGTTTTGAAAACTTTTTGTCTGTAATCCGTGGAAAAATGCACTGACGTAGTACACAAACACCCCCCCAACATACACACACACACACACACACACACACACACACACACCAGAAACAAAATTTCACCAAATTATAGGCAATGTACACAAATACTTTCTTCTTCTATTCTGTTCTGTGTTTTTAAAAAAATGCTTATTAGCATTCCATAAGTACGTTTCAACTTATGGATCAAGTGAACTCCCATCCACTACGCATCAAGACCTGTGTTTGAAAAATACACCTAGACATGGATTTCAGGGTCACTGTTACCCATTGAGACTAAGGTTGTTGTGAAACTCAGACAACTTCTATGGTCTACATGCTTTGCCTAGCAAATCACTGCTAGAAACATACTCTAAAAAATAAAGTTGTATATACAAGCATCTTTATTACAATATTATTTATAAAACTGAGAAGCAATTTAAAGATTTGATAATAGAGGTATGGTTAAATTATAGCATATCCACATAATGAAGTAATATGCAGGCGTTAAAATAATTATGCCATTTTATTTAGTGGCATAATATTTTGAAAGAAAAAAGCTACAAAATAGTATATAACAGATGATCTCCTTTTTGGAAGTATTTAAAGCAGGTTTATGTCCAAAAAAGAGTAGAAGTAAATACAACAAAATAGAAGAAAGGACACAATTTCAATGACTGGTTTGGCAGACTTTTTTTGGTTGATTTAAGTGATTCTAAACTCCCTTCTCTGTTTCTGTTTTGTCGAATATAAAGAGGAAAACTTCCTCACTTCCTGAGGTCCCCTTGTGGGTAGGAATTGTCATTTGACTTAGAAGTGGCATTGAGATTGGGTGCGGAGCTTAGGGTGGGAAGCTTTGCTTCCTCATGAAAGACAAGGTGTGCTGCTGGCCAAGCTACTCTCTTCTCCAGTTTGGAATGCGGTTGTGAGGGCAGGATCCCTGGGTCTGCAGCAGCTGCCTTGAAACTATAGGGCAACAAGCATGAGGATAAGCCGATGTGCTGACATGGGCAAGGGATATAAAGAGCCTGGGTTTTGGCCGGGCGCGGTGGCTCATGCCTGTAATCCCAGCACTTTGGGAGGCCGAGGTGGGTGGATCACGAGGTCAGGAGATCGAGACCATCCTGGCTAACACGGTGAAACCCTGTCTCTACTAAAAACACAAAAAATTAGCCGGGCGTGGTGGTGGGCACCTGTAGTCCCAGCTACTCGGGAGGCTGAGGCAGGAGAATGGCGTGAACCCGGGAGGCGGAGCTTGCAGTGAGCCGAGATCACACCACTGCACTCCAGCCTGGGCCACAGAGCGAGACTCCAAATCAAACAAAACAAAACAAAAAAAAAAGAGCTTGGGTTTTAAAAATGACATTGGTCAGTGTCTGAACCACATAAAGCACTCCTTGTTATATGATACAAATCAATTCCTTTGTGTTTATCCAGTCTAAACTACATTCTATATCATTTGCAGCAGACAAGTCCTAACTGACAAGAGAGAGAGAGTGGTGACTTTCTATTCTTATTATTACTTATCTTAATGGAACTAACTTTTCTAAAATAAATGTTGCTTTTGTCATAAGGAACCAAAACTTATTTTGTAGTGTTAATTTCCAACTGCCTTGTAATATGCCAATTAGGACACAGAAGTTCCGTTATGTGACTGTATCACTATTTATCTATCCTAAAGTTGTTGAACATTTGGGTCATTGCCAGTGTTCAAATATAGTAGATAATGCCGACAGAAACATTTCTGTACACTTTCTTTGGTGCTCATAGGTATGCATTTCTGTTAGGATACACGCATTAAGAGAAGAGCTCGATTTGGGGAACGTATACAGTCAACTTTATAAGATAATGTCAAAGAGTTTTGTAAAGCTATTGTTTCAACTTGCTTCCACCAGCACTTACTTTCTTTCTTTCTTTCTTTCTTTCTTTCTTTCTTTCTTTCTTTCTTTCTTTCTTTCTTTCTTCTTTCTTTCTTTCTTTTTCTTTCTTTCTTTCCTTTTCTTTCTTTCTTTCTCTTTCTCTTCCTTCCTTCCTTCCTTCCTTCCTTCCTTCCTTCCTTCCTTCCTTCCTTTCTCTCTCCTCTCTCTCTTTCTTCTTTCTTTCTTTCTTTTCTTTCTTCTTTCTTTTTTTTTGAGATGGAGTCTCCCTCTGTCGCCCAGGCTGGAGTGCAGTGGAGTGATCTTAGCTCACTGCAATCTCTGCTCCTGGGTTCAAGCGATTCTCCTGCCTTAGCCTCCCCGAGTAGCTGGGACTACAGGCACCCATCACCATGCCCAGCTAATTTTTTTTTTTTTTTGTATTTTTAGTACAGATGAGATTTCACCATGTTGGCCAGGCTGGTCTTGAACTCTTGACCTCAGGTGATCCACCTGCCTTGGCCTCCCAAAGTGCTGGGATCACAGGTGTGAGCCATCACGCCCTGCCTCTACCAGCACTTTCTAAGACTCAGTTGCTCCATCCTCATCAACACTTGGATTTGTTGGTTTTCAAAATTACCCATTTTCCATTTCAGTGTCTGTGACTATCAAGAGTCTGTAGAGAAACAAGGACCAATAGAACACACACACACACACACACACACACACATATATATATATATAAAGAGGTATATTATGAGGAATTGGCTTCCACAATTATGGAGGCTGAGAAGTCCCACCATCCGCCATCCACAAGCTGGAGATCTAGGAAACCTGGTGGTTGTAATTCAGTCCTAATTCAGTCCTAATTCAGTCTGAAGGCCTGAGAACCAGGAGAACTGAGAGCAGAAGATGGATGTCCCAGCTGAAGCGATTAGGTAGGAAGGAGTGACCCCTTCCCTCCTAAGCCTTTTGTTCTATTCAGGCCCTCAAGGGATTGGATGATGGCCACCCACATTGGGGAGGGAAAAATACATTACTGAGTCCACTGATGCAAACGTCAATCTCAACTGGAAACCCCCAACAGAAACACACAGAAATAATATTTAATCTGGGGACCCCTCTACCCGTCAAGTTGACACATAAAAATAACCATCACAGTGGATATGATGAGTTCTCACATTGTAGTTTTATTTTGCTTTTTTTTTTGCTACCAAGGCTGAGTGTCTTTACATATGTTTATTGACCATTGGGATACCCAATTATGTAAAGTGTTAGCTCATATTTTTCTATTGAGTTGACTTTTTCCTTTTTATTTATAGGAATTGTGCATATGTTCCAGATATCAACTCGTTGTTTGTTTTATTTCCTCATACTTTGTAATTATTTTTGTCCTTTCTAGTAATGTCTTTTCATAAAGAGAAGCTTCTAATTTTAATGACTTCATCAGTCATTTTTCTACACTGTTAGTGCTATCTTTTCCTGCTTAAGAAATATTCTTCTTATCTAAAGTCATGAAGATATTCACCTATGTTTTCTTTCTTCAGTTCCAAATTTTTCTAAACATAGAAGCCTTATGTTTTCCATTTTACGTTTAGATCTACAATCCATCAGGAATTACCTAGAATTAATTTTCATATATGGTATTAGATAGTCAGAAGATGTATATATAGATACACATATATACATATATACACACATATATATACATATATACATATATACACACACACACACACATATATATATATATATATATATAAAATCTCCAATTGATCTATCATAATTTTTTGGAGACTATCTTTTATCACTTTGTGGGAGTGTCACGGTCATAAATCAGGTATTGGATCATATGTTTGTGGGTTTATTTCAGGAATTTCTGACCTTTACCCTTAGTCTATTTAACTATTCTTGTGGAAATACAATTTGTCTTACTTTTTGTAGTTTAAAGTAGGTCTGTATCTATTAATGGAGTAAATCTTCCTGTTTTGTTCATCTGACTCCAAATAGTTTCAGCTATTCTGGAGTCTGCACTTCATATAAATTTTAGAATCAACCTGTCAATTCACACACACACACACACACACACACACACACAGTTGAGATTTTGATTGGGATTACAGTGAATCTGTAGATCCATTCTGAGAAAACTGATAAAATACTAAGACTACCAGTTTATAAACATGTTTTTCCAATTATTTAGGTCTTTTTACATTTCTCTAAATGCTTTTTGATATTAAGTTCTTGAGCCATTTTTATTAGATTTATTCTTACATCTTTCACGTATTTGAATTTACTATAAATGGTATTGACCTTTTAATTTTTTCTCAGTTTTCTGTTGATACCAATACAATAATTTTTAAATTTTGAATTTATATCAAAATGCCTCTTATTAATTCTAAAAGTGAATTCTTTGGGGTTTTTCCAAAACAGTCATCTGTGAATAATGACAGTTTTTTGCCTTTTTAATTGTTTTATCCCTGTCATCTTCCCCTGCTCCCCCGAAGGACCCTCCAGTTCAAAGCTAAATAGAAGTCATGCTAGGAGGCACCCTTACCATAGTCCTGAACGCATTTCTCCATAAACTATGATGTTTGCTGTCATTTTTTTTTTTTGGTAGATATCCTTTATCACACTAAGGGTGCAGTGTACTAATTACCCAACTTTATTTTAATAAATCTAGTTTAGGATTGTATCAATTGCTTTTCATGTATCTACTGAAATGATTAGATGATTTTCTCTTTCATTCTATTACTGTTGTAAATGATATTGATTGATTTTTTTTTTTTTGAGATGGAGCCTCACTCTGTCACCCAGGCTGGAGTGATTTTTCAATGTTAAACCTGGGTTTTCCTTTTATAAACCCAATTGGTTGGCATATATTATTCTATTGATGTATTGATAGATTCAGGATGCAAATACTTTGTTTCTAATTTTTCTATCTATGTTCATGAAAAAGGTTGTCTTGTAATTTTACTTTCTTTAATGTCTGTCACATTTTTGTATCAAGATTACACTAACCTCATTATGGAAGTGATTTATTTATTTATTTATTTATTTATTTTTAGAGCTGGTATCACACTATGTTGGCCAGGCCAGTCTTGAATTCCTGAACTCTGGGGATGTTCTTGCCTCAGCCTCCCAAGTAGCTGGGATTACAAGTGTGCACCACCATGCCTGGCTTGATTTATCTTTATGCATTCTCTGGAAGAATTTCTGTAAGATTGTTATTATTTTTTCCTTAAATGTTTGAAAACTTCACTAGTGGAGTGTCTAATACTGGGTTATTTTAGGAATGGTTTTTAAAGACTTAATTTTAAAACTGATACAGAAGTATTCCAATTTTCTATTTCTTTTTTTCTGTTTTGGTGATGTTTCCCCTAGCAATCTGTCTGTTTCATGTGTGCTTTCAAATACATTGGTGTAACATTTTCACACTGTATTACTGGCTTTTTACGGTCTACAGGTTCTCTGTTGATGTCCCTTTTTTCATTTTATTATTGGCTATTTGTGTCTTCTCTCTTTATTTCTTTATAAGCCTTGTCAAGTTTTCATCCACTTTAACAGTTTTTTTTTCCTGAAAACAAATGTGGCTTTGTCAGTTTTCTTTGTTGTATGTTTATTTTCTATTTTATTCATTTCTGCTCATCATGATTTTCTTCTTTACATTTGGGGATAATTAAATTTGCCTTGAATTAGAGACAAATAATTACTTTTGGTCTTCTTAGCTAATGCATCTTGTATGCCTGTTAATTTCCTTTTAAGGATGGCTTTAGCTGCATTCGTCTTATGCCACTACATCATAAGTAGCATTTTTACTATACCTCAGTTCAAGATTTTTCTAAGTTTTCACAATTACTTCTTTGAATCAGGAGTTATTTAGAGGTCTGGTTATTTTCCAAATGTATGAGGATTTTTTTATTTTTATTATTGATTATTGTTTAATTACATGACAGTCAGAGGACACATTCTGATGATTTCAGACCTTTTCAATTTGTTGAGAAAGGTTTTATGGCTAACATATGACCATTTTTGATAAATATTTCATGTATACTTGAAAATAATGTTCATTCAGCAGCTAGGTGCAGAGTTCTAGTAAATTCAATCAGGTAAAAATGTTAATTATGTTATGTAAATTTTCTGTATCTTTCTAACTTTTTGCTCTCTTATTCTATCAGTTATTGAGAAAGATGTGTTTAAATCCACTATTATTGTGAATTTACCTGTGTCTCCTTTTAGTGCTTCCCATTTTTGACTTATTTATGTTGAGAGTGTGTAATTAGGAACATTACAATTTAGAACTGTTACATCTTCTTAGCAGATAAAAATTGATATCAACATGAAATGTCCTTAACTTAAAAACATTCTAGCATTAGAGTCTACATTGCCTAATGTTATTATAGCTGCACCAGCTCTCTTAGTGTTTTGTGCAATGTGTCTTTTAAAAATGCTATTACTTTCAACTTTCTGCATACTTATATTTAATGTATGTCTTTATAAGTAGCCTATATTAGTTTTTGGTTTTATCCAGTCTGATGATAGTCATTTTTAAAGTAAATTTCTATCAAAATTTAACATAGGTGCAAAAAAGTGAATAATTCATAAGGGTACTGTTCAGTGAATTGTTAAAAGGTAAAGGCAGCTGTGTACTGAGTACCCACGTCAGAAAACAGAACATGGCCATCACGTGTGGGCACCTTTTCATGCTCCCTTCTCATCACTGTTCACCCAAGGGTGAATACTGTTCTAACACTGCACATTAGCTTCACCTGTTTTGAATTTTATGTAAATGGAACACTATATAAATTCTGATTCATTAAAATATTTAACAAAATATTAGTAAAAAAATTAAAATTTACATTTAATGTATTTTCTGATATTTTTGTGTTTAAATCAGCCAATTAACTACATTTCATATCCATCACACATTTGATAGTTTTTCCTCTCCTTCTTTAATTTCTTTTGAATAAAGTACACATTATTATTATTGTGCCATTTCCCTTCCTCTATTAGTTTGCTATTTGTATACTTTGATTAACCTCTTCCTTGCAAAGGGCCCCAGCGATGATAAAAATGGAAATATTAGTCTATTAAAGTCTATTAGTCTATTAAATTTTATATAAATATAAAATTTATATTAAAATATAAATTTCATTCCACAACTTCCCAGAAAATACAAGAACATTCAGACACTTTAACTCTGAAATTTACATTTCTCCCATCTTCTGTGCTTCTATTGTCATGTACTTTAATTCTCTACAGGATTTTAATCCAAAAAAGGGATTTTTAGTATTATTATTTATTTAAATTTACCTACACACTCAGCCTTTCTATTACTCTTCATTTCCTCCTCCATCTCTGTGCTTCCATCTGTGATCATTTTCCTTCTGTCTAAAGAAGTTAATATTTCCTTTACTCTAGCTGGCAATGAGTTCTCTCAGTTTGCTATCTCTATATTTTCTATGGTTGCTGTCTCAGTTTACTATGCTATCATTTTTGAAGAATATTTTCACTTGATATAGAATTTTACGTTGATCACTGTTTTCTCATATCATTTTGAGGATCTCATTCCATTGTCTCCTTGGATTCAAATATTTTGTTGGAAAGTCAGCTGTCAGTCTTATTATTGCCCCACTGAACAATTTTCTCTGGCTTCTTTTAAGATTTTCTCATTGTCTTTGGTTTTCACCAGTTCTGAAATCCATGATGCTCTTTCCTGTTTCACAGCACTTCTTGAATGTATAGTTTGGTATTTCTTGTCAGTTTGGGGAAATTCTCCATTATTATTACTCAAATATTACTTCTGCCCCATTTTCCCTCTCCTGCTGTGACCCCTTCACTATATCCCGCATGTCTCTTACATTCTTTTCTGCCTTGTTCATCCTTTTGCCTCTTCACATTGAAGCTGGATAGCTCTGTCTTTATTTCTAGAGTTCCCTTTGTAAAAAAGATTTTAATTTACTACTGCAGGTCTCCATTTTGTGATTTAGTCTTTTATCAGAGTTCTTTTTGTTTTTCTGAGATGGAGTCTCGCTCTGTCACCCAGGCTGGAGTGCAGTGGCGCAATCTCAGCTCACTGCAACCTCCGCCTTCCAGGTTCAAGCAATTCTCCTGCCTCAGCCTCCTGAGTAGCTGGGACTACAGGCACCCACCACCACACTTGGTTAATTTTTGTATTTTTAATAGAGATGGAGTTTCACCATGTTGGCCAGATTGGTCTCGAACACCTTACCTCAAGCAATCCACCTGCCTCAGCCTCCCAGAGTGCTGGGATTACAGGCGTGAGCCACTGTGCCCGGCCTATAGTGGTTTTGGGTCTATTCTGCTTTTTTTCTCTCTCTTGGTTTTTCAGTCAGGCCTTGTTTTCTTATAATCTGTTTTTTTAAATTGAATACTACATATTATATGCATAAAATTGTAAATACCACTTAACAGGATATGTAGTTATCTTCCAGTGAGCACACAGTTTTGCTCATGGTGAGGATTTAGGCTATGAGCAGACTACCTTAATCCAGAGTGGATTGTCAAGGATTAAGATGATTTGAAGCTTAGCTGTGTCTTTATGAAGGCTTGCCCCTTGTCTATTTCTAGCTTATTCTTACTGCTAGGGTGTTGCTTTTTACTGTTCCAACTGAAAGTCTGGATTTTTACTAGATTTATTTTCCTTGGTGGGCCCTGAACTCCAATTTTTGTCCTTTCCCCTAACCAATAGTGCTGCCATGTCTCTTGACCTCTCAACTGCTGCTTTTCTGATCAGCATTTGACTGAAGGAGAGATGGGTACCATTGCTGGATGCACCTCTTTCTCCAGGTCTTGGCATGTCTCTGGTCCATCACATGCACACATGCATGCAGGCCAGCAGCTTTTCTAGTTGTTCCTGGAGAGATGCATTGTTTCAAAACAACTTAGCTGGGCATTGTACCAACTAGAACCCCACATTTCAATAAATAATTTTTAAACATAAAAGGTTACAATTTTAGAAATTATCTTTACATTTTATTAGAAATGCATGTCTTAATGAAAGAAGTAGGTGTGCTTTAAAACATTAATTTGTATATTCATGGATAAATATGACTGATTTCTAGAATGAGACAAGTTTAGAATCAATGCTATTTCTAATCATTAAATGTAAGTGCTGAGAAAGTTGTTCACATAAATAAATATATAGAAATAGAAGGAGTTTTTGTACCAATGTCATTTAATTCTTTGAACTGCTTCTTTGAATGCCAAAATCACACAGTGATCTATCATCATGCATTTGAAAACAACATTTCAGCTGACAACTCAATTAAGTTTTTCTTAAATAATTAAAAAGCAAGCACTGGAAACATCTTTTCTTTTAAGTTCTGTTATTTTGTTACTGGATTCACTCACTTTCCAACATTTACATCAATATTTTGAACCATCTGTCTGGTGCTAAGGCATTTATATACCATGTCAATGCATCTTAGGAATATTCTTGATGAGTGAGAGGTATCTTTTTCTTACATATAACAGGAAAGAACATTTTTTAGTCAGGATGACTTTAGCAATAGGTATGGACGTTGAGGATCTTAGAATTGGTTTCTTTAAAACTAATCTTGCTCTTGGAAATCCCTGGGAATTAAGTCTGAAGACTCCTGAACTCAGAAACTAGGCAGCAGAAGCTGTACTCTATGGGAACTGTGATATCCTGGAAGCAACTGGGCCCGAAGTGATGTTGACAGTTGGAGGTAAGAGGTGAGATCCATCTGACAATGGCATAAGGGATTCTCTTCAAGGTTATCCCCCAACTAAAGCTCTATGTGCAGAGCAGAGAGAGGAAGAAACTTCGAAGCCAGGGCAAATAGGACATCCTAATTACGATCTACTAAGATGATTACAGACTCAGATAATGGGGTGAGAAGGTCCTATCTCCACCCATCAGAGGTGCTCTGACTGCAAGTCCTGCAGACACCGTTCATTTGGGTGGAAGTCATGTGTCTCTGAGAAGGGATGGGACTGCAACCCAAGTGGATGGAGACTGGACAGGTGCAATCCTTCTGCTCCGTCTCTGCAGAATGGTCTCTCCACAGTGAAATCCCAAAAGGGAAAACATCTGCCCTTACCTCTAATGTTAAAACCCAGAGTGAATAAATGACTGGCTAGGCAACGGCCAGCAATAAATGACAATGGCAAAGAAATGGAGCGTGGAAGAGAGAGCAGTTTCAGATTTAGCAAAGTTTTAGAGGGAGCAAAGTTAATTATTCTGAGGTGAATTTTTTTTTTTTAGTTTTTTTTTTAAATTTATTATTATTATACTTTAAGTTTTCGGGTACATGTGCACATTGTGCAGGTTAGTTACATATGTATACATGTGCCATGCTGGTGCGCTGCACCCACTAACTCGTCATCTAGCATTAGGTATATCTCCCAATGCTATCCCTCCCCCCTCCCCCCACCCCACAATAGTCCGCAGAGTGTGATGTTCCCCTTCCTGTGTCCATGTGTTGTTCTCGTTGTTCAATTCCCACCTACGAGTGAGAATATGCGGTGTTTGGTTTTTTGTTCTTGCGATAGTTTACTGAGAATGATGATTTCCAATCATCCATGTCCCTACAAAGGACATGAACTCATCATTTTTTATGGCTGCATAGTATTCCATGGTGTATATGTGCCACATTTTCTTAATCCAGTCTATCATTGTTGGACATTTGGGTTGGTTCCAAGTCTTTGCTATTGTGAATAATGCCGCAATAAACATACGTGTGCATGTGTCTTTATAGCAGCATGATTTATAGTCATTTGGGTATATATCCAGTAATGGGACGGCTGGGTCAAATGGTATTTCTAGTTCTAGATCCCTGAGGAATCGCCACACTGACTTCCACAATGGTTGAACTAGTTTACAGTCCCACCAACAGTGTAAAAGTGTTCCTATTTCTCCACATCCTCTCCAGCACCTGTTGTTTCCTGACTTTTTAATGATTGCCATTCTAACTGGGGTGAGATGGTATCTCATTGTGGTTTTGATTTGCATTTCTCTGATGGCCAGTGATGGTGAGCATTTTTTCATGTGTTTTTTGGCTGCATAAATGTCTTCAAATACCTAGGAATCCAACTTACAAGGGACATGAAGGACCTCTTTAAGGAGAACTACAAACCACTGCTCAAGGAAATAAAAGAGGATACAAACAAATGGAAGAACATTCCATGCTCATGGGTAGGAAGAATCAATATCGTGAAAATGGCCATACTGCCCAAGGTAATTTACAGATTCAATGCCATCCCCATCAAGCTACCAATGCCTTTCTTCACATAATTGGAAAAAACTACTTTAAGGTTCATATGGAACCAAAAAAGAGCCCACATTGCCAAGTCAATCCTAAGCCAAAAGAACAAAGCTGGAGGCATCACACTACCTGACTTCAAACTATACTACAAGGCTACAGTAACCAAAACAGCATGGTACTGGTACCAAAACAGAGATATAGATCAATGGAACAGAACAGAGCCCTCAGAAATAACGCCGCATATCTACAACTATCTGATCTTTGACAAACCTGAGAAAAACAAGCAATGGGGAAAGGATTCCCTATTTAATAAATGGTGCTGGGAAAACTGGCTAGCCGTATGTAGAAAGCTGAAACTGGATCCCTTCCTTACACCTTATACAAAAATCAATTCAAGATGGATTAAAGACTTAAACGTTAGACCTAAAACCATAAAAACCCTAGAAGAAAACCTAGGCATTACCATTCAGGACATAGGCATGGGCAAGGACTTCATGTCTAAAACACCAAAAGCAATGGCAACCAAAGCCAAAATTGACAAATGGGATCTAATTAAACTAAAGAGCTTCTGCACAGCAAAAGAAACTACCATCAGAGTGAACAGGCAACCTACAAAATGGGAGAAAATTTTCGCAACCTACTCATCTGACAAAGGGCTAATATCCAGAATCTACAATGAACTCAAACAAATTTACAAGAAAAAACAAACAACCCGTCAAAAAGTGGGCGAAGGACATGAACAGACACTTCTCAAAAGAAGACATTTAACCGAGGTGAATTTGCGTGGGAGCTTTGTTTCGTTTTCTCTAGTTTTTATCTGATGGAAATCAGACTGGAGGGGGAGTGTTGTGTGAATCCCAGGAGGCAGCTGTCTAATCAGGAGTCTGTGGGCCCCTCTCCTGTATCTCCCACAGGCTCAATCTGTGAAGTGGGCGAGCATTGCTCAACCTCGCAGGCTGCTGCCTCCGGGCCATTTTCATGGCTCCACAGGGAGCATGGAATCTGGTCAGCTGAGATCTTGCAAGTCCCCCCAACATGACTGAGGAAAGCAGGGCTTTCTGAATCTCTGCCTCAGGGATCTGTGGGGAAGGCGGCAACAAGGGCGATGGGCTGCCTTTCACAATTTCAAACATTAATCAGGGACTTGGGGCAAGATTTTGGTTTCATGACAACTTTGAGGGCGTGGTTTAGCTTTATTCTGTCTTGTTTCCTCATCATTCCCAGGGAACATCGCAGGGAAATGCCCTTAATTAGGGCTCAGTTTTTAGGACCTCCTCTTATCTCTGTCTAGAGTCTGCCTTCTTGCTGGGTATTCCCATCTCGGGCAGTCTTCTACATCCTGATTGGAAAATAGAGCATTAGTGAGAACTTAAAGGACAATCAATGACAGCTGTCACTAAACCCATAGGCTTTTGTGCAAAATAATAATAATAATGATGATGATAAGGTATTTCTTCTTCAAAACATATAACTTCCACCCATTAGAAAATTATTTTGATACACTTATTTTTTTATAACACTTTTTTGGCTTGGACCAAAAATTGTCAACACAAATATGCAAATCTGTAACGTCTACAATACGGACGATGCCCCCCATAGATGTGGCATCCTGTGCAATTTACAGCTTTCACAGCTGTAGCTGCCATCGTACCTCAAACCCCTTCATCTACAGCTGAGAAAACAGAGGCCTCCTATGGGAGAGGTGAACCTCCCAAGGTCTCCCGGCCTGCCAGCCATCGGGTCTAGCTCTGGTACTTTCCACTGTGCGCACTGCCTTCCTGAAGGAGACTCGCTTCCTGGCAACTCTCTCCAAGGACCGCCAAGTTGAGCCCATAAAAATTACATTTCTCCAAACTTCCTAGAGCCTAGGTTTCCCCTTCCAAGTGTAGCTCCTGCTGCCTGCCAACTTTGACACATCTTGTAACAATAACCCCTGTGCGCTGCATTTTATGTGTTGCGAGACAGGTGTGCAACTGTTGAATGCATGTCTCAAGAGAGCTTATTAAAACAGCTAAGCCAATTAACTCTCCTAGAAGCACGTAACCTTTTCCAGGAAAATACATCTGAGGCACAGAAGCTTGTGGGAACAAGTCCTTGGGGGAAAGCATGGCCTTTGATCTCAGAGACACTTTTCCTGGGGTTGGCCTTGCCCACGGGGCTGGGGGACGTTTGGCGGTGGCTCCCTTCTGATGCAGGGAGGAAGAGGGTGGGCTAGCCTGAGCGCAGGGTGGCCCTGCAGACTGGCCTTGTGTGCAGGGGTGAGAGCAAGCTGAGGAAGACAAATTAGATGAGAACCAACTCATCCATTAGCGCTGACTCTGAAAACTCAACTGAAAATGACCTACTGGGCACACAAAGTGACTAATAGGAAACCAAGATGAGAGGGAACGTGTGCCATACCCAGGCTGAGTCTCAGCTTCAGGGAGGCAGATGGTGAAACTACAGCCAGGCATAATGAGGCCAAAGGCCGCGCTTTCATCTCTCTATCTGCTGGTTAGCTTTAGATCAGGAAAAATCCCTGGCCCAGGGTCAGCGACTGCACTTCTTCCGAGTGGGACCAGGTGAGAGGAATGAATGACCACGACTGGAATTACAGCCCCTACAGGCCACTTGACATAAGCGATCCACAGGGTCTTTGTGTCTGAGGCACGTGCCTCATGACCTTCTCAATCTTGAAAGGATTACAGTGACTCCATGCTTCCCACAAAGGAAGCCCTCTTGACTTTCTGCACCACACGGTTTTCCTGACCAAAGCCTCCTTCTCCTTCTCCGAGGAGCTGGTTTCCTCGCATTTGGATCACAGCAGACTGAACCTACCTGGCATGCAACATGCTGACAAGTCCTTTAATGCAAAGCTCATCAGGGTTGCTGAACCTCTTGCCCCTGTCTAGGAATTCCTTCCTCACCCCTCCAATTTGAATCTCTGATTCCCAAGTCTTACAAATGGCCTTATCCCTCATGTCTACTGGAGTCTCATGGTCTCCCAGCCTTCTCAGGTGGTTCTGAGCCACTCATAGGAAGAGCTGAGGCAAGGCGGGAGCAGTGTCTGTGGGCCCTGCAAAGCCTCTTCTCTGCAGTTTTTGGGCAGCAGCCCGGCACCAGCTCTCCTGGACTAGCCAGTCCTGTGCCCTTGTCAATCAGCTCCGCCTCTGCCTCAGTTCTGTGGGTGAGCCCTGAGACATGACACGATCAGGCTCTGTCCTCCTCCCCTTCTCCATGGACCTCGTGGCCTCTCCCGCTGTGCGTCCCTTTCCTGGGAGCCCCGCTTTCTGTCATTCATTGGCCCTCATGGCCAATCCCGGAATTCTCTGGGCAATCTGGAACATGGCTCCTGCTGCCCTCTGCCCCTCTGCAGCCCAGTGCGGGGTCTGCAGAGAGGGGGAGGGAAGAGCAGAGAGAGGCTAAGGGATTTCTGCGCGCCTCGCAGTGAGTGAGTGGCTGCATGGATCTGGAATCCATGTTCTGGCTTTTTAAAAAAACATCTTCTGCCCTGAAGTTCCTCAAGTGCTCCAGTGAAGTGCTGAAAACACTGTAGCTGAACAGGAGGGACAGGCAGGTAGGGGGCGCAGCTGTCTGCACACCAAGGGCTCAGGTGAGGCAAAAGTGCCACCTCTCTGTCCCACCACAGCGAAGTCCCTCTAACAGCGCCCTGGATCAGACAGCCAAGGGCCCACAGACTCAGCTAGGAAAGGTGCAGCAGAGGCTGGCAGGGCCCCCCGGGCCCCCAAGCCACCTTTCTGCTCTAGGAGGGGTTTGGTGCTGACAGAGAATGGGGCCTAGGCCTAGGAGGAAGGCGTATGATGCGGAAAGGGTGCAGACTGCCCCACTCACCAAACACCTCAGACTCTGGCATTCTCCTCTGAGGGCTAATTTAATATGTGGGTACCTACCTGGAGCCCTCTTCGTTACTTTGCCAGGACTCCTCCCTCCAAATCTACCACCCCCAGACTGTGCTCTGGGGAGTTGGGCTGGCACAGCTGGGAAGGCCAGCAGGAGCCCCAGCAGTGCCAGGCCCTCTCCAGACCTGGCCAGAAACCAGGTCCCAGTGCAGGGACCTCGCAGGCGGGACGGGACAGACAGCCCCAAACGGCAGCCCCGCCACTCACTTTCCTCTGCGTGCTCCTTCAGACTCCATTTCCCCAGCCCTGTGGAACGGATCGGGGGCAGCCTTTCCCCTGGGGTTCTCTGGAGAGACCCCTCTTTCTGCAGGAGTCTGGAGCAGCCAAGGCTTCCCAGGGAGCCTGACGTCAAGTCCAATGGCCTAACTAAGGTAGGAGGCAAAGGGAGGTGGCAGGGCTGCCTCACCCAGGTCCTGAGCGCTGCTACCAGCGCCTGCTCCAGGTCAGATGGCACTCTCCGTGGGAAGGAACCTTCTTCACCCTAAACAAGCTCCGAGCAGGCAGGACACTGGAACCCCAAAATCAGCCCAGAGAGAGGCCTCAGGATGTGTAGCTGGCACTTGACCTTGAGAGCAACAAGGTCTTCTTCACTGGGTCCCACCCTGGGGTACAATCCCGTACTCATCGTTCCTTTATGTAAGGCACTGAGGACTGTTAGGATGAAATAGTGTGTGGCCTGACAGCCCACGGCCCCGGCCCTGGTTGAAATCTCCTGATCAGGTCAGCGGAGGACAGAGGGCACTGAGGAAGGAAGGGCAGGCCCAGGGAAGGATTGGGCCCAGCAGGGCAGACCAGGTGGAGCGCCAGGAGGAGGAGGAGGAGGTGAGCAGCCTGAGAAGGGCCTTCCCGCATTCATGCGCTGGTCTAGCCACTGCCTCAAGGAGAGACCCTGAAACACAGTTCACTTGTTCTGATTTGCAGGCGTCTGAGTGCAGCGTTGCATGTGGAACGACTCGCTCAGCCTAGGGAACGTCAGTCCTTCCCGAGTCCCTTCAGCCTTATCTCCTCTCTTCCGCCCTTCCTCCTTCCTTTGCCTTGCTGCTTCCCCCTTTCACCTCCCTGCCTCCTTTTCTTTCTTCCTTCCCTTCCTTTCTATCCTCTCCCCTTTTTCTTCTTTATTTTTTCCTTCAACATGAAAGCATCAAATGACACATTTTGTTTTCCATTCCTGAGGCAGCGCTCAATTGATTTTAAGAAGTGGTCACAACACAGCTGCAAGGAGACGTGATGAAGCCCGAGGTTGGTCTCCTTTGCCCGCTGCACGCGTTGTGCTGTGATGCGATTATTTTTGACACACCTGGCTACATAATTAGGCTCTAAGCTCCTCGGTGGCAGGGCTGTGGCACATTCCGACTGTGCCCCATGTACACAGGCCACACAAGAAAACCACCATGGAATGAACACATCAGTGAACGGCATAGGCAGTTGATGTCCAAATTTCTTTTTCAGAGAAACTCTTTTCCCAAAGAAGTTCCAGCCATCTCCTGCCTCCCCAGCCCCTGAGCCACTGCAGCTTGACTGGGAAGCTGAGGGCAAGTGAATGCAGTTTGAAAACCTCCGATAGATGTGCGATGCGTGTCAGGGAATTCCTTACTGTAAACCCATAGGGGCCAGTGACTGCCCAAGAATAAATGGAGTATTATGCAGTTGTGTTGAAACAAATTTGGAACAAAGCAATCTGGCTGGAAATAATTTGGTTAGCACACCAGTTTGGTCAAAACAATAATTTGGTTTAAAAGGAATATTCATGACTCTGTGATTTTAAGTTTTTCTTTTTCTTTTTTTTTTTTTTGGTTTAGTTTGTCTGCTGTTACTTACCCTGTCCTCTCTTTTTTGTGTATATCCCAGTTCATTTTCAGCCAATTTTCAAGCGTTGACTAACAATGTTTAGAAATTAGTTGAAACGGCCAGGCGCAGTGGCTCACGCCTGTAATCCCAGCACTTTGAGAGGCTGGGAGGAGTGGATCATGAGGTCAGGAGTTGAAGACCAGCCTGGCCAAGATGGTGAAACCCCGTCTTTACTAAAAATAGAAAAATTAGCTGGGCATGGTGGTGGGTGCTTGTAATCCCAGCTACTCGGGAGGCTGAGGCAGAGAATTGCTTGAACCTGGGAGGCAGAGGTTGCAGCGAGCTGAGATTGCGCCACTGCACTCCAGCCTGGGCTCCAGAGCGAGACTCCGTTTCAAAAAAAAAAAAGAAAGAAAGAAAGAAAGAAATTAGTTGAAACAACCTGAATTGTTTTTCTTGCTATAAAAACAATGCATCCTTGCTACACAAAGTCAGAAATTATAATGTTAAAGAAATGAAATAGCCGCAAAGTCCAGAGCTGGCCGGGGTGCCCCGTTAATAAATGCAGATGCTCTTTTTGCAGCTCAGCAACATTAAATGCTCACGATGCCCACTCTGTCTTGCATTCTTTTGGCCTCTGGAACAAGTGTGTGTCAACAGTTGTCAAGTAGTGTCACTGTCTCAGGGAAGCCTCTCCCTGCCTCTCAGATGGGATGGGGCCCTCATCAGATGGCTACGCAGAGAGTGATACTACCTCCCCTTGCTTTTCACAGCTCTGCTGGGGCTTCTCCTGCTTCTGAAGCCTCTCCTCCTTGGTGTCCTTTGCAGGCTCACCCTCCTCCATCTGGTTACTAACAATTAGATTTCCTCAAGGCTGTGTCCAGGACCCTTTTTTCTTTCCAGTTCTGCACTCTCCCTGGGTAAACTTCTCCATTCCCACAGCTGCATTGACCTCTGATGCGTCATTGAGTCACGTCTTTGTATCTCCAGCCCTCTTCTCTGAGCTTCAGACCTGCCGGCTCGACGTCCCAGAGCCAACTCCGAATTGATGTCCCTCTGCCTTCAGACTGCTTCTCTTTCAGCTCCACCCGATTCAGTGAAGAATCACCATCTATGCAGTTCTGTGAGCAAGAAGCCCAGGGCCATGCCTGTCACCGTCCAATCCCTTACTCCCAAATCCAATCCATCAGCAGGTCCTGGCAGTTCCAATTCCTAAGTGTGCCTCCAACCCAGCCATTTCTCACCACCTCTGTTGCCCAGTCTGAGCGATGCTCACCTGCTCTCCGGGTTTCTACAGTGACTTCCTGATGTGTCAGTTGCCCTCATTCACCCACCCTGGATGTCTCCATTCCATTCAGGCTGCAGCCGGAGTAGTGCTTTCAAAATGCAAGTATGATGCCATCACGCTCTTCCTTAAAACCTTCCAGTGACTTCTCATTCATTTCACGATCAGAATAAATGCTTCAGCATGGGCCAGATGCTCATGCCTGTAATCCCAGCTCTTTGGGAGGTTGAGGTAAGAGGATTGCTTGAGTACGGGATTCGAGACCAGACTGGGCAACATAGTAAACCCCCGCCACCCCCGACCCCATGCCCATCTCTACAAAACGTAAAAAACTTAGCAGGGTGGGGAGGTGTGCCCCTATCATCCCACCTACTTAGGAAGCTGAGGTGTGAGTATCCTTTGAGCCCAGGAGGTCGAGGCTGCAGTGAGCTATGATTGCACCAATGCACTCTAGCCTGGGCAACAGAGAAAGACCCTGTTTCAAAAAAAAAAAAAAAGTATTCAGCTTGGCTCTTAGAGCCTGGCCTGGCCTCAGCCTCTCTCCACCTTATCCACACCACACCTCTCCTCCCTTCTTTCAGTGTCTTGAAACTTGCATGCTTCCCACCCCATCCAGGGCCTTAGCACCTGCTGCTCCTTGAGTCTGGGGTCTCCTTCCCACCTTACCCATCCCCTCGTGTCACTTTCTAAGGACACCTTTGTTAACCCTCTCAGAGGGAGCTAGACTCCTTATTAGATGATGTCATCATGCTTGCTTTTCATTATTGTACTTTTGATAACTGTACTTTTACATTTATTTTGATAAGTATTAGATCATCTATCTCCTTCACTGGATGGTAAGTTCTCGGGAGGGGGTGCAGGTGAGGAGGGTCTGTATCTGCTTTTGCTCATGGTTGTCTCCTGAGAGTTCATTCCAAGGCCTTGAGTCACACCCTTTAAAGATGTTTTGTGAAGAAGTGGATTTGCCATGATTTGTGAAGGTTGGAAGTTCGTCCCTGGATTTCTCGTTAAAACTTTCTAATCAACATAATGGATGCTGCTAAAAAACTATGCACTCTTTTGGCCAAGATACCATCCTGCAAAGGGAGATTGGATGTGGTTAGACAGCTATAAAAACTTTTGAACACTGCAGGAATCACTTCTGCAGACAGCAGTCCAAAGAGGCAGCATCTCCTCTATTTCTCTGCAGCAGAAATGGTCGACGCCTAGAAACCCTGCAGAATGCTTTTGAAGATCATTTTGTGGAGACAATCTCACTCTTGAGATGTGAATTTGCAATCCTTTTCTTGCTGACACAGACAACATCAGCGATGCAGATCTTGCCGAAGTTACTGACAAAGGAAATGATGCAATGTGAATTCAACCCAAAGAGGCTTACAGAATTTTGACCCAAGCCTGCCCTTGCCAGACATTAATTGCAGAAGCTTAGGTTTCAGTTGATACTTTGATGAGTTTTTAACACATTTCTATTGCATTAAAAAACCAAATCAATTAGCTATCATAGGTATGTGTATGTTATCACATCAAGGACCGCTTGGCAGTCCTCAGCATTGTAATCTCTTATACTACATGAGAACAAAAGTGTGAGTGTAGTGGATGTGGATGCATTCTTCTGGAAAGACGTTTACAGTTTTTATCAGTTTCCTAAAGAGGTTCTTGACTAATGAGGGCAGGAACCAGCAAATTATGCCTTGACTAAGGCCTCTTCCAGTCCTAAAATTACATAAACCACAAAGTCTAATGCCAAACTGGTAATGTTATTTAAAAAATAGTGGATATCCAGACCACTTGTGTTTGCAGTGTTTTGACATCTGCCTGAAAAAAATTCCAGTTTTTATCCAGAGGATTGGTGTCACATGCATAGAGGCCGTGACTTAGCTATCAGGTTTACTCACGCCTCTGTATGAGCAATGCTGAGCTCCTAATTTTCCCTGTGCCTGAGCCTCTGCTTCTAAGGTCAGCCTGACTGAAGGTTGTCAAGGACCTACCATGGCAGGAAAGAGAAAGAGGCTGTACCTGATCCATAATTCTTCACCAATAGCCACTGCATGCCTCCTATTATCCAGATGATGTCACCTTGATTGTAACAAGCAAAACTTTATAGAAGCTGAGTCAAATGCCCACCCACTAACTCCCCACTCAGCCCACTGCTGGAAAGTGTGGGATTGGAAACCAGGTGGAAATGTGTCTTTCTCTACATAGAAGGTGTCTTATTGGTCTGAAGGCCTGCCCTGGGCAGGAAGAGGCCAGGAGAAGAGCCCAGACCCACACCCAACACCATTCCAGGAGCATATGAGTGGTTGCATCCAAGTCCTCCCTACTGCTTGGCTGTAGGGAGATAACATTGCAAAATGCATGGTGGGAGATGTGAACTTAGAACTCCAAAGAGTTTTAAGCACAGACTCTTAAAAGGTTGCTATTTTTTATTCCTTTTTTGTATTTTACAATAGTCGTAAAAATAAACTTAAAAACTGCTGCCAGCATGTAAGGTGGCCCTGCTTATCCAAAGAAATCAAGCTGCATTTCTACACCATATCTTACTATTCTCCCATATTCCCTATTTTCCCTCCTTCCTCCCATAGTTATTCTCTGCTTTGGGTTCTTTCCAATATGAAGTGAATGTTGGAGTCTTTTCCTCACCGCCCCCAACCCCTGCCAATTCTTTTAACATTCAACTAGAAGGATAAGGTGGAGGGATTAAGTGAGTGAACAACACACACTCAGCTCTTACTCCTTGCAGTACACTACTGGGTCATATATACAATTTCTGGCTGATTTGGGGGGCCTCCCCTGACTTAGGGCCTGGGATCATTTCCAGAGGCATATTTCTCCCTGCACTCCAATGGCAACACTGGGTGGCGTGCTAAAGGGCCTGTTGAACTATATTAAACGCCTCAAGACTTGAGGTGGAGTATGTTGGACTCTTCACTGTGGGTCAATTTTTCAGCCTGCTGCTTTATCTACCTGACAGGAAGACTTGAACTAGTGCCATTTCTAAATTGCACTTCTAAATATTGACTTAATGGCGAAACTCAGCGTGTCATAACCCAGTTCACTAGAGCAACGAAGATTTTCCAGGCCTCACCGAGAGGTCTGTACAATATCCTGTGGGGAGTGGAGAAGGAAGAGGAGGATTTAAGAAGAAAAATACAATCAAGTTGTGTTTTGAAGAAATGCCCCTGCGCCTCACTTAATCTTGCAGAGACACATGAGTGCTCATTGGGCTATTGGCTGAGGCTGGAGGGAACCAGGGTAGACAGAGAAAGGATAGCAGCAACCAGAAATACTGCAGCTGCCCCCCAGGAAGATGAGAGGGTGCCAGGGCACACCTTGCTGGGCTGGCAGCAGAGACAGCTGGCTCTCTGAGAGTTTCATTTGAGTATCCAGTTTAGAAGGACTAGACAGTGTCTGAGAGACTAGAGACTTTATTCTATATCTATGAAGACTTCAGCACAGCCAGATCTTCAGCAAATCTTCATTTAGGTCACTGAGGAAACTCTAGGAGGCTATCTTTATAGCTTCTTTCCTCCTGACAGTTAACACTGTAAATGATCTTAAGGCATTTTTGTCACATCCCATTAGCTGTTAGACTGTGAATCAGAGGAAGATATTGGTCCCTTCTTATCCTGAAGGAGCTGTTTTGGAGGAGCAACAAGATATTTTTCATGCAAATTAGCTTTCAGATTTCTTTAGACACTCAGTGCTATATAAATTTGTATTCTCCAAGAGGAGCTAAAAGCCTGGAGCAGTGGCTCATGCCTATAATCCCAGCACTTTGGGAGGCCAAGGTGGGTGGATCACCTGAGGTCAGCAGATCAAGACCAGCCTGGCCAACACGGTAAAACCCTGTCTCTACCAAAAATACAAAAATTAGCCAGGCGTGGTGGTGCACGCCTGTAATCCCAGCTACTCTGGAGGCTGAGGCAAGAGAATCACTTGACCTGGGGAGGCAGAGGTTACAGTGAGCAGAGGTCATGCCACTGCACTCCAGCCTGGGCAACAAGAGTGAAACTCTGTCAAAAACAAAAGGAGATAAAGCACAATAATAATACCCTGTACTGCTGCAGAGAGAAGTGTGTGCAATACGGCGACTGCCCCTCAGTAGGATCTCCTCCCACTTGGCTGTAGCACTGGCATCCTGGCAGATGAAAGGCCCTCTCCAGGAGATCTTATGTGGAGGGGGCTCAAGGGTTGTTGGCAGGAAGGTTTTGTGTGTGAGGGTGTGTTCTTCAAAGGAGGAAAAACTTAAGTTCTAAGATAGTGAAAGTCAAACTATCCAGTTATCATGGAAGATAATCCTCATGGTATTGGCCACATTCATCTTGATGCTCCTCAGATTTGTTTCCGGGTGGTCCCTAATGCAGTGTGCCCAATCCATTCCCTCTGCTATGCCTGTGTATGAATTTGTTGATAATAATGCCTCTGAGAATGACCTCAAAGTGCAACAAAATCTTTGTGCTTTGACCTCATCACACTTGCTAGAAGAGTCAAACTCACCCCTGGATTTGGCTCCTCTAGCAAGCCTGATGAGCCTGCTCCGTGCAGTGACTTCCTTCCTTAAATCTAGTCCAACTCCACGAAAAGTTATCTCCTTGTAAGATAATGGAATCCTCCTAAACTCTTCCTCTTCCTTTGCTCAAAGGTGTCTTGCGTCAGCCGAGGTGGCTGCTATGGAAGGAATCTTAGGTGTCTTCTGAAGAAATTGTGATCAACCCCCCTGAAGCTGTGTCTGCTGGGAGAGCCTGTGCTGGCTATGTCTTTGTTGCTTGGCCCAGCTGTGAATTCATGCAGCCTGCCCTGGCCTTCAGAAGCTCACCTGCGGGTGAGGCCACTGCTCTGCAGCAGCTTGTACGGTGCGCGCCACGCCGCACCACAGCTGGGTGGTGGGCTGCCCTCCGCGGTCTCCGTGTGTCTGTGTTCCATGTACCTCTGAGAGTTGCATAGCCTGGAGTGCCCCAGCAGCTCCCCACACACCCACCTCTATCCAGCATCCTCCAAACTCCTGCT
This sequence comes from Homo sapiens, assembly GCF_000001405.40. Classification (NCBI taxonomy): domain Eukaryota; kingdom Metazoa; phylum Chordata; class Mammalia; order Primates; family Hominidae; genus Homo; species Homo sapiens. The sequence continues at coordinate 184,152,326 of NC_000004.12, forward strand.
GAAGGCCCACGCAATCCTTGTGGGCCTTCACCCCCTCTCCACTGCCCCCTCCCTGCAGACTACACATCTCACAACCCACCGCCCACTCACAGACCCATCAGGCTGCCGCTGTCCTCAATCCAGACCAGTTCGACCCCCTCAGCCACTTCACCCCATCTCCTACAGGCTGCTCTTCATTTATGCCTTCAACGTTCTAGGCCTCCCCTGGTATCTTCCTCCATAATGGCCATCATCAGGATGACACCATTGAGAATCAGGAAAAAAGTGTCTATTGCCACGGGCGTGGGAAAGGTAAACTGACCACTTACCTAAATAATGAATCCCACCAATGGAAAGACAATGGGAAGCGGGTTGTATTGTTATCACTGAATCCTCTCATCCTTAATGAAAGATATTCAGTGACCAAGATGAGGGTGTCCCGAGGACTTCTCACAGCAGCCGAGGCAGTTTGCATGACTACTTACCTCGTTGAGCTAGGATGTAGCATGGGAGTCTTAACACAAAGGGACTTCATTTCATGGACTACCAAAAAATAGCGAGTGCTTTCAATTCTCTTTTCAATATTGTAGAGGAGCTCAATGACGTATGGAAATGGTACACTGTTTTTTTTTTTGTAAAGCAAGTAAGCACCCTATAATTTCTCTCTCCTGTATATCCAACATTTTGCACATGAAAAAAAGCAAGCTATCCTGTGGTGTTTGCTATGTCAAGAGAATCAGGAAATAGCATTATCTCTGGTCTGATGTTAGAGAGTTAAAAACACATTTTTCAAAAATGTGCCCATAAGACATATTTCTTTTCTTTTTCTTTTTTTTTCAAGATTGAGTTTTGCTCTTGTTGCCCAGACTGGAGTGCAATGGCGCAATCTCAGCTCACCACAACCTCCGCCTCCTGGGTTCAAGCGATCCTCCTGTCTCAGCCTCCCGAGTAGCTTGGATTACAGGCATGCACCACCACCCCAGCTAATTTTGTATTTTTAGTAGAGACAGGGTTTCCCCATGTTGGTCAGGTTGGTCTCGAACTCCTGACTTCAGGTGATCCACCCACCTCGGCCTCCCAAAGTGCTGGGATTACAGGCCTGAGCCACCGTGCCCAGCCAATACATATTTCTTAAATAAAGATCCCATTTTCCAAACCACGGCTTGGTCTTCAAACAGTAACTTGACACCGACTGTCCTCAGAGACTCTATGATGATTTGAGATTTGGAATGGATGTTCACACACTCACCTGGCCAGTAGTACATGTAGACCTTCCTTTTGGCCTTGGTCAGAGTGACCCACAGAGGTTCTGATCCATTCCACCAGAGAGGCATTAGGCTGTCTTTGTTGACGCCAATGTCAAAGGACTTGTTGGTGGTGGGGTCCCACATGTAGTTCCCGATCATCTGATGGACTTCACAATGGCGGCCTATGTCAATGAGAACACAGCTGTCAGTTTACGGTTCTGGTGGTTTCTATTTTTATCTTTGTTTCTTGATCATATAAGCCATTCGTGCTCGTTTAGGAAGTACAGAACAGCATAAAGATTTGCTTTTGACTTTAAAAAAAAATCAGATTTTTTTTTCTTAAGCTGTGCCATGAAGGTAGACAATCCAGTTAGATGTCCACTAATTGATGGAGGGTGGGGTCATTTAGAGTGACGTCACCCTGTCAAGTCAGCTGTTTTAAGTTACACTGAGGACACTGTGCAGAGCTTGAAGTCTAAATATGAATTAGCATGGACATCTGTGGATTCCTCTGAGACTTGGTCTCAGATTCTCACCCCAGAGCCCTCTCTGCACCCTCCAAACCCTCCTCCCGTGAGATCAGCAATCTAGCTGTTATAGCGTTTATTCTTTCCTTTCTTAAATAAGAGGAGTTGTTGCTTCAGCTCTGAACAGTGATAAAACCTATGACGTTTGGAACAGAATAGCGAAAAATAGATTCAACTTTGAAAAACAAAGCAGGAAAACAACCCTTCAAATGCAGTGTTATACAGAAACGAGGGCTGGTTCTGTTGAGCACAGCTTAGTCCCAGAAGACAAGCCAGAAGTGAGAGACGCAAACGCTTGGACTCTTTTGAAACATTAGGCTTAAATTATTTATTTTGGAGCAATCTGTTACATCTTTAAAGTAAAAATAACACAAACATTGGCAAGTGCATCAAAAATTGCTGCAATTTTAGTGAGCGTCATTTGGCACCAGGACGAAACATGCTTCACTGAGCTCCCTAACTATGCTTAATCAAGTGGCTTTTCTTCTTTGTTTTACTGTTGTTGTTTCTTCTCCCCACCCCTCCCAAAATTTTATTTTTAAACAGAAACAAAGAAAAATTATAAAATACTATTTGGAAAATAGACACTAAAAATATCAAATGGAAAAACCTTTCATTTCATCCCAGAAAGCAAGGCAGGCCACAAACTATGCTACTGTGCTCCCAGAGATCCCAGCAAAAATGGTTTTCACCCAAAGCTGTAGAATTAGTGTTTTGATCTTGACCAAAACTTTCACATTAAAAAGATTAATACAATTAAAAATAAAATAAAATTAAGATGTTGAGCAATTTTGGCAATGGTTAAGGAAGTTATTTTATTTATTGTTTCAACTAACATGTATTCAGTGCTCTTACATATATAGTCCTATGTATTGTAGGCTGTGATAGATGTAGAGATTCCAATCTGAATAAATGTCATGCCCATCCTCAAGAGACTTGTAATTTAATACTCAACAGAGGGTCCTCTGTGTAAAAGAGCCAGGCTTCCCGGGGCTGGGTCTGAGAAGGAGGACAGGTTGCAGCCACAACTTCAGAGTTATGATGACCCTCGCTCACCCTGTTGCAGAGGATAATTCCTAGTATGTTCTCACCAACTCATTAAAAGTAGGGTCCTAATCTATTGGTTCAACTATATTATCGTTTTTAGTATATGAAAGTTGAATCATATTAAGAGAGCCCCTCTTACAAGTAAAAGTACTTATCTATTTCCTTTATTCAAAATTTTGCATTCTGTGTCACAAATTGTATTATCCTAATGATGCTTACTCATCCTTTCACAAGGCAAAATAACCATGATCATATCTGTAGGAAAAGGCCTCCTTCGTGGACAGTCTTTCCTCATAGAGAGATGTTCTCTGATGCCCTTCCAAGTGCAGGAGGTTATCTCAACTGCAGCTGGTGTGCAAAGAAGCTGAGCAAATGTGCAAAATTGGAAGGGGGTGTGGGAAGCATCATTCCTGAGGTCAGGAACCAAAGAAGAGCCTCTGAATGAATCATCAGGAAAGGACCAGGGATATCAGACATGGGAATAATAGGGAGAGATGCCGAGGGAGAGGGGTGGAGGGATCTCTGCTTCCAAGCTTGAATTGTTTGGACCATTTTAGAACAAGGCCATGAAACCCAGAGATAAATGGAGGCTTCACATGATGTAGTTTTCACAAGGCTGCATACAAGGAAGCATGAAGCAACCAAAAAACAGTTTTTAAAGTACATATAATCTATACTTGTATATCTCAGAAACCCCATATCATTTGGTGAAAATTTCTCTCTTCTCTTCAACGCACATATTTAGCACTCTGGACTCTAAAGTGTCCAAACTCACTCATTCTTCTTTGTTCTCTGCTCTCTGAGTAGAAAATTATAAGGAGCTTCTTGTGGATTGCAGAGCTGTTGTATGGCTGGATTGTGTGTGTGCATGCATGCACAGGTGTGAGAGAGACAGAAACACAGAGGGAGACAGAGAGAGACAGAGAGAGAGATGGAGAGAACATTCTCCCAGAGAATTCCTATAAGGTGGAGCGCTTTCAAGAAGGTCACCTCAGACTCCTGTGGAGAAAGTTGGGTTTCTTCTTTTGGTGGATTGGGCCCTGAGCTGAGATGGGAGGGTGTGCTGTCCCCAGGGCTTCCTTTGCTCTGGGAAGAGCAGCCTTTCCCGGAAGCTGGCAGGAGGAGGCTGCTTCAGATCTTGTCCCGCCTTCCCATGAATACAGTAAGGCTGCAGTCTGTGCTTGGAACAGTCGAAGTCGACTCAGACTCAAGCTGATTTCCCTACCAACCCTCTGCCTCTCTTGCTCTTTCATTTTTATTGCCTCGGTAAAATTGGTGGCTGAAAGAACAGAACAGAACACAATGTACTGGCTTCTGCAGCCCACGAGCTCTCATCTCCATATTCCTGCCTGACCCATATCTATTTTTATACAACTGCAGTTCTGGGTTTTTCTCTGGTTGTGCTTTCCAAACAGAGCTTGGATGTGGTGTGGTTTTTTGGTCTCTTTGCTCAAGGCTTGAGTAGAAACTTTCCTGACATCCTCCAACACCACAATTGCAAGTGGTTTTCAGGTATGATGTAAGGAATGTCTACAGCTCTTCCTCCTCCAAATGACTACTCTGGGGGCTTTGAAATATGTGTTTGCCTTTCTCAGAGAGAGCTCCTGGAATCGTTCCCATAGCTAGAACTGCTGTATGAAGGGGGTGGGATATGACACCTTCGGTGTTCATTCCACAGAGTCTTACTCAAGCATGTTCGACGTAGTGACCATCACAAGAAGTTTCTTAGCAAGGCCCCCAGAAACTTCTGCACCATGTTATATGTTTCATCTCAGAAATGGCTGGCCTTCACATCTCACGAGAAGGTAGAGGATATGTCCATCTTACCTATAACTCATGGTCACAGAGACTTTCTCTTTGACTTCTGAGTCCTCTGCTCAACTAGACTCAAACTTGGGCTTCCTTCCTTTTTCTTGTAGAGTCCAGGTTGAGCAAGAATCCTGCTAAGTCAGTTTAGTGATAATCCTCCACGCTTGGTATCTGACCACCCTCAATATCTCACCACCCTGCCTGCCTTCAGCAAGAGTTCTGTTGAGTAGATCTAGCCAGAATTCATTGGCCAGAATCCCTTGATGTTTCTTCTTAGTAGTTTTGCATCCGCTGACCCCACCATGTTCCTTGTCTGTCAATCTCTACTTGTCTGTTGTACTTGGAGTGGAGCCCAATCTCTCTCCCACTGCTGGATCCCACTGCAGCATCCTTCCGTCTATCACAGTGGTTCCTCCTTAAAGAAAGTTAGCCTTACCATCTTTAACAAGCATCATAAATAAATTCGTTCTTTCTCTTTCTTTCTTTCTTTCTTTCCTTTTCTTTCTTTCTTTTCTTTCTCTCTCTTTCTTTCCTTCCTTTCCTTTCTTTCCTTCCTTTCCTTTCTTTCCTCTTTTTCTCTTTCTTTTTCTTTCTTTCTCTCTCTCCTTTCTTTCCTTTCTCTCTTTCTTTCCTTTCTTTCCTTTTTTTCCTTCCTTTCCTTTCTTTCCTTCCTTTTCTCTCTCTTTCTCTCTTTCTTCTTCCTGATCTCACTTTGTCACCCAGGCTGGAGTGCAGTGGGGCAATCATTGCTCACTGCAACCTTGACCTCCCCAGGTTCAGCCTCCTCCTCAGCCTCCCAAGTAGCTGGGACCACAGGCATGCGCCACCAAACTTGGCTAATTTTTTTTTTTTTTTTTGTATTTTTTGTAGAGACAGGGTTTTGCCATGTTGCCAAGGTTGGTCTCAAACTCCTGGGCTCCAGTGATCCACCCGCCTCAGTATCCCAAAGTGCTGGAATTACAGGCATGAGCCACTGTGCCCAGCCAAGTTTCTCTTTAACAGTGGACATCTATAAGGTTGCTACTACTTAGATTTCAATCAGTCTTAATTTTTTCTCATTGTTTTCAAACAGTCAATGTCAATTCCTTTTATAGTTCCTTACCTCTTTTATTCTTTTTGCATCCACTCAACATGTATTTATTAGATAATGTTTGCATGCTAAGGATATAAAGATAAAAAAGAAATGGTCTCTGTCTTTGGCTCACAGTCTGCTATGGACAATAATATGGCACAGTGGTTAAGGGAACGAATCTTGGAGCCAGATTGCATAGGTTCAAGTATAAACTCTACTAATTACTGTCTGCATGATCTTGGACAAGTAGCTTAGACTCTCTGAAGCCTCCATTGCCTCATCTGAGTAATGGGTATCGTAACAATTATTGTGAACAGTCATCCCTTTGCATGGCAGTGTCGAACCACAAAAATGGCTGTGCAAGCCAAAACCATGAAAAGCTATCTTAATAATCAGCGGGGTGGGGTGGGGGGAATAGGATTGTTCTGTGACACTTAAAAATGTTTGTCAAAATATTGAAAATTCTCCTACTCTCAGTTATACAGGAAAATGAAGGAAGAAGTGTACAATTATAATTTATGAGTATTTTATAATTTACAGTATTAGAAACATGGAGAATTAAAGGGCACTATCTCTTTGTAAGAAATTTATGAAGAATGCTTTGAATAGTGCTTGGCTTCTTCTTCTAGAGATATAACAAAATATGAGTGAACATCTTTTCTATGCCTTAGGGAATTGTTATCTTCTTTCTAAGTTTAGATTGGCTTTCGACATCTTATCCTTTGTGCTTTCAATGTCATAAAATAGCTCCAGGGGTTCTTTAATGTGAAGTTTTTGCTGGTGTCACTTCCTCTGGGACAACTGCATCCTTTTTTTCACAACTTTTTTCTTCATTTATGTCAATAAATTCACCATCACTAAGGTCCTTGGGCTGCATACCTAGAGCTTTGTAAATGATGTCAGTGTCAATATTCACATGGTCAATGATCTCTTCCATAATTCCACTTACATTTGATTCAAATCCTGCAAAGTTATTTTCCAGTACAGTAAGAGTTTCTGCCATCCTCCATGCATATTACTTGCTCTTCCTATCTGTCGTGATGCTTGAATGTTTCTGGCTACATGTTTTATGTCATAGTTCTTCCAAAGCTTAGCTGAATAAATTGCATTATCTCCGATTGTATCATCAATAACCTGTCTGAAATACAGCTTACTTACATCTAAAAAATAGGCTTCAAAAGTTGCAATAACTTATTGCCCCATTTAATAGATGATTAAAGTTGTTTTTATAGAAAAAGCAAATTTGCTCATATTCTTTCAAGTATTCAAGAGGGTCAGCGGGACCTGGAGCATTATCCAACAATAGTAATGCATTAGAAGTTGAACTATATGGGTTTATCAGTGGGACACAGGGAGGCAACACAGCTGCATGCTTTGCTGTCTGTGCATGAGCTAATATTAGACAAGCAGCAGCCAATCACCAGCAGACTATGAAAGAAGTGATGTGATTGACCAACAATCATGATGCATATTTGTTATTTGCATAGTGATAAATAGTCCTAGTGGACTGAGGACTAGCAAGGAAGTTTATAGTTTATGCTACAGTAGCTACAATTAGGGTTGCCAGATTTATTTTAGTCAATATACTGTGGTAACTGAAATTTGAATCATGTTGTTGGAGAACTGACATTATTATTTTTTATTTTTTAAATATCTTATTTCAATAGATTTTGTGGTATAGGTGGTTTTTGGTTGTGTGGATAAGTTCTTTAGTGGTGATTTCTGAGATCCTGGTGCACCTGTCATCAAGCAGTGTACATTGTACCCAATGTGTAGTCTTTTATCCCTCACCCCCATCCCACCCTTTTGCCATGAGTCCCCAAAGTCCATTACATCATTCTTATGCCTTTGCATTCTCATAGCTTAGCTCCCACTTATAAGTGAGAACATGCGATATTTGGTTTTCCATTCCTGAGTTATTTCACTTAGAATTATGACCTCCAGTTGCATCCAAGTTGCTGCTAAAGACATTATTTCATTCCTTTTTATGGTTGAATAGTATTCCATGGTGTATATATACCACATTTTCTTTATCCACTCATTGACTGATGGGCACTTAGGTTGGTTCCATATTTTTGCAATTATGAATTGTGCTGTTATAAACATGCATGTGCAAGTGTCTTTTTTATATAATGACTTCTTTTCCTTTGGGTAGATACATAGCAGTGGTATTACTGGATCAAATGGTAGTTGTACTTTTAGTTCTTTAAGGAATCTCCATACTGTTTTCAATAGTGGTTGTACTGGTTTACATTCTCACCAGCAGTGTAAAAATGTTCTCTTTTCACCACATCCAACAAACATATATCATTTTTTTACTTTTTAATTATAACCATTCTTGCAGGAGTAAGGTGGTATTGCATTGTGGTTTTGATTTGTATTTCCCTAATAGTGACATTGAGCATTTTTTCATATGTTTGTTGGCTGTTTGTATATCATCTTTTGAGAATTGTCTACTCATGACTTTTGCCCATTTTTTGATGGGATTATTTGGAGAACAGACGTTATTTAATCTGTGGTAATTCAGTTTTGCGCATATCTGAATTGTGCAAAGCAGAGAGTGTGTGTGCATGCACATATGTGTACATGCACATATACATAGCACATAGTGAGCACTGTTAATATTAACTTATATTACTATGAGTATTGGGGGAGAGTCACACAAATGAATGCAATCTAGAGATCAGCTGGAGCTCTCTCTCTCTTGAGCTCTCCGTATGACTGGTTCCAATCCTACTTCCACCAAGATTCTCACAAGTCCCCAGGAGATGCACATAACTGCAGGCATCTCTACCTCCATACTCCTGCTTCCAGGACATATGTTGTCTAGAAATGTAGCTCAGCCTGCTCCTATATGACAAAAAGGAACCTCCTCACATGAAATATTCATGAGTTGGGTGAATTTTATTGGGGATTCAGTCTGGAGAGGAGGGGAATATTGAGGGCAATGCAAAGAACTTCCAACTGAACATTAGACATTCAACATCTCTTCATGACAGAGAACACAAAAACAAACACAACAAAAACAAAAATAAATAGATGGGACTTAATTAAACTAAAAAGCTTCTGCACAGCAAAGGAAATGGCAGAGTAAACAGACAACCCACAGACTGGGAGAAAATCTTCTCAATCTATACATCCAACAAAGGACTGATGACCAGAATCTACAAGGAACTCAAACAAATCAGCAAGAAAAAAAAATCCCATGAAAAACTGGGCTAAGGACATGAATAGACAATTCTCAAAAGAAGATATACAAATGACCAGCAAACACATGAAAAAATGCTCAACAACACTAATTATCGGGGAAATGGAAATCAAAACTACAATGCAATACCACCTTACTCCTGCAAGAATGGCTATAATCAAAAAATAATAGATATTGGCATGGAAGTGGTGAAAATGGAACACTTTTACACTGTTGGTGGGAATGTAAACTAGTACAGCCACTGTGGAAAAGTGTGGAGGTTCCTTAAGAACTAAAAGTAGAACTACCATTCAATCCAGCCATCCCACTCCTGGGTATCTACCCAGAGGAAAAGAGGTCATTATATGAAAAAGATACTGGCATATACATGTTTATAGCAGCACAATTCATAATTGCAAAAATAGGGAATCAGCCCAAATGCTCATTAATCAATGAGTGGATAAAGAAAATGTGGTATATATATATACCATGGAATACTACTCAGCCGTGAAAAGGAATGAAATAATGGCATTCACAGCAACCTGGATAGAATTAGAGACCATTATTCTAAGTGAAGTAACTCAGAAATGGAAAACCAAACATTGTATATTCTCACTCATAAGAGGGAACTAATCTATGAGGATGCAAAGGCATAAGAAAGATGTAATGGACTTTGGGGACTTGGGGGAAAGGGTGGGAGGGGGTGAGGGACAAAAGACTAAACATTGGGTACAGTGTACACTGCTTGGGTGATGGGTGTACCAAAATCTCAGAAATCACCACTAAAGAACTTACTTATGTAACCAAACCCACCTGTTCCCCAAAACCTATTGAAATAATAAGAAAAAAGGCATCCAAGGTATCCCCAGTCTTTCCAGCAACAACTGCCCCCCTCCCCGCATGGTTTTTTCCTGGCCACCACTCTCAAGGACCCAGCCTGCGCATCTCACTGTCTCATTGCTTCCCTATTTTCTGCTCCACAGCAACCCCCTCCAAAATTTCTCTCCAAACTTCAAAGTTTTCTCAAAAGCAGTTCAGCCCTCCAGTGTTCTTGTTCAACTTATATTTGCAGGCTCATAGGGTGCTGGAAAAAAGGGGGGAAGGAAGGAAAGAAGAAAGGAAGGAAGAAACTTCAAATGCATGACTATTGTTGGATAATGCTCTCATCACCCTGATCTTCCTGAGTACTTGAATGAATATGTGAAAGTTTGCTTTTTCTACAAAGACAACTTCAATAATCTATTAAATGGGAGAGTAAGTTATTTCAACTTTGGAAGCCTATTTTGAAGCCTAAGTTATTTCTACTTTTGAAAGAAGGAAAGAAGGAAGAAAGGAAGGAAAGGGAGGGAGGGAAGAAGGAAGGAAAGAAGGAAGGAAGGAAGAAAGGAAGGAAGAGAGGGAGGGAGGGAATGAATGACTGGAGGGGAATGAGCCAAGACAGAGGGCTTCCTATTGAAGTAGGAATTAGGATAGTCCTCATGCCAGTAAAATGTGGCATTTTGCTATTCCCCACACTCAGAGTTCACCTTCTTTGAAAGGTGAGATGCTCTTACTGATGTGCTAGATGCGGGGCTAGCACAATTCGAGATGGTCACAGCTGGACTCACTCAAGGCCCTGGCAATAAACAGGCTGCACAGAGTTTAATTCAGGGGTTTTACAAAGGTGTGGGCTGGGCTGAGGGGAGCCAATGGCATGAAGAAGCAACCCAGGAGGAATGGCAGCAGCGTGCCATTACCACCCACCCACTCCGCTCCCCGAGTGGTGAATAGCAAGTGGACCTGCCTCTCCAGCCACTGTCCTAGAGGCCATCCCTCAAGGTCACCTGCTGAGGCTCAAGGCAGGCTGGAGAAACCAGAGGAGGGCAGACAGGCAAACAGAGGCTCTCCAGTGCAAGGGCCAGGGAAAATCCTAAGACGTGGATTTTTTGAGAAAATCATGTCGATCACTTGGGCAAGGATCTTGCACTAAACATCAGAGACCACACAAGCTGAGAGTCCCCTGAACAAGTACTTGTGAGCTTTGATGGTATCACACATTCTCAGGAATGGAAGGGACCTCAGGCGGCCTCCTAGTCTAATACCCTCCCTGCAATTTCAGAGGTGAGGAATAACTCCCTGCCCTTTGTATATATTGGGGGTAAAAGGCTTGAGTGTGTGCTCAAGGCCACAATTCCAATAAGTAGTGGGTGGGGTGAAGAAGTAAAGGGAACGAGGGTGACCTGAACCTGGACCTCCCGGCTTCTCATATCACACTCTTCACACTTCACTTTCCATGACAATAACAGATTTATGGTTACAGTTGGACTCTGGAATATGAAACATATGCTGATTTCAAGGTGAAAGCTCTCGGTTTAAAAAAAAACACAACATTGTATTCACGTGTCCAAACATATATGCAGAAAAACAACTGCATAGCTGGTTATATCGCTGAACAATCAGGTTCTACAGCTGATGAGGAATTCCTCAATTGCATGAACGCTTTCTTAATTCCGGTGTATAACCACCTTTAGAAAGTGATAGTAATCTTTAATTTTTAAGGCATTCATTTTATTTCTCTGAGGCCTATGTGTGTTTCCGTCAGGCGACAGTGGTTGTGTCTACCAGAGATCAAAACAGCTGGCAGAAAAGGGAGACATGGGGTTACATTTGAGGCACATCAATTTAGTCAAAACGTGGGGATATAAGTGAGGCTTACCATACACTAAGAAGGATCTTGGAAATCGTTCTTTTCTAACCTACAGGTTTTTGCCCAGAGGCAGCATTCAATGGAGCGCCGAGTCCAGAGTTGCAGGCAGGCCTCTGGGGCCACCCGCTGGAAGCCTGGGTTATAACAACGTGTGACAGCACAGGGACCTGGGCTGTGGGCGTCCTGTTCGCCTCTGGGAGATGGTGGCTACAGTGGAGAGATGACAGAGGAGTTTGGGTCAGGGTCTTCTCACTTTCTAGCTGTGGCAATTGAGTCTAATCTTCAGCTTCTCAAAGCCTCACTTTTTCTCTCTCTAAAATGGGATTCATGATACTCTCCGGGCTAGATTGCAACGAGCATTAAAGATAAAAATGGTCCATGCACAAGTGACGCTTGCTATATTGTAGGTAGTGTTCTAAGGGCATCTCTTATGGATTGAATTGTGTTTCCCCAAAAACATGTGTTGAAATCCTCACCCCAGGTACCTCAGCATGTGACCCTGTTTGGAAATTGGGTCTTTACAGATGGCATCAAGTTAAAATGAAGTTCTTAGGGTGGGCCCTAATCCCACATTTCTGGTGTCCTTATAAAAACGGGAAATGTGGACAGAGAGACTGACCTGCCCCCAGGGAAGATGATGTTTGGAGAGGGAGAGATGGCTCTGTAAACCAGACAACACCTGGGGCTACGAGAAGCTAAAGAACCAAGGAATTTTCAGAGGGAGCACGCCCCATCCACACCTTAATTTCTGACTTCTGACCTCCGGAACTAAAAGACAACACATTTCTGTTTCTCTAAGCCACCCAAACTTGTGGTACTTCGTTACAGCAGGCCTAGGAAAGGAATTCCACATTTCGTCCTCACCGTGGCCCTAAGGGATAAGTACTATTGTTAGCCCCGCTTTCCAGGTAAAGTAACTGAGGGGCAGAGAAGGTGAGTTGCCTGAAGTCTTACACCACCAGGTATACTGGAGCCAGGATTTAAATCAGGCAGCCTGGATCCCGAGGCTCAGCTCTTCACCACTGCAATCTACTAACACTTGTGCAACCAGAATGAACCAGCACTCCACGCGATTCCCAGCACTCAGGAAGCCCACAGGAGAAGGAAGCTGCTGGTGTTACACTTGCTATCATGCACTCTGTGAAGCCTCCACCCTCAAGGACAGGATGCATTCAGAGGAACACGTCAGTCCAGGTGGAAGGTCTTGGGGCTGAGCCCACTGAGGAAGCGCTTTACCTGGGACTCTGGAGGGGTGAAGCTCATAACCTAGGGCCAAAGGCAGAAATCGATTTTCTGGACACTTACTGATCAGTTTAATTATAATAGTTCCCAGTCCTTGGCCAACTCCTTTGTATCTGGAACTAAATGCTTTACATTTGCATCTCAGTCTTCCACATAACTCTAGGAGATGGAGAATATTACCTCCATTTTGCTGATGCTTAAGAACTAAGATTCAAAGTGGCTGAGTGAGGAGGCTGGAGCCGCACAGCTAGGAAGAGGGCAGAACCCCAGTCCCAACCAGGTCTCTGACTCAGCGTCCGCCCTCCCCCGCACCAGCACCTGCTCCCCTCCAGCCACGGTGTAGCCTCATCAGTTCACCAGGGCTTGCCGTTTTAATACAAATGAACTCGTAAGTCAGGCCTGATTCTGAGACTCTCAGCAAAGTAACCACATGGAGACGCACAGATCTCTGGAATGCCAGACATTCTCTTATCTCTTGCAATCAACTATTATGCATCAAAGTTTACTGTAAATACCTCTAAGGAGGAATATTCTCAGACTAGGGATATCAACAAAGGAGATGGTAATGTTAAGCTTCCTCTTCCTCTGGAAAGAAGCCAGCTGTGGAAAGAGAGGCTCCCAAAGTTCTGAAATCAGGGGTCTCAAGATAATGGATACATTTTAGAGACTGAACGTACACATACTATCTCAAATTGACATGGTTACAAGAAGCAACTTTATATATTCGATTCAGAGCCAAGCAGCCAGAAAATGTTAAATAAGTCAGATATTCCCACTAGTAGGTTCCCCTTAGTACTTTTCCTTGAGCATTTGGAGGTGTAAAGATTAGTTTAGACCCTGCTTAGATTAGTGAACTTTCATATAACTACTTTATACCCAAGAGACTTGAAAGAATTAACAATGCATTGCTCAAAGTAACTAACTTAAAAATTGAAATTTGCCTTGCAGATAACCTCTGTTGGGAAATCCATTTTATTTTTTTAATGTGTTCAAAGACACACTTTGGATGTTAAAGAAGTGGTTTCCAATGAAATATGCAAGATTGAGGTGAAAGCAAAGCTCACAATTTGCACATCTTTAAAAGCAACTCCTGATGTATGTGCCAGACACAGTCATCGTTAGATTCTGAGACACAAATATTGTAAGGCTGAGATAATGGGCTTTGATTATAGTGTGAAGTGTAGGGACTGCAACAAAAATAACCCCAAAAGAGGAGACATCTTTGATTAGGAACATTCACACTCATTGTTTTGAGGTCATTGGACTTAAAAATAAATGCATTGCTTTATGTTTCTGCAGCGCCTGCCAGCTTGGTGCAATTATTTAACAAGCAGAATACAGAAAAGGAAACAAAAATAATTTTCCTGCATAAGGACAAAAATGTGAGCCCTGAAGTTTTGACTTAAACACTTTTTACTTTTAGAAAGCTAATTTTTAACAAAGCTCAAAGAAATTTCCTGACAATCCAATTCATCTTCACCGCTGTGCAAAGTTGGAAAAGAGCAATAATTAATTACTGCATTGAAAATGAAATCTCTTTTGAGGCACACTCCCATTTTATTGAGTTCTTACAGAGGCTTCTCAAAAGATGGTAGATGATATTTGGAGGGAGGAGCTTCTTACTTGGGGCATGTCTACCTCCATACAGGAAAGTCAGCCAACATCTCCATCCTGAAGCACCTCCGTCTTCTGGCTCGTGATAAAGCTTCCTTTTCCCACCCACTGTGCTCCCTCCTCTCCCCAGTGACCAGGTTGGCTGCGTTCCTCACACTAGTAGGTGGCTACTTTGGCAAAAACCAGGCTCCGCCTGCAGGTGGTGGGAGTACCCCTTTTATGTCTCTTTCCGTGTCTTGACCCAGGACAGAAATTCTCCTCATGCCATGGGCAGAGACACTGCACTCATCCCGCAGCTGCCCCACCTGTGCCTGGGGCAGGGGTTGGGAGGTAAGGATAGGAAATTTAACTCAGTAAAAAAAAGCACATTTAGGATAGCTTTTCTTTCTTTATTTTTTGAGACAGAGTCTCACTCTGGTGCCCAGGCTGGAGTGCAGTGGTGCGATCTCGGCTCACTGCAACCTCCTTCTCCTGGGTTCAAGCTATTCTCCTGCCTCAGTCTCCCGAGTAGTTGAGATTACAGGCATCCACCACCATGCCCGGCTAATTTTTGTAGTTTTAGTAGAGACAGCTTTCACCATGTTGGCCAGGCTGGTCTCAAACTACTGACTTCAGGTGATCCGCCCCCCTTGGCCTCCCAAAGTGGGATCAAGCTTTTCAACTGGAGTAGAACTTAGAATGGCCAATGAGTGATGATTTCAAACAGAAGAGACTAGTTACCAGAATATTAGTGGATCAACTTTTAATGCCGGGAATTGATAGAGAATGATGGAACCCAGCTCTTAAGGAGTGTGAACTAATCAGGGACGTTACCAGCTCAATCAAGTACGAACCCATCAGTCAACCATCCCCCGCCCGCTTTTTTGGGGGGAAAGAAACAAGTGGAAGCAAGCTCATTTTTGCTAGCTTGGTTAGTTTTGTTTGTCATTGCTAGAATATGTGACGTAGGTATGATGCTGGCCTGCCCAAGTTCACGGCCTCGGGCCAGGTGCGCCCATAGAGAAGTGAGAGCAGCCTCTCAAGTCTCAGGAGTTAACTTCACAGCAGCCGCAGCTGGTTTGTCCTGATCAATGATCACCGGTGATCTGCATATCAACAGATGGTGCTGGGAGCAGACACTGGGTCTCATTCAGTGATTCACGTCTATAATCCTCCTTGGGTGCTCTTTGCATAAAAGCTGTTGACAGATAATCTGCTTTAGGGATCAAAGAGCAACTCAAGGGGGCTGCATCCTTCTGATAGTTTCCCAGTCCAAGCGGTAGACTCCACGGGAATAGGGGAGATTTTTGAGTTAAAAACAGAAGGAACAGGTAGGATGAGAACTGGCAGGAACTGAGGACCTGTGAAAACCATGTGGCCTAAGTGGAAGGAATTTTGGAGCCCAGCAAACCAGAGTTCAAATCCCATCCCAGCCACCTCACACGACTCATTCCACTTTATTGATCCTCAGTTTCCTCCTCTGAAAAATGGAGATAATCATACCTTTTTTCAGAGTTAAGTGGTTTCAGGTAGGGAAAGCTTTGGCACGATGTCTTCCGCACGATGTCTGGCGCGGAAAAGGCCAATCCTATCAAATGGGCCTTTTAAAAGGCCACTTTTAAAAATGGCACTTTGAAAAATCCTCTTCTAGGGAGGGATGGGGCCGGACAGTCCATTTCTTACTTGATATCTACAGACCATTTGCAGAGGAAAAGTCTCAAATCCCCTTGACGAAAAGAAAAGCAGCACCACGTTGCATCTGCCTTGCACAGGAAGCTGGAAGCTTTGCACGGGGGTGAAAGTTACAGGCAGACACTGCCCGCGGGGCTCCGGACAGCAAGGAGCGAGCCCTCTGAGCCTGGCCACGCTGGCCCGCCACTGCCCTCTGCTGGCGGCTGCGGTCTTCACCACCGCCCGCAGCCGTCCCCGTAGTCCGCCGAGAGGCGCCAGGCTGGGCCAGCCTTGAATTCTGGGTTTGCTTCTCCCGGTTTGAAGGCCACCCCCAGGATTCGCAGGAATCTGACAGCTGCTTGTGACTGTGCTGAAGATGCCGAGAATGTAGGCAGAGCCCGGGCAGGGCCGGCGGGCAGGCGGCCACGCGCTGCAGCAAACGCGAGCCTCGGGGCCTTGAACCTGGAGCCGGGGCCTTGCCTGGGCTGTCCTGGCTGGGAGTCTCGTGCTGTGCCCCCCGCTTCCTCATTCCCCCACCCCACCCTCCTAACCCTTGTTGTGTTTCATTTTCCCTTTTAGGATATGTGCTTCTTATTTGGGATTTTATTATTCTTGACCCCAGCCCTTTCTTTCCCTCCTTCTCTTAGTTCCTCTTTTGGTTGAGTTTATGATTTTTTTAAACCACAATTTGTAATGGTCACTGCAGTGGACGTTTAACTTTGAACACCCCTTTGTTCCTCCAAAGGCGAAATTCCTCCTGCGCCCTGCATGGCCCATTCAGGAGCGTCTGTGACCCAACCTCTCTGGCTCTGGGGAGAGGGCAAAGTGTGGCATCCAGCCCTAGCCAGGCCAGCGAGGAGCCGCATTCCTGCCACAGTGACCGTGGCTCCAGGATCCAGGCTGGGCGGGAGGATTCTTCATGCTGGAGGAATCCATTCCTCTCGGTGGCCGAGCTGGGAAGAAATGTCCCCATGTGAAGACATGGCCCCAGGAAGAGACGCTGGGGCTACAGCCAGGGCCGCGGGGAGGGCAGCAGGGGAGGGTGAGTTCTGCTCTCCTGGCTCCTGCCTCACCCCTGCTTCTTTTTGCAGGAGCCAGCAGCCCTCTCTCTGCCTGGAGCAGCAGGCCTGGGATTTCTGTCACTTGCTTCCTTTGCCTGTCCCTGGCTCCTCTCTCTGCCGTCATCACGTTTCTGGCCACCTTGCCCTCCTCCTCTGAGCTCACAGCTCCTGGGCAGGGTCCTGGCTGTGGAGGGCACCAGTTGAGAGCCACTATAGATGAAGGCTCTAGGCCGCAGTTGAGGCTTCTGAGTACTGGGCCTTAGCTGCCTGACTTTGCCCCTTTCTCCAAGGCCAATCACCGGTGGCAAATCTCACAAGCGACTTTGTGTTAAAAGTGATGACTACCTACGTTTACCTCTCACGAAGAGCTTACATTTAGTTTAAAAATTATCTATGATGAAAATATTCGAATGCACAAAACAGTGTGATAACACGGGACAGTGCTCCGCCCTGGTTTCCTGTGTCTTCCTCCCCACACTGGAATATTTTTAAAGCAAATACCAGACATCCCATCTGAAGTCATAAATACTTCTGTGCCTGTCTCTAGTACTGAGGTACTTTTAAAAAAACATACTCTTGTTATCACACCCAACAAAATGAATATAACTATTTAATATCATTCAATACCCAGTCCATATTGAGTTTTCCATAATTATCTTTAAAATGCCTCTGTGAAATTCGTTTATTTGAATCAGCATTCAGGCCGGGAAAGGTGGCTCACGCCTGTAATCCCAGCACTTTGGGAGGCCAAGGCTGGCAGATCTCTGGAGCCCAGGAGTTTGAGACCATACTGGGCAACATGGTGAAACCCTGTCTCTACAAGAAATACAAAAATTAGCTGTGTGTGGTGGTGTGCACCTGTAGTACTAGCTGCTCAGGAGGCTGAGGCAGGAGAATCACTTGAGCCAGGGAGTTGAAGGTTGTGGTGAGCCGAGATTGCACCACTGCACTCCAGCCTGAGTGACAGAGTGAGACTCTGTCTCAAAAAAGAAAAGAAGGAAAAAAAAAAAAAGAATCAGCATTCAAACAAAACCCATGCATTTTATTTATGTTTCTTGAGTGTCTTTTAACTGATAATGGTTCGCCTCCATTTTATTAATTCTTGTCTATTTATTTATGGAGGGAACTGGGTCATCTGTCTGAAAACATCCCATATTCTGGATTAGGCTGATTGTATCCTCGTGGTGCCATTAGCATGTTCCTTAGTCTCCTGTATTTCTTGCAGACTCCTAGTTTGATCTACAGGTCTTAGATTCAGGTTCCATGTGTCTTAGGCAAGAATCCACTGCACGTGGTGCCATGTACTTGCTCTCGCGTCACGCCATGTGGCTCGTGGTGTCTGTTAAAGTGGATTGGTGGGTTTAGATGGTGTCAGCCTAATCTATCCACTGTCAAGGTTCCTATCAACCTGCATGTAATGGTTTTAGCAACCACCGATAATCATCACCTACATCTGTTCCTTTTAGTCACAAAATCCCTTCCCAGTAGAAGTGTTCTCTGAAACAGGCAGGTTCTTTTAGGCGTGTCTATTTGGACTGTATACCCCTTACATTGAAGTGAGGGGGTGGATCAGTTATCTGTTTTGGTGTAACTGACAACCTCAAACCTCAAGTGGCTTAAACAATAGTCATGTATTCAGCTCACAAATATGCAGTCTGGATGGAGCATGGAAGGGAAAGCTCCTCTCTGCTGGACGCAGCACCAGCAAGGGCAGCTCAGAGGCTGGGGTAACCTGACACCAGAGGGCTGGAAGGATCTGCAGGCAGTTGATGCTGGCTGCTGGCTGAGACCTTAGCTGGGTTGTCAGCAGCTGCATCCACCTGTGGCCTCTCCATATGGCCACCTGGCATCCTTACAGCATGGTGACCATGCTCCAGGCATGAGCACCCCAAGAGAGCAAAGAGAACAGGCTTGGCATTGATTGTGACCCAGATCCAGAAGTTACATAGCATCACTTCTCCTGCATCTGTTGGTCAAAGCTGTCACAAAGGTCCACTCAGGTTCAAAAAGAGGGGACACCACTTGATGGGGGAAT
The DNA here is from genome assembly GCF_000001405.40 of Homo sapiens. Taxonomy (NCBI): domain Eukaryota; kingdom Metazoa; phylum Chordata; class Mammalia; order Primates; family Hominidae; genus Homo; species Homo sapiens. The sequence continues at coordinate 184,171,482 of NC_000004.12, forward strand.
GTCAATGTCACAATATAAGAAGAACAAGTAGAATGGGATTTGTTACGGCAGCTTTCTTGGAAAATATGATCTGCCACCATGAGAAAACAAATTCAAATAATTAAGCGGTGTCACGAGCCAGACACATCACAGTTGACATACATTTGTCACAGCTTTGTCTAAGCCATTTAAAGAAGAAACTATTCCAAGACCATGGCTGTAGTTTAGCTCCACTTCTTGCCTTGATAGAATAAATAGACATATTGATATAGTTAGTTATTTAAAAACTTGTGTGTTCACATAATTTGTTAGTTACAAACACATTGATTTTTTTTTTTAAACCCCAGTGTATCCGGCACGATTCGAGATGCTGAGATAGAGCAGAGAAGAAGACGGACAGAATCCCTGTCCTCAGGAATCTTGCTCGCGGGCGGGAGAAGACAGATCATGAACATGTAAGCTGAAAGACAGGACAGTCTCAGGAAGTGAGGTGCAGTCAGCACTGGAAGTAAGTGGAGAGTGTGCGAGGGAGGTGCAGCATTGGCTAGGCGGCCGGGAGGGTTTGGAGGGGGTGGTGAGATGACGCTTGAGTGGTGGCGGAAATAATGACGAGGACACAGCCATGGGAAACCCGGTGTAACAAAGAGCATCCAGGGCGAGAGGGTGGGAAGGAAGAAGTGTGGGCAATGGGGGAGCTGGTGTCGCAGAAAAAGGTAGAGCCCAGTGATGTGGCGCATTGTTGGGAGGATTTAGATTTTACTCGAGGCATAATGGAAAATGCAGGCGGGTCTTCCTTATAGAAAGGTGCCTCTAGGGACTTCTCAGGATGGGAGGTGTTTGAAGGGGAAATCTTATTTCTCACCCTCAGTCTTCCACGCAGGAGAGAAATTCAGCCAACACCTGCCTCCTGAAGAGCCTCCACCCTCTAGCTAGCAGTCAAGCCTCCATCATCCCCCAGCACCCAGCTACGCTCCTCTCCCCCAGTGACTTCAGGTTGAGGTGACTTTGGCAGAAAACAGCTCCAGCCCCTCCCATGCGGTCTGAAGGGTAATGCTGGCAGCCATAGGGGATGAACTGAGCAGGTCAGGATGGAAGCAGGGTGACTTGGGAGGACATAAGGCGGCCTGGACCGGAGTGAGCAGTGGGCGCAGTGAACGGTGGCTGGGTTCCAATTTGTAATGACTAATGTGGGTTTTTTTCTGCATCTTCTCCATTTCAGTTTAAGGCCCACAGAAGGCTTATAAAAAGTAATATGACTTTAAAGGGTTTGATGTAGTCAAAATGATGAAAGTGGAAAGTAATGCAATCTCACTTTTCTTGGCTTTTTAAATTGTGATGTACAAAAATAAATAGTTCCTGAGTGGCGTGCATACCAGCGAGAGGAAATGTACATTCGTTCACCGTCTGTGGGAGGAGCAACAGAACGATATTTATCCAGTGTTTTTTGTTTGTTTGTTTGTGTGTTTTAATTGAGATGAAGTCTCTCTCTGTCTCCCAGGCTGGAGTGCAGTAGCGCCAACTACAACCTCCGCCACCAGGGTTCAAGCAATTCTCTGCCTCAGCCTCCTGAGTGGCTGGGTCTACAGGCGCCCGTCACCATGCCCAGCTAATTTTTTTGTATTTTTAGTAGAGACGGGGTTCCACCATGTTGGCCAGGCTGTCTCGAACTCCTGACCTCAAATGATCCACCCCCCTCAGCCTCCCAAAGTGCTGGGATTACAGGCATGGACCACCGCGCCCGGCCTATCGAGGGTTTTAAAAGTGTTCATTGGAGCCTTGGACCCAGTAACTCCACTTCAAGAAGTCTAACAAAAGAAAGAAATCAAAGGTGGGATTCATGAATGTGGATGTTCAACACAATATTGGAAACAATCTGAACATAAAACCAAACACAAACGATGTATTAAATTCTGCCCCCTTCATTCCTGACCTATTATAAATGGTGCAAGTTTCCATTTTCCAATCTTTCTAAGGTAGTTCAGGTACAATTACTTGAGGCAGAAGGTTGAATTCGACGACCAAGAAGGTCTAAGGGCAATGTTTTTGTGAAATAAATTTTTTGCCTACTTGTAGCTGGTGCCCAGAATTTTGCTCTGGGGTTTACTATTCTCCCAAAAGAGCCAAGTGGCTAAATTTGAAGTGTCTGAAAGTGTCTGAGGAAAGAGAAAATAGTCTTTCCATTTAGGTGTTGGCAGGGTCACTGTGGGAATCTTACTTTCAAATTACAGAGTCCAAGTTGAAAGGGTCTTAGAGATATTCTGGTTAAAACACCCACCCATTTCTGGAGTATCTGTTGTTTTCCAGGCACAGGTTAGGTACGGAGAATAGGAGGGCATGATTCTAGTGCATAAGGGCTTTACAATGCAGCCCTGGGCATAAGAGAAGAATGAAACACGTCACCACAGGCTGAGTGTGGAAGTGCCAGGTCAGATCCACAGTGAGTGAGGAGGTGGGTGGGAGATCCATCCCGGGGGGACACCTGGTGGGTCACATCTGGGAACACTGCAGATCGTAATTCCCACAACTCTGAAGGAAAGAGATGAGAGGGTCTCAGACTCTAGAGAAATGCTAACTGAGTTAGAAATGAGAAGAAATGAGGCCGGAAGAGGCACGATCCGATGCCACAGCTTTACTAAATAGTGAAAAAGCAAGCTCTTAGAAGAGGTCCCAAATCCTTTTTTTTTTTTTTTTTTCCGAGACGGAATCTCACTCTGTCACCGAGGCTGGAGAGCAGTGGTGCGATCTCGGCTCACTGCAACCTCTGCCTCCCAGGTTCAAGTGATTTTCCTGCCTCAGCCTCCCAAGTAGCTGGGATTACAGGTGCCCGCCACCACGCCTGGCTAATTTTTGTATTTTTAGTAGTATAGTTTTTTTTTGAAATAAGTGGGGGCATCAGTGAACCAACCAATCAATGACAGAAGGAGAGATGAGATCTTGGTGCTTTAATCCCATGCCAGGCTAGTGAAATAGACAAGATACTATCACCTGCAACATATGTAACAATAACCAATGACAGCCTTGTAAGAATGGAAACATCTACTCTCTGTGAGCACTGTGCTGTGAGGGTTCCAGAATGACCTCATGGTATCCTCCCATTGACCTTCTGAAGCAGATGTTTTACCTAAGGGAAAACCGAGACTCAGACAGGTGAAGTAAACTCTCCAAATGTACCCTGCCAGTATGTGTCAGAACCAGGATTGGAACTAATCTACGTCTAATTTGTACCCCAAAAGTATCTTACGATATTACTTCTAAATAAGGTCTGTGTACTTGAGTTTGATGGCCCATGTTCAGAGACGTTGCACGATTTAGCAAAGTGTGTAAATATACAAGCCTGAAAGTCAGTGGAAGCCCGCACCAAACTTCAATGACCCAATGGCCACCTTGGGGACTCCCAGTTTCTTTATCTTAAAATGTGGGAGATGGAATTCATGCATCTGCTAACCCTGCTTACTGTCTCTTGTTTTCACTCTGCAACAGCTTTGAAGCCGAAATTTTCACTTCTATTTACTGACTGGAAATAATTGACTCACACAAAAGCATCAGTGAGATTCCTAACAAGGCGCTGGGCTCAGCACTGACAGGAAGACCCCACTCGATGTAGTATCCCCGTCTCTCCTCTTGGCTCCCAGGACCTGACCCCGCTCTCCCTCCTTGCCCAGTGCCCCACCTTGTGTCCTCACTCCCTCACCTCCAGGTCCATCTCCTCTCCTCCGCCGCCCGGAACTCTCGGTTTCTCTCTCTTCTCTGGTAGAGGCCTCAGCTCATTTCCAGTCCCAGTTTCCCAACCAGCAAGCCCATACACATCTCCCTGCTTCAGCAAGCCAAGATCCGCTCCCCTTAAAAATCAGTACAGGGCCATAAATCACATGATTTTTTCCCTCTTAGAGGGATGATTAGACAGATAATTCATGTAACTGAATCACATAATAATCACTGAATGAAAGGCAGCCATTGTTTTCATTAATGGAGAGAGCATACCTTCCCTGCTCTCTTCTCTTCTACACCACTATGAGTTGATGTCATGGCAGATTCTATGGCAGAAAAGCTCTTCGTCTGGGGCTACCACCGCAGAGTGGGGGCATTTTATCACCTTTGGGAAGAAGCACAGCCATCACTAGGCACAGAAATCTATATGTTGTGAACCTGTGGGCCAGAAACTAGGCAGTCTCCCCAAATGGAAATACCATCAACAACTGGAAAGTTTGTGATGAGATCTTGTTCTGGAGTATTGAGAAACAGGAGTCCCACTTACACCAAGCGTGTTCTTTATTCTACCCCAAAGGTAGAGGGAAACAGCAGTGTGGCATATGAGAAGAGAGCCTGGCCATTAGAGGACCTGGCCAGATCTGCTATGAACCATCACCCCACATAACGTCTTGGCCTGCTAGGTGCACCGGGTCAGATGTCCACAAAAGTGGCACGTGTTTACGAAGGGAGAAGGAGGTTGGAGGAGAGAAAAGGTGTTGTGTAAAAAATAGTACAAAATAATCCTTTTTTTTTTCTTTGTACAGATGGAGGTCTCACTATGTTGCCCAGGCTGATCTCACACTCCTGGCCTCAAGCAATCCTCCTGCCTCAGCCTCCCCAAAATGCTGGGATTACAGGTGTGAGCTACCATGCCTAGCCCAAAATAATCTTAAAAGCTGTGTGTCATTATTATTGCCACTGAACGGAGAGTTGGAGTGGTTGAGTCAATATCCCAAGGTCTTGTAGTTGGTAAGTGGTAGAGCTAGGAATCCAACTTCAGAAGCAGCACCTTTGGCCAACAGATCAAGGCCTCTCCAAGCATCGTCTTCATCGTTACAGCTAACAGGTACCAAATACTAAGTCTATACCAAATAGGATGCAAGGTGCATTGCCAACATTATTTGCTTAATCCTCACACCATCGCTGTGAGGTTGGCACTATAATTACCCTCTTCTTAAATAGGAAAGCAGATGGAAACGGTGAGAAGTTAAGTGTTAAATGGCTTGCTCACAGGGACTTGGGGAGGGCGGTGAGGTGTGAGTGTGGGCCATTCAACTTGGGGTAGGGCTTTTGAGCAGTGTGCCGTATTGCATCTCCAGTGGGCCGCAGTGAGCACACCTCCTGCGGCACTGAACTGCAGGAGGGAGAAGGCATTGCTAAGGATCGAGTCCTAAACACCAACTGAACGGGGCCACCGAGCTACGTTGGCTCCTCAGGCACTCTCATGCTGGTGGGGTCTGTAGAAGAACCTGCTAGAGTTGACTGAACTTTTATGAAAGTGACATAACAAGAATTTTAATCATGAGAAATTAGCACAGGACCATGAAAATATCAAAGCATAAGAGAGAACTATCAGCAAGTCATCTTGCAGCCCAGGCCCTGAAGGCGCTCATACAGAAGAAACGTGGACAGGAGGTGGGAACCTGGGCCTTGGCCTTGTGAGACTCTGTCTCTAACTACAACCTTCTGAAGCTCCGTTTTTTAATCTCTGAAATGGGCTGAAAGAATCTCACCTCGTGATTGAGCTACCCTGCGCGGGAAACCACTTGTTTTCCCTGGATCTGTACAACCTACAGGTCAGGAGATCCCCTTGTGAACCCACGCCACCAGGGCCTTGGGTCCCAAGCACAGAGCTGTGCAGATTCTCAGTGGCCACTCGGCTGGAGACACTGCCTAAGACTACTGAGTTCACAGGGGGAGGGGTTGCCACCATCACTGTAGCCCCAGTCTGCCATTTCCCCTGCTGGTGCCAGGGAAACTGGGTGGTTTGGACTCAGGAACAACTCCCCACAGCGCAGCACAGTGGCTGTGGCAGATCATGGCCAGGCTACCTCTTTAGGCCAAACTTGGACCCATCCCTCCTCACCAGATGGGGCCTCCCCGCAGGAATTTCAGCAACTCCAGGCAGGGGTTTAGGGATAGAACTCTGATTTCCTTGGGATGGAGCCCCTAGGGCATGGAGTGGCCATAGTCTCCATGGATCAGCAGACTTGATCTTTTCCCCTGCTGGCTCCGTGGAATCTGGGCAGTCCAGACGAGTGGGATTCCTTCCAGCACAGTGCACCCCCTCCACCAAGGGGCAGCCAGAGTGCTTTGTTAAGCGGGTCTCTGATCCTGTGACTCCTGAGCGGTTGAGACCTCCCAACAGGGGTCACCAGACACCTTATACAGGAGCATTCCCACTGGCGTCAGGTCAGTGCCTCTCTGGGATGGAGCTCCCAGAGGAAGGAGCAGGCAGTCATCTTTGCTGTTCTGCAGCCTCCACTGGTGACACCTCCAGGTGTGGGAGGAACCCAAGCGAATGGAGTCTGGAGTGGATGCCTAGCAAACCTTAGCAACCCTACAGAAGAGGGGCCTGACTGTTAAAAGAAAAACAGATAAACAGAAAGCAACAACAACAGCATCAACAAAAAAGTCCCCACAAAAACTCCATCCAAATGTCAGCAGCCTCAAAGACTGAAGGCAGATAAAGTCATGAAGATGAGAAAGAATCAATGAAAAAACACTGAAGACTCAAAAAGCCAGAGTGTCTTCTCCAAAAGATCACAACATATCTCCAGCAAGGGCACAGAACTGGGCTGAAGCTGAGATGGATGAACTGATAGAAGTAGGCTTCAGAAGGTGGGTAATAACAAACTTTGCTGAGCTAAAGGAGCATGTTCTAACCCAATGCAAAGAAGCTAAGAATCATAATAAAACACTACGGGAGCTGTTAACCAGAATAACCACTTTAGAGAGAAATATAAATGACCTGATGGAGCTAGAACATACAACAAAAGAACTTCACAATGCAACCACAAGTATCAATAGCCAAGCAGACCAAGCAGAAGAAAGAATTTCAGAACTTGAAGACTATCTTGCTGAAATAAGACAGGAAAACAAGATTAGAGAAAAAAGAATGAAAAGGAATGAGCAAAACCTCTGAGAACTATGGGATTAGGTAAAAAGACCAAACCTATGACTGATTGGGGTACCTGAAAGAGACAAAGAGAATGGAACCAAGCTGGAAAACATATTTCAGTATATCATCCAGGAAAACTTCCCCAACCTAGCAAGTCAGGCCAGCATTCAAATTCAGGAAATCCAGGGAACCCCAGTAAGATACTCCATGAGAAGATCAACCAACCCTAAGACACATAATCATCAGATTCTTCAAGGTCAAAATGAAGGAAAAAGTGTTAAGGGCAGCTAGAGAGAAAGTCCAGGTCACCTACAAAGGGAAGCCCATCAGATTAACAGCAGACCTCTCAGCAGAAATCCTACAAGCCAGAAGAGACTGGGAGCCAATATTTAACATTCTTAAAGAAAAGAATTTCAAACCCAGAATTTCATATCTGGCCAAACCAAGCTTCATAAGTGAAGAAGAAATAAAATTCTGTTTGGACAAACAAATGCTGAGGGAATTCATCACCACCAGGTCTGTGTTGCAAGAGCTCCTGAAGGAAGCACAAATATGGAAAGGAAAAACCATTACCAGCCACTACAAAAACAGACTGAAGTACAAAGACCAATGACACTATGAAGCAACTACATCAACAAGTCTGCAAAATAACCAGCTAGCATCATGATAACAGGATCAAATTCACACATAACAATATTAACCTTAACTGTAAATGGGATAAACGTCCCAATTAAAAGACATAGAATGGCAAGCTGAATAAAGAGTCAAGACCCATTGGCATGTTGTGTTCAAGAGACTTATCTCACATGGAAAGATACACATAAGCTCAAAATAAAGAGATGGAGGAAAATTTACCAACCAAATGAAAAGCAGAAAAAAGCAGGGGTTGCAATCCTAGTTTCTGACAAAACAGGCTTTAAGCCAACAAAGTTCAAAAAAGACAAACAGGGGCATTATATAATGGTAAAGGTCTCAATTCAACGAGAAGAGCTAGCTATCCTAAATATATATGCACCCAATACAGTAGTACCCAGATTCATAAAACAAGTTTTTAGAGACCTATAAAGAGACTTAGACTCCCACACAATAATAGTGGGAGACTTTAACACCCCACTGTCAATATTGAGACAGAAAATTAACAAAGATATTCAGGACTTGAACTCAGCCCTGGATCGAGTGGACCTGATAGATATCTACAGAACTTTCCACTCAAAAACAACAGAATATACATTCTTCTCAACACCATATTTGTCACTAACTGTAAAATCAATCACATAATTGGAAGTAAATCACTTTTCAGCAAATGCAAAAGAAATGAAATAACAAAAAAAACCACAGTCTCTCAGACAACAGCACAATCAAATTAGAACTCAATATTAAGAAACTCGCTCAAAACCACACAACTATATGGAAATTGAGCAACCTGCTCCTGAATGACTCCTGGGTAAATCATGAAATTAAGGCAGAAATCAAGAAGTTCTTTGAAACCAATGAGAACAAAGAGACAATGTACCAGAATCTCTGGGATGCAGCTAAAGCAGTGTTAAGAGGGAAATTTATAGCACTGAATGGCCACATTGAAAAGCTAGAAAGATCTCAAGTTAACAACCTAACATCACAACTAGAAGGACTAGAGAACCAAGAGTAAACAAACCCCAAAGCTAGCAGAAGACAAGAAATAACCAAGATCAGAGGAGAATGGAAGGAGATGGAGACATGAAAATCCCTTCAAAAAATCAACGAATCCAGGAGCTGTTTTTTTGACAAAATTAATAAAATAGACCACTAGCTAGACTAATAAAGAAGAAAAGAAAGAAGAATCAAATAGACACAATACAAAATTATAAAGGGGATATCACTACAGAAATACATACAACCATCAGAGAATACTATAAATACCCCTATGCAAATAAACTAGAAAATCTAGAAGAAATGGATAAATTCCTGGACACATACATCCTCCCAAGACTGAACCAGAAAGAAGGTGAATCCCTGAAGAGACCATTAAAAAGTTCTGAAATTGAGCCAGTAATAAATAATCCACCAACCAAAAAAAGCCCAGGACCAGACAGATTTACAGTTGAATTCTACCAGAGGAACAAGGAGGAGCTGGTACCATTTCTCAAGAAACTATTCCAAACAATTGGAAAGGAGTGACTCCTCCCTAACTCATTTTATGAGGCCAGCATCATCCTGATACCAAAACCTGGCAGAGATACAAGAAAAAAAAGAAAACTTCAGGCCAATATCCCTCATGAACATAGATGCAAATATCCTCAATAAAATACTGGCAAACTGAACTCAGCAGCACATCAAAAAGCTTATCCACCGTAGTGGAGTTGGCTTCATCCCTGGGATACAAGCCTGATTCAACATACACAAATCAATAAATATAATTCATCACATAAACAGAACTAATGACAAAAACCACATGATTATCTCAATAGACGCAGAAAAGGCCTTCGATAAAATTCAACATTCCTTCATGTTAAAAACTCTCGATAAACTAGGTATTGATAGAAAATACTCAGAATAATAAGAGCCATTTATGACAAATGCACAGCCAATATCATACTGAATGGGCAAAAACTGGAAGCATTCCCCTTGAAAACTGGCACAAGACAAGGGTGTTCTCTCTCACCATTCCTAGTCAACATAGTATTGGAAGTTCTGGCCTGGGCAATCAGGCAAGAGAAAGAAATAAAGTGTATTCAAATAAGAAGAGAGGAAATCAATCTGTCTCTGCTTGCAGATGACATGATCCTATATCTAGAAAACCCCATCATCTGAGCCCCAAAGCTTCTGAAGCTGTTAAGCAACTTCAGCAAAATCTCAGGATACAAAATCAATGTGGAAAAATCACAAGCATTCTTATACATCAACAATAGACCAGCAGAGAGCCAAATCATGACTGAACTCCCATTCACAATTGCTACAAAGAGAATGAAATACTTAGGAATACAGCTAACAAGGCAAGTAAAGGACTTCTTCAAAGAGAACTACAAACCACTGCTCAAGGAAATCAGAGAGGACACAAACAAATGGAAAAACCTTCCATGCTCATGGATAGGAAGAACCAATATTGTGAAAATGGCCATACTGCCCGAAGTAATTTATAGATTCAATGGTATTCCCATTAAACTACCATTGACATTCTTCACAGAATTAGAAAAAAACTACTTTAAAATTCATATGGAACCAAAAAAGAGCCTGAATAGCCAAGACAATCCTAAGCAAAAAGAACAAAGCTGGAGGCATCATGCTACCTGACTTCAAACTATACTACAAGGCTACAGTAACCAAAACAGCATGATATTGATACAAAACAGACACATAGACAAATGGAACAGAATAGAAACCCAGAAATGAGACTGCACATTTACAACCATCTGATCTTTGACAAACCTGACAAAAACAAGCAATGGGGAAAGGATTCCTGGTTTAATAAATGGTGCTGGGAGAACTGGCTAGCCATATGCAGGAAATTAAAACTGGACCCCTTCCTTACACCTCATACAAAAATTAACTCAAGATGGATTAAAGACTTAAATGTAAAACCTAAAACTATAAAAACCCTAGAAGAAAATCTAGGCAATACCACCCAGGACATAGGCATGGGCAAAGATTTCATGATGAAAACGTCAAAAGCAATTGCAACAAATGCAAAAATCGACAAATGAGACCTAATTTAACTAAAGAGCTTTTGCACAGCAAAAGAATTTGTCATCAGAGTGAACAGACAAACTACAGAACAAGAGAAAATTTTTGCAATCTATCCATCAGACAAAGATCTAATATCCAGAATCTACAAGGAACTTAAACAAATCTACAAGAAAAAAAAAAACAACCCCATTAAAAAGTGGGCAAAGGACAAAAACAGACACTTCTCAAAAGAATACATACATGCAGCCAACAAACATAAGGGAAATAGCTCAACATCACTGATCATTAGAGAAATGCAAATCAAAACCACAATGAGATACCATCTCATGCCAGTCAGAACGGCGATTACTAGGAGTTAAGAAACAATAGATGCTGGGGAGGCTCTGGAGAAATAGGAATACTTTCACACTGTTGGTGGTAGTGTAAATTAGTTCAACCATCATGGAAGATAGTGTGGCGATTCTCCAAAGACCTAGAATCAGAAATACCATTTGACCCAGGATTCCTATTACTGGGTATATATTCTAAAGAATACAAATCATTCTATTATAAAGAAACATGCATACAGATGTTCGTTGCATTATTCACAATAGCAAAGACAGAGAATCAACCCAAATGACCATGAATGATAGACTGGATAAGAAAACATGGTACATATACACCATGGAATACTATGCAACCATAAAAAAGAATGAGATTTTTGTCTTTTGCAGGGACATGGATGAAGCTGGAAGCCATTATCCTCAGCAAACAAATGCAAGGACAGAAAACCAAACACCACATGTTCTCACTTACAAGTGGGAGCTGAACAATGACAACACATGGACACAGGGAGGGGAACAACACACACTGGGGCCTGTTGGGGAATGTAGAGGGAGGGAGAGCATCAGGATAAATAGCTAATGCATGCTGGGCTTAATACCTAGGTGATGGGTTGATAGGTGCAGCCAACCACCATGGCACACGTTTACCTGTGGAACAAACCTGCACATCCTGCACAAGTACCCTAGAATTTAATAAAATAAAATAAAATAGAATCTCATCTCTTTCCAACAAATTATGAAATCTGAAGGATAAATGAGTTTATAAATATGAAAATATTTGAGAGCTCTTTGGAAGAAAGGTGCTATGGAAACATAGCACAATGTTTGCCTGCACGATGTGCATGCCGTATTTGTATATGCTATTGCACTGAAGGATTCATGCTTCCTATTAGTTCTAAGCCAGATAATCAGATGAATAGAACATAATCAGATATCTGATTCTATTAGGCAGACACTGAGTATGTAGAAATATGTAAATAGCTTTTAATTTTAGATTGGCATCCTTTGCACCGCTGATGGAGTAGGTTAAACATGAATATTGTAAGCGTAGACACTTCCCACCATTGACAGGTATGTTAAGAACATGGATGTAGAGCCTGAGAGATTAGATATTCTGTAGGTAGAATTCTCCTTTTACAATTTAACTAGATCTTGGATAAAACACACATGCACATGCATGTATACACACACACACACACACATTCACACACACACACAAGAGTTTTAAAAATATTGCCAAGCTCACAAGTGATCCCACTAGGTCAGTGGTGTTCCTTCTTTCTTGGAAAAGCAAATGAATATCTTCTTTTCAGGACAGTTTCAATTTAAGTCCCCAAGCTTCCCACAGACTAAGTTCAATCATATATGAACTAAAGTTTTTTACCAAACATGCATATCAATAAGTCACATGGCAGAGGTGGCTAGCTCTCAACCAATGTGTTCTGCTGTCCTTCCACTGTGAACAGATGTTGCTGGGAAACACTCGGCAACTGCCTCACCAGCAGAAGCATTTTCTAGCCACATTTCCATCTAGGTGAAGCCCTGAACTGCACTCAGGCCAATGGGAAGAAGGCAGAAGTGAAATGCACCATTTCTAGCCCTGGCCCATGGATGCTTCCCCTGCTATTTGCCAGAGCCTTCCTTTCCCTGTCTACCAGCAGGATGTTGGTGCTCAGGGCGATCCTGGAAGTTGGACATGGTGCAGCCTTCATCCGTCAGCGTCTGTGAATGACTACATGGAGCGAGCCCCACCTCCATGCACCAACTGGACATCATGTGAGGGAGGAAACAGTTCTAGCATGTTAAACCACTGAGATGTTAGAGTGTGAGTGAACAGCGGTAAGTTTTATCTTAACTACCGCAGTCACTGTGAGAGTCAGCAGAAACGACAACCACAGATTTAGCACCAAGAGCTTTAAGTTTGGAATGATTATATTTAGAATAAAAGACAAGCTTTATGACGTGTTTAAAGAAATAAAAGATAGAATCAAAATTAGCAAGGAACAAGAGACTTTAAGAAATAACCATGTAGAATTAAGAATCAAATAGATTTTTGGATATTAAGAATATAATAATGTTAAAACTTGGTAGTAAGCTAAATAGCAGAACCAATGCAGCTGAAAAAATAATGAACTGGAAGATGTAATTGAAAAAATAATGCAGAATTCAGTATATGTGGGAAAGAGATTAAAATATGAGGGAAAGCAAATCGTGGCTCCACAACCTGTGTCTACCCAGAACCTGCGGAAGTGACCTCATTTGGAAGAAGGGTCTTAGCAGATGTCACTAAGTTAAGGGTTTCAGGATGAGGTCGTCCTGGGTGATCCAATGGTCCTGCATCCAATGGCAAGAGGTCTTATAAGGAAGGGAGACAGTCACATGTCAATAGAGGCAGAGGTGGAAGTGATGGGTCCACAGGCCCAAAAAGGCCAAGGAATTCTGGCGGCACCAGCAGCTGGAGGACAGTCATAGAACAGATTCTCCCTCGGAGCACCGAGAAGGCAAAACCCTTGATTTTGGACTTCTTGCCTCGAGAACCATGGCAGTCGATTCCTGTTGTCTGAGCCACCCAGCGTGTGGAGTGTGTGACAGCAGCCCTAGGGAGCTGACACAAAGGCTGCGAGACAGGAGGAATGGGAGGAGAGGAGCTGCGTCACATCTAATGAGACAGCTGGGAGGAAGACTGGAGACAACAGAGGTAGGACAATATTATGAGAGATAATCAAAGAATTTTCTGAACCGATGAATTGTATGAATCCTGAGATAAGTAAATATAGCATATTTTACAAATGCAGGTCAAATTGTATTAAATGTATACTAAACTGGATTGAGAACACAGAACATCCCTGTCTTCAGAGTAGCCGGGAGTAGAACTACAGGGTCATGGGTGGAGTTTGCCCAGGACAGTCCTGGTTTACACCGGTTGCTCCTGTCATGATTCTTACCTCCTCTTGCGTTCTGAAAAGCATCCTGATTTGCATAGGTTTTGAATGTCACTAAATTCACACCCTCCCATAAAGACAAACACCAGAAACAACATCCCACGGGCAACATCTACAACCAAATGAGGGACAACGCATCCCTGTGAACCTCAAAACACAAACCTGTGGGGACACCCCAGCCAGCGCTCTAGAGCCACATGGTCTCAGCCTCTGTGTGGGGTAGCAGGGAGGAGGAGCCGTGTCCTTTTGCGAGAATCATGCCCAGACCCCAAGGTCCTTTCACTCTCATCACCCTCTTTAACCTGCAGAACACCTTGTCCTTATTTAGATTAAAAACAAAAAAGTTGTAGTATTCTTGACAAAAAAGGTTTAACTTGAATCTATTCATGAAGAAAAACAATCAGACAAATCCAAAATGTGGCATATTGTACAAGACAACTGGCTGGGATTTTTAGGATTGCCAACATCATGAAGGACCAAAATACAAAACAAAAAGGCAAAACAATTTCTCTTAATGCAGAGCAAAGGAACATGGCAACCAAACGTACTGCTTGAAACTTGATTAGATTTTAGATTTCAAATAATGTTCTAAGGGATTCTTTTTTGGCCATTGAGAAAACCTGAAAATATGGAAAATAGTCTAATTAGTTGATTTGTTGAATCAATGTTAAATTTGTTGGGTAGCATTGTGGTTGTGTAGAGAATATCTTACCCTTACCCATGCTGAAGGATTTAGCGGTGAAGTGTCAGGTGTTAGCAATTTACCCTCAGCTGGTCCAGCAGAAACAAAAGAGAAACCTATATTTCTCAGTGATTAAATAAAGCAAATGTGCCAAACCTTAACAATTTGAGAAACTTGATAAAGCGTACATAGATATTCATAATACTATTTCAATGTTTTTGTACTTTGAAATTTTCTATTATAAAAACTTGAGGAATAGCCATACAATGGGATACTATTCTGCTGTAAACAAGGAAAAAACTATGGATACATGTTCCAGTGTGAATGAAAATGAAGCTCAAAAACAGTATGCTCAGTAAAAGAATCAAGACCCAAGAGACCACAGATTGAATGATTCTGTTTTGATAAAATATCTACAAAAGGCAAAGCTAAAAAGACGCAAAGTAGATTAGCAGTTTTCTGGGGGCGGGGTGGTGGCAAATGGGAATTAACAATAAATGTGCATGAGACCGACAAGGTGAGAAGAGAGAACAAGAAAGAAAGAGAAATAAGGACCAGGCTCTGAGGAGCTCCAATATAAAGGGGCCAGCAAAGAGAAGTCAGTGGGAGGTTCTAGAAGGTGAGGTTGAGAGGAAGGAGAAAACTTGGACCCCAATAAAGAGACAGTTTCTAGGAGGCAGGAATGGTCAAAAGGTTAAATACACAGAGAGATCTTGAGAGATGCCATTGGGTCTGGCCATTAGGAGGTTTTGAGTGAATTTAGGAAGAGCAGGAAGGGTAGAGGATGACATCAGTAGTGGAATCCCAGTTCATGCATTTGCCCCGCCGTGGCCTGGGCTGAAGTCTCCTACAGGCCTCTCTGCTTCCGCCCTCAGCCTCACTGGCCATTGCTCTCCATGCCCCGGTGCTAGAGTGATCTTTCTAAAATGAAAGTCTTATCACACTACCCCCCTACTCAGAACCCTCCAAAGGTGAGCCCCACACTCAGAATAAGATCCAAAGTCTGCGCCACGACCTACAGGACCTGCCGCGGCCTCTTGTCCATTCAGGTTCTTCAAGAAGCAGACGCCAAGACAAGGTTAAACATAAGAGAAATGTGTTAAGAAAGCACTCGTTCCACACAGAGGGAGGGGAGGAAGCAGAAGCAGGCCGTAAAATCTCCCATTTGTAAGGTCTGGCATCTGTGAGAGGAGATGCGGAAGGAAAGGACTGGGTAGAAAGGATGTCTGCAAATCTAAGGAGGTTTGACCAGATTGCTGGGAATCCTCAAGCTGGGCCAAGGTCACCTGTTAGAGGAAAAGGCCTGCACCAGGAGCCTGACCTTGCTTGGTCATTGGTCAGGGTCAGCTTGGGAGAAGTGAAACTTTGGCACCAAGGTGATGGACTTAAAGGAGCAGCAGCTGGGACCATTGGTTGACTCTGCTCCCTGCAGCAGATCTGGGCAGTACTGCGTGAAGGCCACCACACCACTGCACACCGCTCAGACCTCACTGCCACTCTCATTGCTCCTTTTTTGCTCTTGCTACACTGGCTCTTGGCTTCCTCCAATATCCCAAACATGCACCTGCCTCAGAGCTGTCGCTGTTCCCTGCCTGGAATGCTTTGTTCTCGGATATCTACAGGCCAGCTCCAGGGCCTTGCTCAGGTCTCTGCTCAAATTTTATCTTATCAGAAAGACATTTGCAGACCACCCTAGGTAAAATGGCACTGTGGTCATTCTTGGTGCCTCGTCTAACTTTTTCCATAGAATTTATTACCACCTGACATTGTTTATATATGTGTTATTTGTCTGCAACATTTCACAAGAATGTAAATTTCAGGAGGGTAGAAACTTTGCCCTGTTTTGTTCATTTGTATCTCCAGGGCCTAGAAGAGTATCTCTGGCTCCATAGAAGGTGAGAGATACTTCTTGAATAAATGAATGAATAGACACCTATTATTTACACATAGCAAGCTCTGAAAATATTTTGTTGAATGAAGAATGAATGAATGAAGAATAAACCAGACTGTCCAGGAGCTGGGGATACAGCGCAGAACAAGACCAAGTCCTGCTCTTGGAGCATACATTCTTTAATTAAAATAAGGTTTATGACTGGATGCTAGAGTCACGATAGATGATGTATGGAAGCACAGGCCTCTTGGAGTCAGCTTCTGTGTGTTACCTTTATGGTAGCATGCTCTTACAGAAGACCATTCCAGGACAGAGTATAACATGGCCCATGGGTTGAACAAACCCAGGGGTGTTTTGTTTCCATCCTTATGTTTATGTTTCAATTCTAGAAGTCCTGTCAGTTTCCGTTGTGCCTGAAGCCTTTCCCAGTCGTTTCTCTTTATGAAAAACATCAACGGAGGTTGGCGTCTGTGGGGTATATTCCAAGACCTACAATGTATGTTGTTAACCCAATTCCTTCAACCAAAGAAAATATTGTCCTAGGTTTTTGTTCCAAACAAAGAAGGTAATTTCTTCACCAACTGCCATTTTCACCCCCATCCCCCCAAATTGACGATCTGGGGTCCCACGCTCTGCTTGAGTCAAGGGTTGGCACACGACTCAAAGCTTCTGTCCTGAAGCTGTGTCACAGTCTTGCCACGCTGTGTTTGCATATGGCTGCTAGGAATCAGCTCCATGAGACCACACACAGGCATCTCACGTGAGAGGGAAAGCTGGTTCAGAAGCCACGTGGGGAGACGATGCCACATTGCTCCAGAGGGCTACAGATTTATGAACAGTTTAGCTGGAGAGAGAAGCAAGTCTTCTGAGAAAAGATTCAGGAAAATGTATTGCCAATTAAATGTGGGAGGCTTCATTCAAGATAAAGATGTCTCACGCTCACACATGAGAGACTGATTGTTAATCCCCTGGGCCTACTGGTAGGACCAGCTTTGCATTTTATGTGACGGAGGAGGTACTGATTTCCATGAAGAAGTCAAACCCTGGCCCTATTAACACTTAGACTTGAACCTGAATAGATCTAGAAAGATTCCTAGGAAGCAAAATGACAGATAAGGTGATTAAGCAAGTGGATGCATTTGCCATTCTTTGAAAATGTAATTTCCTGGACTTTCCACCTGTGACCCACCAGGGTGACCATTCAAGTCTGTCAAGTGCTTTGGGGCTGCAGCTTGGAGCCGAGTGGCTCTGCACACTAAGAGAGCTGGGCCGTGCTGGGAAAGTGGATTGGAGTTGATATAATAAATAGTTCCTCATGTATATGCCAGGGGATTTCTCCTCTCAGCCGCCTTCCTTTCCTGGCCATGGAAGGAAAGGAAGTCCTGTCAGTTTCCTGAGTCAGGGGTGCTGTGTTGAAACCAGAGGGGATGGTGTCCATTAGATAGTTCCCAAAAAGAATTAGACTTTGTCCCTCAGGGAAACTGGTAGTGAAAGATGTGATTTTCAACAGAAATTCCTGGCCTAGATTTCTAACCCCACAAATCCTACCTCAAATCAGGCCACTTTCCCTCTTTTTAAATCATAACTTTGAGTCTCATCTAGGGAAAGGGGTATAGAAAGACTAAATTCACGCTTTAAAAAGTAAAGGTAAGCATGGACAGGCTTCCGGTGCTAAGCAATGCTGAAGCTCCGGTTTGAGTCCGCAGCACTGGCAGTGAACGGGGCTCATGACCAATGACAGTCCTGCCTTTCCACGGACAAAGTCAGGAAGCCTCATGAGGAAACAGACCAGAGGAGGCCAGAAGGGCAGAAGAAAGAGAGGACCCTGCAGGAATGTTCAAATAAACTCCGTGGAGTCCTTAATGTCCTCATTTTTAAAGAAAAGCAACTTGAACCCAAGGAGACTTTGTCTGAAGCCACAAGGTTTAGATCTCACCACAGCCCGGAGTAGAACCCGTGTCTCCCACTTCTGGTCCATCCTGACTCTCCTCCCATGAATATCTCCAAGAGATGGAGAGGAGCGAGCCAGCCAGAGCCCAGGATCAGCATGTGAGCATGAAAAGGAAGGGAACTCGTGTGAGGAGACAAGTGGTTGGATTTGGCAAAGAACTGAGAAAATATAAAATATGGCTGAGTAAAATACAAGGTAATCTCATTTTGGCAGAAGCATTGCCTTTTTATTTCATGTTATTAAAAATCATATTCTCTTGCTGACCATGAAACCACCTGGAAGCAGGGGTGCTAAAATAGAAAACCTACCACACACCATGTCGCCTCAGGGAACCGCCGTCTCTGAGAAATTTTCCAGACTCTCTGTTATAAGTGGCTTGAACTCTCAAACCTAATATCTCTTGGGTAATACAAAAGAAGTTGTTTAAACCACCAGAGTACTGGATTACTCACCGATCTGGAATTTAGTGAAAAGGTAAACCATAGAGTTTAAGTATGGTGCCTTCTTGCCCCTCACAATATTTGACAGAGTTTGCAAAATACTTAATTCCTTCCATTTCTGCTTTGTGCTTCTAGAACTTATCCTGGTTTGTGTGTGGACTGTCACTGGGGAGAAGAGAGCAGAGAGAATCGGGGAGATATGTCTGAGCTGATCTCCCTCATTTTCATTTGGATGTTTCATCTGCTCTAAGACTAAACATATCACCCTTGATAGATTGGCAGCAGGAATTTCTTTTCTGTTTGGAGTGGAAATGAGATGGGGAAGAGAACAGCTAAAAAGGAAAGCTGGCTAACTATTTAGGATACAGCAGCTTCAAGAAACTTTAAAACATATACAAGGAGGCATTTATAGAGTGCTTACTAAGTGTCAGGGAGCATGAGACACATTGAGTGGGATGTAGGGTGAGTCAGACCCTGCCCTCATTGGGACCACCATGCCCTCCCAGGTCCCCATAACCAAGTATAATCAGAAGCAACTTGTCCAGAGCTGCATCTTGGTGGTCTGGGGCAGTATCCCAGATGTGACTTATCAAAAGAGGCCTGTTTAAGCCATTTTTCACAACTGTGCAGCCTTGACCATTTGAGATAAGTAGCTAAGTGTCTGATGTTGAATCCTCTCTTTTATGCTCAACCCCAGAAGCGCTTATTGTTCACATTGTCCATTGAGACACACAAAGGAGGGTTTAAAAAATAGTTACCCAGGAGGTTGCTTAGTCTGAAGGAAGCCTGGAAAGGCAGTGGCTCATGTACTATGGGTGTCTATGTGTGCAGGCGTATGCCACGTGCATATGCAGCTACAAGATCACTGTCTAAGGGAGAGACACGTAGATGCCTATGCAGGATGGCGGCCCTGAGAGCTGCTTCCTTAGAAGTCAGAAGGAAGAGGCAGCATGATGTTGTGGGGAGCACAGGATTTTGTACTCATAGTTCTTCCATTTATGGGCCCTGTAATCTTGAACAAGTAATTTAATATCTCAGAGCCTTGGTTTCCTCATTTGTAAAATGGGAACAATTGTGACTACTTTATAGGGTTTTATGAGGATTAATTGGAATAGTGTTTGAACGTACCTAGCACTGAGCATAGCACAAAATACGGTAGACATTTGGGAAATGTACGTTCTGCTCCCTGCTTGACTGAATCCGGCTACTTGTAATAAAGGAAGACAATAGGAGTGCTACAGAGATAGGCCATCCATTGTCTTCTCAGATCCTGACTCTGCCAACTGGAGGCAGTGTGTTGAGAACGCAGAGCGATGGAGGGGGAAGCAGAAGCCCTCTGTTCTGGTCCTGATCCACTCACTTCCTGACTAGTTGACCTCAGGCAAGGCACTTAACTTCTCTAGATGAAAGTTCTCTCATCTGTAAAATGCCTGTACATAACTCCTAACGTGACTGTAAAGATCAATTGAAGGCATCAAGATTAGAAAGGAAGAAGTAACTGCCTTTATCTGCAGAAAATATGATCTTGTATATTCTTGTATGCAGAAAATCCTCAGGAATACACAAAAAACTTTTAACTAATAAACAAATTCAGTAAGGTAGGAAGATAATTACAGTTTATATACTGCAAAAATAAAATTCTGAAGATAATTCCATTCACATTAACGTCAAAAAAAATAAAACATTTAGCAATATTTAGCAAAAGAAGTACCAAATGTACGCTGAAAGCTACAAAGCATTGCTGAAGGAAACTGCAACAACCCAAATACATGGAAAGACAGCCCATATTCATGGATCAGAAGACTTAGTATTGTTAAGATGGCAATACTACCTAAGTTGGACTACAGATTCAACACAATCCTTATCCAAATTCCAGCTGGCTTTGGCAAAAGTTGACATGTTCTTCCCAAATTTAATATGAAAGTACAAGTGACTTGGAATAGCCAAAACAATCTTAAAAAGAACAAAATTAAAGGATTTATGTATACTGATTTTGAAACTTTCTACAAAGCGTGGCAATCATGATAGTCTGATCTCACCATAAGGATACACCTAAACATCAAGAGATTATTGGAATAAAATTGAGAGCCCAAGAATAATCTCTAATATTTATGATCAATTGATTTTTGACAAAGCTGTCAGAAATAGTCAATGGAAAAGGAATAGTCTTTTTCACAAATAGTGCGGGGACAACTACCTCACACTGTATATAAACATTAATTCAAAAGGGGTCACAAACTTAAATGTAAGAGCTAGAAATTTTCTTTGTCTTATAAGAAAACATAGGAGTAAATCATCACGATGTTGGGTTAGGCAATTATTTTGTAGTTATGACACAAAAAGTACAAGTCGTAAAAGGAAAAGTTGATAAATAGGACTTCATCAACAATAAATGCTTTTGTACAGCAAGACATCCCATGAAGAAAGTGAAAAGACAACTCACAGCCTGGAAGAAAAATACATGCCAATCATATATCCCATAAGGAATTTATATCTAGCATATAGAAAGAACTCCTACAACTAAAAATAAAATGACAATCTAATTTTTAAAATGAGTAAAGGGATTTGTATAAACATTTCTCCAAAGAAATTATCACACAGTCCACAAGCACATGAAAAGAAAATGCTCAACATCATTAGTTTTTAGGGAAATGCAAATAAAACAACCATGAAATGCCACTTCATAACCCTGGAATGGCTTTGATAAAAAAGACAATAATGGCTCTTTTATCAGAGTGGCTCTAATTTTAAAAAGATAATAACAAGTGTTGGTGAGGTTGTGGAGATGTCAGAACCTCACACATTGCTGGTGAAAATGTAAAATGGTGCAGCCATTTTGAAAAATGGTTTGGCAATTTCTCAAAATGTTAAACACAGAATTATCCTATGATGCAACAATTTCACTCTTACGTATCTATTCAGGAGAAATGACAACATATATTCACACAAAGGCTTGTGCACAAATGTTCACAGCAGTATTATTCACAATGGCCACAAAGTGGAAACAACCCAAATGTTCATCGATTGGTGAATGAATAAGCAAAATGTGGCCTATCCACACAGTGCAATAGTTGGCAATAAAAGGAGAAACATACTAATGCAACATGAACGAACCTCAGAATCATTAGAGTTACTGAATGAAAGCAGCCAGACCCAACAGAACACATATTGTATGATTCCATGTGTATGAAATGTCCAGAAAAGGCAAATCTATAAAGGCAGAGTTGGAGGTTGCTTAGGGCTGGAGGTGAGGATGGGAAGCAACTGCAGGGCACAAAGTTTCCTTTTGGGGTGATAAAAATATTCTAAATAAAAGTATACTGTGGCAGTGGTTGCACATCTCTGTAAATATACTAAAAATAACTGGGTTGTACTCTTAAAATGGCTAGATTTTATAACATGTAAATTATACCTCAGTAAAGCTATTAGTAATCATTTTAAAAGATCAGTTGAGATCACCACTATAGATCCATATATGGGATCTAATTAGCATATGGAAATTAGGTTACATTCTCCAGATTCCCAGCTATGTAGGCAAATACCAACCTCCAAAGCTCCAAATGCAGAATTTACCTACAAAGCATTTTTCCTCCTTTCCAGCTCCCTAGGGGTTTTGCAAACTCTGCTGCTGAGGTACAAATCCCCTAACCTAAGGGTGTTTTCATTTCTTATATTCTTTAATTGTTCAGTTTGATGCTACTGACTTTCTTCTATTAGAAGCTTTGCCTTTCCTTGATTGCTTTGGCCTTGCTGAGATCCTAATGCTATTTTTGGCCTCTGTTGCCACGGTCCCTGATAGCTCTTTGCCTCTTCCTTGTCTCCTTTGATACCTCTTCTTCCACACTGTGCCCACTGAATGTGAGCATGGTCCCCGAGGTTCCTCTTTCTTACCATCATGGTCCCTCATCTACTCAGATGATTTCCCACTCCTCGGTCAGCATCTCCGGGCCTTCGCGGCTGCTAAGAAGTCACCACCTGAATGTCCCGCAAGCGTCGCAGTGTGAGAATATAAACGATTCACTGAGATGCTGTACTGAGATGTTTCACTGCACATTAATTAGCATGTTTCTCCCTGCGTGCTCCCCCTCATCTTCCTGTGTTTCTGGAGCAACGAACAGTCACGATGACTGCTGGATGCACCCCTCCTGAGTGCATTTGAGCACATCGTGACAATGTTTCTGGCAGGGAGGAAAGAAAGCCACATGCCTTTCAGAGAAGACAAGAAGACAAGAAGGCAAGAGAGGCTACATAATTCGCAGGGCCTAGTGAAGAATGAAAATGTGAGATCCTTCATCCACAAATTATTAAGAATTTCAAAACAGTGACAACAGTGCATTAAACCAAGCACAGGGTCCTAATAAGCACAGAGCCCCTGTGGGACTGCACAGGTCCCACCCGCGAGGGTGGCCCTGGTGAGAAGTCTTCTTCCCAGACCAGGGAGGAAAAAGAAGGAGTCAACCTGTCCCGGGAGTGTAGGAGACACGCCCTGCTTGGTGGCAGAACCCACACGGGAGGACTGATGTCTGTGAGATACAATGGGGAAGGCTGGCGTCATGGCACAAGGTTGTCCAGCCCAAAGCCACAGAACCTGGTCTCTGGAGACACATGGACTGGCACATGGGCGTTTGGTGGGAACGAGTATGGAGCAATGACCAGTGCTGCTGCCCCAACTCCGTGGGACTGCCTATGACCTAAGGACCTTTCCTAGACCTCAGCAGGAAAAAGACGCCCCACACCTAACCAGCAGTGATCAAAACTGAAATGCTGATAAGCCCAGTGGCTTGGGAGTCAGAGTCAGATTTTTTTTATCATGGTAAAATATACGTAACACAAAAATGTACCATTTGGACCATTTTTAAAAATTTCTAATTTCTAATTTTTTATTTATTTTTGTATATTGATTTTTTGTAACTTTTATTTTAAGTTCAAGGGTACAAGTGCAGGTTTGTTACCTAAGCAAACTTGTGTCACGTGGGTTTGTTGTACGGATTATTTCATCACCCTGGTATTAAGTCTAGTACCCAATAGTTATTTTTCCTGATCCTCTCCCTCCTCCCACCCTCCGCTGTCCGATAGGCCCCAGTGTGTGTTGTTTCCCTCTATGTGTCCATGTGTTCTCATCATTCAGCTCCCACTCATAAGTGACAACATGTGGTATTTGGTGTTCTGTTCTTGCATTAGTTTGCTAAGAATAATGGTCTCCAGCTTCATCCATGTCCCTGCAAAGGACATGATTAACCATTTTTAAGTGCACACTTCAGTGGCATTAAGTACATTCACACTGCTGTATAATCATCACCACGTCTGGCTCCAGAATGTCTTATTATCCTAAACTGGAAACTCTGTACCCCTTAAAACTAACTCCCATTCCCCGTCCCCACAGCCCCTGGCAACTCGCCTTCTACGCTCTGTCTCTGTGAATTTGACCACTCTAGGTAACCTGATATAAGTGGAATCATACAATATTTGTCCTTTTGTTTCTGGCTGATTTCACTTAGATGAATGTGTTCAAGGATCATGGATAGATTTAGGTTTATTTAAATAAAAACTGAGAAATGCAGTATTTCTTATACACCCAAGTCTGTGAACTTGAATTCACTGTACACACAGAGTAATTTATTAATCTTCCCCTAGGTTTAGCTTAGACTCTCATCTGACCCAAGACTTCTTTCTCTCTAATCCTCCACATCCAGCTGGTCCTGCAGGTCCTTCTCCACAGAGCTGATCAACTGCTTGACCTGAGGTTCATTCTGGCCCTGGGAACTCAACTCCCAGGCTCCATCATTTTCAACTTAGACTTGAGTGGCCTCCCTTGGCCCTGAAACTTGCCCTGCTCAGAGATGTCACAGTCATCATCCCAAAGCCCAGCTCTGGTCTTCAAACGCTCCTTGTCACCCCATCTCTGCCCCTTGGCTTGTGCCATGCTGTTCACCCACGAGGCCCTTCCTCCAGGTTTCAAGCTGTCCGGATCCTTCAGGCTTTACTCAAATAACTGTCGCCTCAGCGAACCTTCCCTCTTCACATACACTCTCAGAAATGAGCTGTGCTTCCCCTGTGCCTGTTCTATCCTGTACGACGATTATATTCATTTTGACACATATTTAATTGCTTCAACTTTATTCAAGCTTGTTCAGGACAGAGGCCATGTCCTGGCATCTTAAGAACTCTTACAAAGTAGAAATTCAGTATATTCTTGAATGGATATTATTCATGTATGAATGCAATGTATGACTATGTATGTCAATACTATATGTTGGTGTAATTACCAAAATCTGTGGTTCAGACAGTAAGTGGAAAAGGAGTTAGCAAGTGGATGAAAATAACAAGATCTCAAGGCACCATCCATCTCTGAAATGTTACAATCTACATGTCAAAGCCTTTTGGAAGGAGGGCATCTTATTTTGGCTTGAAAGAGAAAGACAGGTGGAGGAAAGCCAGGGCTTGGGCTGTGGGTGTGGTAGAGGATGGGAGTAAAGCTCTTACAGAAAGAATAGATGGTATCAACAAAGAGAAGGACTGAGAGTTCCCAGAGAGGCCTCCAACAAAAACCAGGAGGTGAAAAGGGAGAGGTGAAGAGATCATGGTTTAAATTCCATCCCAACAGGCGTCTCACAACTGGCTGCAAGAACCCTGATGGTCCTCTGGTTTGAAGGTTAGGGATCAGTCTGATGTCCCCTGAGGGAATCTCATGAGGTCAACTTTCAAGACCCCCCCACAGCTAGCCAGTCAGTTCAAAAGAACAGGCAAACAGGTGGTTGGGGATTGGGTAAAGTCTCTTTGTTTTTATTAGATTCTTTTAGCTTTTAGCTGGACGTTATAATACATGTTGACACAGGCTGAGAGTGAATTCCTTGGAATGTGCTTTTCTTATCTGTTCCATCAGAGCTTGATGGGATTATGTAAAGGGTGTAAGCAGCCAGTCTTCAGTTATTATTCACGGCACTAGAAAATAGAGAGGATGGCCAAGCTGAGTCCAGAAACCAGCCACAATCTTCTACGTGGCTCCACCTCCCCCTGGGCCAAATTGTTGATGAAATCTACACATGCACCACACACTCTCTCTCTCTCACTGCTTTGAATCTCATCTCCATCTCAGATTGTACCTCCCGGGAGATGTTAATGAGGCTGAAGAAAGAAGCAAAAGCAACCCAGGGAAGTTCAGCATTGAAAGAGTAGAGTACTCAGAATAAGGTCGAGAGCTCAGGCAAAAAGGGCAACTTGGGTACATGGCGAGAGGGGCTGGAAGAGAATGCCTGGGCTTCCGTCCCTGATCATCTAAGGGATGCCAGATGCTGGCCCCGGCTTGGAAACCTGCACTTGGTGTGGTTTTTCTCCCTTTATCTGGTTCCGGATCTGCATCTTTGGCCTCTGTGTCCTGCACAATAACACAAATGCACTAGCATCTCTAAGTCATCCTCTGCTTTTGGCATTTTGTAATTCTGAATGCCTTTGGGGGAAATTTGGATTGGGATGTAGTGGATTTTGTTACATATTCCCAAGCTCATTCATATAGTTTTAGTGTTATATCTTACACAGAAAAATGCATGCTAAAATAGACTATGAAAGTCACTCATAGAAATGTGCAAGGAGGGATGTCATGGTTTGGGACAAGGCCAGCCAGCTAAGCTGCAGGGGAATGGGCCAGACTGGGAGTAACTGGAACCTGGAATTAGATCCTCCCACAGAGACCAGTGAACACCAGGGATAGCTCTGGGTGCTGGGAAGTCCAGGACAACAGGATGAACACAGCAGTGGTGTTGCTGTCGGCCTTAAGGGCGAGAGAGGCATCCAGTATGAAGATGAGGGGAGAGGACTTAGAGGCCCATGGAGCTTGGCCAGAAGAATCCAGAAGCCAGTGAGATCAAAACAGGCATATGATGCACTGGGCAGTTTGTTAGAAAAGAGTGCAACCTCAGCCAACAGACGGGGCTTGGCAGCAAAACTCCAGAGCCTTGTAGAAAGATGGGGAACCCAAGGCTTCTGCCACAGAGCTGGGAAAAGCCCAGGCCCTGGCTCTGAGCCAGTGCAGTCCAACAAACACAAATCAATGTCTTCTCTGAGTAAGCACTGGTCCCCAACGTGGAGACGGTCCACACTCCACTGCCCCTGAGGGAGTGTAGACCAACAGTAGTGGGGATTACTGCAAGGACAGGTCTTGCCTGCAGGGACCCACCTGCGAAATGGGAGCCCTTCCGAGGCTGTACACTAGGGGAGGTCTCATAGATGGCCTTTAGTCCTGCTTCTCAGAGGGGCAGTGGCAGCTCCCAGAGGTGGTGGCACTGAGAGAAGGATAGTGACAAAAACCTCAAGCTTGGGTGTCCTGAGCCCTGGCTGGTCACCGTTTGCAAGTCTGCAGTGCAGACTGAGAAAACCAAACCAAAGCACAAAACATTGCTTTAGGTCCACTAGATTGAGGAACATGTATTTCAAAACTCTTTGAATGTGAATGTATTTCCCTAAATCACAAATGGGGATTTAATCAATATTGAACAAAATGTCTGCTTGTTCTACTAGAGTTGAGCAAGTCTCATTAGATCTGATACAAATTTTTCACTTAATATTGCAAATAGGTAAGTAATCCACATTGTTCAAAAACATAGGCAACAAGATGTCTGTGTCCCATCTTGTCTCTCATCTGTCCAGTTGCCATCCAGATAGGTACCATGATTCCTGGTTTCTTAGGCATCTTCAAAGGTATGTTTTCCCTCCAACTGGCAAGTACCCTATGCTGGGGCCCTGATGACCTGAATGGCTGTGTCTCCTTGCAGGGGCTCTGGGAAGAGTCTGGCTGAACAGAGAAGGAGAGAGGCCGCCTCCATGCCACGAAGCATATGTGACCAGAGACCAAGGGAACACGCATGAATGGTTTTAACATAACTGGCTACTCAACACACAGATCACGCTGCTTGGAACGTCTCAGGCTAAGTGACATGGCAGCATTTTCCAGGGGCTGCTGGAGCCGAGGCGTCTTCTCTCAGGCTCCCTGATGCCTTGACGTGCCCCAGCCTCAAAGTTACCCATCTTCCCTCTTTGGTGGGCTCTGTGATGAGATATCTCACGGGCTGGGGGGCTGTTGTCAGGAGTCTGGGCTGCCAGGCAGGGGTTGAAGTGGGCTGGGGGGCAGGTTCCAGGCTAGGCCCATGGTCTGCTAGTGAGTGGCTGAAGAACACAATATTTGAGGTTTTCTCCCAAACATTTACGTTTCTGTACGGTGGCTGCTTTCAACCTTTAAAGAATAATGTTTTCTCAAGTCCACCTGTGAAAGCCAAATCCTTAGACACACAGAGGATCTTTCAGGGAAAGCTAGACATGCGGCAGAGCTGATGGGCTACTGTGATTGATTTGTGTTCAGAACCTGGAAGGAGAGCCCAAGGCTTGGGTGCCACTTAGGCAAATTCTGTGGGTGTCTCCACCGTGACATCCACAGACACAGGACTTCTGTCTGCTGCCGTCCACCCTTCCCTCAGGCCAGTCCTTGTTAGGGGCCATCAGTGTCCAGTGGGATTAACTATAGAGCACTTTCTTCATATGTACAAAACAGGTCGAATTGGAGCTACTGTGATCATAAAACAGGGCAAGGGACACAGCGTCTCGCTGGGAGCCCACCCCAGTCCCCCCACTTTCCGTCTGCTCCCACTCAGTGGGCCCTAAGAACCTCTCTATGGTATTTCCAGCACCTAGAACACTCCCAGCACACATCCCTGATATCATAATTTGTGCTCCTAATGTCTCAAAATGGAGTCACTCATGCCAAATATCAGTAAGCCCACTGTGAAGCTGTCTCCCTCCTCAAAGCGATATACACATATGCAATGGACTGAAGTGATGACACCTGCTGCTGCCCAGTGCCACCCAACCCTGAAACAGACCAATAGAAAGTGAAAGGTGGCTTAGATGATGAGAGCAAACTCATCTGGGAGGACAATAAAAGCAGCCAAGAACTGGCCTCGTTCAAGACACCCTTAGAGCCTCTGCCCATGAGAGCTCTGAAGCCTTCTCCCAATTTTGGCATCTGATGCCAGAAGCGGTGAGGACCCCATTGACCAGCGTCCCAAGGACGTCCGGACCCACTCGGCACATCTGTTGGTGTGCTGCTCTCCCGAGCCATCGCCGCGTTTCCTTACCACACTGTTATTACTGCTTGTGTGTTGGTTAATTACATGATCTGTGGTGCGTGGAGGCCTCTCAACAAAAGGTGGATTCAAGCATATGTAATTGGCTATCGAGTCACTGTGAACCTTTTTGGCTTCGGTTGGGGTTAGCACACCTAGTTGGCCAGAACCTAATTAACATCAATTGCGCACTCACTAAATGCACAACCAACCTCAGGGCTCCATTTGTCTGGTCTTCTCACGCTAAACAGCAAGAGTGCAGGCCCAGGAAGATGATGTAATGTATCCAAGTCCCTGCGGACTGTGGCAGTCAGGAGAAGCCGGCTCCTCTGCCCCCTTTCCCTGCCCTGTGGCCCACACTGCTTCGCAGCCTGCCCTGTGCAGATAATCGGCTGGGCAACCCAGGTTGAGTGGATGAGACTGCTCACCACCAAAGGTGACTCCCGGGGGACCTGGCCTCCTGGCACACCTGGAGCCCACTCCTGGTCCCTAGCACTCAGCCTGGGTTGTTCTGCTGCAGACATGTACACACATTCTCCCATGCACGTGCTCTTGAAGGTGCCCTGGGTAGTTCCTTCATCAAGAAGTAAAGATCTTCAGTATCCTGGACCAAAGTTCCATTGCTCTCAGCCCCGACAGCCCTTTGTCTAAATAAGGTGGCCCACGCATCCTCCCATGATCTGCCTTCTGGATCTTCTCTCCTTGCTGTCGAAAGGGCTGATGATGGGAGTCGGTTCAGACCAAGCAAAGTATCCAACAAGAGTCAAACACAGCACGCGCGCCCCCAGGACCCCCAGCTCTGCCCCAGGTCTCTGCCTGGTTATCGTGTGGACACAATGGACCTATTCATGGAGAGGGGCTCTGAAACTCGAGCAGGTGTTGCTGAAGGTGTCTCTGAGATGAATGTTAACCTGCTGAGTCAGGCTCCCTCCAAATTAATCTGAAATGCCCTTTAACCCACTTTTGGCACAGCACTCATGCTGAGCAGGAACTGGAGCTGCAGGGGTCAAGCCATCCCCAAAGCCTTGGCAGGAGGCACATGATCCTATCAATCAACATTGGGGTGAGGGAGGCGGGGCGGGGGGGTGTTGTGAGATCGCCATGGTGTGTAGACCGCAGTGGCTCCACGTGGACAAGCCTTCTGGAAACGCCTTTGCTGTTATTACAATCAAAAGCTTTCACCACATTTTACAGCTTTGCCCCCTACTCTAACCACTCCCTTCTTCATGGAGCAAGTTTCCAGCAGCTGAATGCCATATAATCAGAACACCCTCTGGTCACCATGGAAGCCAAAAGAAACATACTTTTTGAAAAGTGACACTTCAGTGCAGAGAGGTCTGTTGATAGGAGCTTAAATAATGATGTGCTGGGAGACATTATTTTAGTAAATTCTTAGAACACATTTTTTTTTTTCCTCAGGGCATGGCTGGTTAGTAGTGCTCTTACCCACTTCTAGCTTCAATTGCTGGACACCTCGCCTACCATGCCTGCTTCTTTAGGCAGCTTAATCGAGGCTCATTACAGAGAGTATAGTTTAAGTGGAAAAAATGTTGTTAGGTGTCTCTGGGAAGTATATGACAAAATGTTGACAAAAGTTAATTCAGGTGGGAAGACAGATTTTAACTGTGCATCCGTGAGAAATATTCTCTACCAGCTGGGTAGCAAGCAGTGAGATAGGAAGTCCATTTACTGGGGTCCACTAGGACCCACAGGATCAATTTCTCTCCTTTGCCTCAGTGGTATTCTGCATGCTTCTTGAACTCTCCTTTAAGACATGGTCTCTGATCCCCTAAAGGGCTAATGCCAAGTGAATATCTTACTCAAATTGAAATATAATTTGATGAAAATTACTTTTCCAAATAAATCTCACTGAGATTAATAGCCCTTCAAACTTTCCCATCTGTGCTAATGAGAGCCCCTTTACTCAGACTTCAGAAGATCTTGCAGCTGTGGCATCTGTTCAGGCTCTTCTTTCGTATTCACTCATCAGCCAATCAGCAAGTTCTGCCTCATGGGTGCCCTTCAAATTCAACTCTCCCCCTCACTTACAGCCCATCATAAAGGATAGATGCGGTGAAGTCTGGAGTGGAACAGGAGGGGAGGAGGAGCCTGTTGGACTATCCTTTGGTATGGCTTTCATAGACTTTCATCAATTGCACGTTTTTGACACACTCTATTCTCTGCAACCCCCGACCCACACCCAGATGGCAAATGGGCTCAGCACCCCTCCTTCTGACCTGACCACGCTCACTTCTCCTCCTTTGCCCAAACTATCCATGATCACAATGTTCTATTTTATCTTTTACCTCTGCCATGAGAGCAGCATGTCTCATTTAGAAGTTGCTTTTTTCAGCCTGGGTCCCAGAATGAAGAGGAAATCGGAGGGGAGGTCATTCCTCAAGGCCACGCACATGAGTGAGGAATAAACCTGAGCTATTCTAAGACAGACGTGGTGTGGAATTGCTTGTTGCAACAACATAACTCAGCCTCACCTTACTGATAAAGGGGGTAATATGTACACTCTTACTAATGGTGAGTTTACACATATATTTGCTCATTCTGTTCTCACAGCAAGCCTATTGGGTAACATTTACTTTCTACATTCTACTGATAAAATATTAACACTCACTGGACACAATGGCTCATGCCTGTAATCCCAGCACTTTGGGAGGCCAAAGCAGGTGGATCACCTGAGGTCAGGAGTTTGAGACCAGCTTGGCCAACATGGTGAAACCCCATCTCTACTAAAAATACAAAAAAAAAAAAATAGCCAAGTGTGGGGGCAGGTGCCTGTAATCCCAGCTACTCAGGAGGCTGAGGCAGGAGAATCGCTTGAACCAGGGAAGCGGAGGTTGCAGTGAGCTGAGATCGTGCCACTGCACTCCAGCCTGGATGATAGGACGAGACTCTGTCTCTAAAACAAAACAAAACAAAATATTAACACTCAAAAGAAGCTGTTCAAATTCTGAAAGTCAAAAAGTGACAGAATAGATTAAGTTTGATCTTTGACAGCTAAATCCGTAACTTTCTCCACTGGACCATGCGTAATGGGTTGACTTGTGGCCCCCAAGAAGATATACTGAAGTTCCCAGCCTCAGGACCTGTGAATGTGACCTTATTAGAAATAAGCCCTTTGCAGACATAGTCAAGTTAAGATGATGTCATTAAGGTGGGCCCTAATTCAATATGGCTGGTGTCCTTACAAGAAGGAGAAGCACAGAGGAACACAGAGAATGCCCCGTGACAATGGAAGCAGAGGTTGGAGTGATGTATCTACCGGCCAAGGAATACCGAGGATTGCTGGTGACACCAGAAGGCAGGGGAAAGCGCAGAACATGTTCTCCCCTTGAGACTTCAGAGAGAACACGGCCCTGCCCGCACCTGGATTTCAGACTTTGGGAATCCAAATTTGCTATAGCAGCTCTAGGAAGCTAACACACCATGACTGCCTCAATTTCAGGGCAGAAGTCACCAGAAACTCTCAGTGAGTAGGTTTGGTCATGGAAGTGGGCTGTGTAAAAAAACCCTGCATTTTTCCATTAGCAGCCTAGTGTCACGATCCCGTTTATATTGCTTTCCAATGGCTGTCAGGACAAAGTAACACAGGCTGGGTGGCTTAAACAAAAGAAATCTAGTTTCTTACAGTTCTGGAGGCTGGGAGTTTGAGATCAAGATGTCATCAGGGTTGATTTCTTCTGAGGCCTCTCTCCTTGGTCTGCAGGCAGCCGCCTTCCCCCTGTGTCTATATGTGGTCTTCCCTCTGTGCCCGTCTGGGTCCTAATCTCCTCTCCTTATAAAGATACCAGCGATACTGGATGAGTGCCCACCCTAGTGACCTCATTTTACCTTAATTACTTCTTTAAAGATCCTATCTTCAAATACAGTCACATTCGGAGATATTAGGGGGCAGGGCATAAACACATGGGTTTTGGGGGTGTACAAATTAGCCCATAACGTGGCCTGATATTTTTAAACATCTAAGTAGCTCCTTGCGATGCTGGCATACATAGCCTGGCCACCTAAGCAGCCTGGGACAGAGGCTGAAAACACAAGAGTGGCCGTGCAAGTCCCTTTAAGCTGCCACATGCGTCCCTAGGTCCGACAGCCAGACCACTCGCACCTAGGCCTGAACCGTCCTCACAGTGTTCCACGCTGGTTCTGAATCATGTGCCTGGTTCCATGCGTGGCTGTTGGCTCCACTTTCTCGACTTCAGCGATCTTCACTACAAGGAGGCTCTCCCTTGGGCTGTGCTGACCACTGGTTCCTGGTTAAACTTTCTCCCACCATCCCCAGTCTCTTTCATCTCCTACTTTGACACAGCTCTCCTTGGAGGTGACTCTCCTTCCAGGCCTCTTTCTGACTCCAACCTTATAATCAAAATTTAAAACAAAACTGAAAGACACATTTTGAGATATGTAAGATTACTAGACGTAAAGGGTAATCAGTTCACTAAATGCAAATTGCTTTCATATGAGCAAAGCATGATTGTAGTTTTTTCTCCTCCTTATTAGTTTAGAAGTGTCGAACATCAAAGTGATCATTCATTTCCCTGAAACTCTGAATGTCTTAATCATCATTATAATGCTTTTTCGCTATAGTAATTTTTTTTTTGAGATGAAGTTTCGCTCATGTTGCCCAGGCTGGAGTGCAGTGGCACCATCTTGGCTCACTGCAACCTCCTCCTCCTGGGTTCAAGCGATTCTCCTGCCTCAGCCTCCCAAGTAGCTGGGATTATGGCACCCACCACTACAACCAGCTAAATTTTTTTGTATTTTTAGTAGAGACAGGGTTTCACCGTGTTAGACAGGCTGGTCTCGAACTCCTGACCTCAAATGATCCACCTGCCTCGGCCTCCCAAAGTGCTGGGATTATAGGTGTCAGCCTCTGTGCCCAGCCCACTATAATAAGTTTTATTTGGAGAAGACAGAAATAAATAATCTGGTGCCGTGATGGAAAATAAAGAAAGTAAGAGGGAGAGAGAGCGCTGGTGGGGTGGCTGGGGAAGACGCATCCGCCACGGTGACCTTGTGGGGCAGATCTGAAGAATGCAGCGATGCCCAGCTTGGGCCTTTCTGGGGAACAAGCAGAAGGGAAGCAGCCAGGAGGAGCAGCGTGCTCAAGCACGCCCAGCGGGACACAAGCAAGCGAAGAGAAGGGTGGTGGGAGCGAGGCCCCGAAGGGGCTGGGTGACCTATAGGGCCAGGTCTGCAAGAGCGTTAGATTCCACTTGGGGTACAACAGAACCCGCTGGAGGGTTTGAACAGAGGAGTGGTGTCATCAGGACTGCTTTCCCAGGGCTGCTCTGGTTGTAGGGCAGGCACTGCTTTCAAAACAGGGCTGCTCTAGTTGTGGGGCAGGCAGCGAGAGGGAGCTGGAGTAGAGGAGGCTCCAGGCAGTCAGGGTGGTGGCTTCAGCCAGGGGTCAGCAATGGAGGTTGGGGGAGGAGAGGCTGAGGATCGACCTTGAAAGGTCAGCTGATTTCACTGTGAGACAGAGGAAGGTCAGGGAGATCAGGAGGAACCAAGGGAAAGGATGAAGGAGGAGTGAGTAAAGTAAAAGGAAACTGAGAGAGGACAGGGTCCTGGGACCTGTGAGCCGTCAGGCAGATGCAGCTCCCAGCCAGGGAACTAAGGCTGGGAATGACCAGGACGCCCGGGAGGACACTGTTCCAAACAGAAGCTTCGCTGGATTTGGTGCAAGAGAGAGTAGGAAGACAGGAAGAGGGCATGCCGAACAGAGATCATTTATTTCAGGAGGTACCTACATTGAAGGAGGCTCACAAGCTGGGGCAATGTCCCCATGTAAATGCTAATCCTGGGGGAAGGAGGGCGGAGGGGACCAGGGAGGCTGTCTCCACCCTACCTGGAGCTGTGCGTATGCAGAGTCTGTGAACAGCCCCTCAAAGGAAGCTTGAATTTTTTTTTTTTTTTTTTTTTTTTGAGACGGAGTCTCGCTCTGTCGCCCAGGCTGGAGTGCAGTGGCGCGATCTCGGCTCACTGCAAGCTCCGCCTCCCGGGTTCCCGCCATTCTCCTGCCTCAGCCTCCCGAGTAGCTGGGACTACAGGCGGGCGCCACCAGGCCCGGCTAATTTTTGTATTTTTAGTAGAGACGGGGTTTCACCGTGTTAGCCAGGATGGTCTCGATCTCCTGACCTCGTGATCCGCCCGTCTCGGCCTCCCAAAGTGCTGGGATTACAGGCGTGAGCCACCGCGCCCGGCCAGGAAGCTTGAATTCTGCAGAAGGCTGAGGATGTGGGCTCTCTCGAAACACGATTGTTCAAGTACTTTCTGCATTGATTGCCTTTGGTCCAGTTTTAATTTAAATCAGATGTTTTCTTAAAAGGTGGGGTGGTAGGAAGTATACCTTACTCTGCTGTTTTACCCCAGAACATGATATCTAGTAAGAATTTGTGTCACAGGTGATTTCTAGGAGTGCGAGACAAAATGCCGTGGCACAAATAGTAATGCTGAGTAGTTAACATCCCTGTTGTTGCCTTGATTTCCACAGAGGAGCACGATGATTCGGTCTCTCGCTGCTTCCCGGACTGTCTTGGGGAGATCTCTATCCTTGGGTCTCAGGTCACTCGCACAACCTTCTGGCCACTCTAAGATGCAGGCTTAGGCCCTGGCCAGTTACTGTGTGAGAACGGGACCTCTGATGCCTACTCGCCTAGGCGCTGGCCAGTTGCTGTGTGAGAACGGGGTCTCTGATGCCTGCTCCCCCATCTCAGCTCTGCCACGACGTTCTTTGGTGCCTGAAACAAAACATTGAATTTCCCTGCACTTTATTTACTAGTGTCTAAATGTTGAAATAATAATAATATACTGTGGAACAAACTTATTTCAGCATCTGTTCATCTCTTGGTAGTTTACTGGCAGTAAAGATAAAATTCTAGACTGGCTTCCCCGCTACTCAGAATGTTTCTGGGCCACTTTCCTCAACTGCTTAACCGGAAGTGTTTGAAAATTGCAAACAAATGTTACCATTAGCCTTAGCAAAATGATGCTAAGTTACGCTGCCTCAAAACAGATGCAGCATTTCCCTCTTACCCATGACCTGGATTGAACAAATCACTGCTTTCTTTCCTTGACTTTATGTTAAACTCCACTTCAGTCAAATGTGAATTTACCCCAAAGGGAGAATAACTTTACGAAAAGATCCACGGTAAGATACACTAAAACAGAAAGCATTCCAAGGGCATTTAAACTGTGGTTGTGTTTTCACTAGTTGATCCACACACCGCTCTTCAGAGAGAGAGCTTATGCCTAAAGTAAGATGTAGAGACACACACCACGCCGGTGGCTGTTTCTTCCAGCTCAGATCTCTCCTCTTTAAAATGCTTTTTCACACTACTCCAACTGGAAGGAACGCCTCCTCTCCCTGGTCCTCTGCAGCACGCTGGGGCCCTACTCCCTATTCTCTGTGTATTCATTCGCTTGGGCTGCCATTATAAAGTACCACAGATGGAGTGGCTCCAACAACAGCAACTTATTTGTTCACAGTTCATGAGCAAGGTGTTAGCAGCATTGGTGTCTCCTGGGCCCCTCTCCACCGCCTGCGAGGGCCGCCTTGCTGTGTCCTCAGATGGCCTTTTCTCTGCACGTGCGCATGCCTGTGTCTCTTCGCCTTCCTATACTGTCATATTGGAATAGCCCGCTCTAATGGCCTTGTTTTAACTTGGTCACCTTTAAAGACCTTATCTCCAAATGTGGTTACATTCTGAGGTACTGGAAACCCAACTTGAACTGGGGGACAGGAGGATGAGGACACATTTGGGCTCACAACACCTTGCTACACACTTTAGAATATTAGTGGGCACCCATTCGCGAGTGTTCTGCCTCCCCTGCTTGAATGTAATCTCCCTGGTGAAAGGCCTGTTTTAAGATTCAGTGGGAGGAGCCAAGATGGCCAAATAGGAACAGCTCTGGTCTACAGCTCCCAGCGTGAGCGATGCAGAAGATGGGTGATTTCTGCATTTCCATCTGAGGTACTGGGTTCATCTCACTAGGGAGTGCCAGACAGTGGGCGCAGGTCAGTGGGTGCGCGCACCCTGCGCGAGCCGAAGCGGGGCGAGGCATTGCCTCACTTGGGAAGCACAAGGGGTCAGGGAGTTCCCTTTCCGAGTCAAAGAAAGGGGTGACGGATGGCATCTGGAAAATCGGGTCACTCCCACCCAAATACTGCGCTTTTCCGACGGGCTTAAAAAACGGCGGACCACGAGATTATAACCCGCACCTGGCTGGGAGGGTCCTACGCCCACGGAGTCTCGCTGATTGCTAGCACAGCGGTCTGAGATCAAACTGCAAGGCGGCAGCGAGGCTGGGGGAGGGGCGCCCGCCATTGCCCAGGCTTGCTTAGGTAAACAAAGCAGCAGGGAAGCTCGAACTGGGTGGAGCCCACCACAGCTCAAGGAGGCCTGCCTGCCTCTGTAAGCTCCACCTCTGGGGGCAGGGCACAGACAAACAAAAAGACAGCAGTAACCTCTGCAGACTTAAATGTCCCTGTCAGCTTTGAAGAGAGCAGTGGTTCTCCCAGCACGCAGCTGGAGATCTGAGAACGGGCAGACTGCCTCCTCAAGTGGGTCCCTGACCCCTGACCCCCGAGCAGCCTAACTGGGAGGCACCCCCCAGCAGGAGCACACTGACACCTCACACGGCAGGGTATTCCAACAGACCTGCAGCTGAGGGTCCTGTCTGTTAGAAGGAAAACTAACAAACAGAAAGGACATCCACACCAAAAACCCATCTGTACATCACCGTCATCAAAGACCAAAAGTAGATAAAACCACAAAGATGGGGAAAAAACAGAACAGAAAAACTGGAAACTCTAAAAAGCAGAGCGCCTCTCCTCTTCCAAAGGAACGCAGCTCCTCACCAGCAATGGAACAAAGCTGGATGGAGAATGACTTTGACGAGCTGAGAGAAGAAGGCTTCAGACGATCAAATTACTCTGAGCTACGGGAGGACATTCAAACCAAAGGCAAAGAAGTTGAAAACTTTGAAAAAAATTTAGAAGAATGTATAACTAGAATAACCAATACAGAGAAGTGCTTAAAGGAGCTGATGGAGCTGAAAACCAAGGCTCGAGAACTACGTGAAGAATGCAGAAGCCTCAGGAGCCAAAGCAATCAACTGGAAGAAAGGGTATCAGCAATGGAAGATGAAATTAATGAAATGAAGCAAGAAGGGAAGTTTAGAGAAAAAAGAATAAAAAGAAATGAGCAAAGCCTCCAAGAAATATGGGACTATGTGAAAAGACCAAATCTACATCTGATTTGTGTACCTGAAAGTGATGGGGAGAATGGAACCAAGTTGGAAAACACTCTGCAGGATATTATCCAGGAGAACTTCCCCAATCTAGCAAGGCAGGCCAACGTTCAGATTCAGGAAATACAGAGAACGCCACAAAGATACCCCTCGAGAAGAGCAACTCCAAGACACATAATTGTCAGATTCACCAAAGTTGAAATGAAGGAAAAAATGTTAAGGGCAGCCAGAGAGAAAGGTCGGGTTACCCTCAAAGGGAAGCCCATCAGACTAACAGTGGATCTCTCGGCAGAAACCCTACAAGCCAGAAGAGAGTGGGGGCCAATATTCAACATTCTTAAAGAAAAGAATTTTCAACCCAGAATTTCATATCCAGCCAAACTAAGCTTCATAAGTGAAGGAGAAATAAAATACTTTACAGACAAGCAAATGCTGAGAGATTTTGTCACCACCAGGCCTGTCCTAAAAGAGCTCCTGAAGGAAGCGCTAAACAGGGAAAGGAACAACCGGTACCACCCGCTGCAAAATCATGCCAAAGTATAAAGACCATCGAGACTAGGAAGAAACTGCATCAACTAACGAGCAAAATCACCAGCTAACATCATAATGACAGGATCAAATTCACACATAACAATATTAACTTTAAATGTAAATGGACTAAATGCTCCAGTTAAAAGACACAGACTGGCAAATTGGATAAAGAGTCAAGACCCATCAGTGTGCTGTATTCAGGAAACCCATCTCACGTGCAGAGACACACATAGGCTCAAAATAAAAGGATGGAGGAAGATCTACCAAGCAAATGGAAAACAAAAAAAGGCAGGGGTTGCAATCCTAGTCTCTGATAAAACAGACTTTAAACCAACAAAGATCAAAAGAGACAAAGAAGGCCATTACATAATGGTAAAGGGATCAATTCAACAAGAAGAGCTAACTATCCTAAATATATATGCACCCACTACAGGAGCACCCAGATTCATAAAGCAAGTCCTGAGTGACCTACAAAGAGACTTAGACTCCCACACATTAATAATGGGAGACTTTAACACCCCACTGTCAACATTAGACAGATCAACGAGACAGAAAGTCAACAAGGATACCCAGGAATTGAACTCAGCTCTGCACCAAGCGGACCTAATAGACATCTACGGAACTCTCCACCCCAAATCAACAGAATATACATTTTTTTCAGCACCACACAACACCTATTCCAAAATTGACCACATACTTGGAAGAAAAGCTGTCCTCAGCAAATGTAAAAGAACAGAAATTATAATAAACTATCTCTCAGACCACAGTGCAATCAAACTAGAACTCAGGATTAAGAATCTCACTCAAAACTGCTCAACTACATGGAAACTGAACAACCTGCTCCTGAATGACTACTGGGTACATAACGAAATGAAGGCAGAAATAAAGATGTTCTTTGAAACCAACGAGAACAAAGACACAACATACCAGAATCTCTGGGATGCATTCAAAGCAGTGTGTAGAGGGAAATTTATAGCACTAAATGCCCACAAGAGAAAGCAGGAAAGATCCAAAATTGACACCCTAACATCACAATTAAAAGAACTAGAAAAGCAAGAGCAAACACATTCAAAAGCTAGCAGAAGGCAAGAAATAACCAAAATCAGAGCAGAACTGAAGAAAATAGAGACACAAAAAACCCTTCAAAAAATCAATGAATCCAGGAGCTGGTTTTTTGAAAGGATCAACAAAATTGATAGACCACTAGCAAGACTAATAAAGAAAAAAAGAGAGAAGAATCAAATAGACGCAATAAAAAATGATAAGGGGGATATCACCACCGATCCCACAGAAATACAAACTACCATCAGAGAATACTACAAACACCTCTACGCAAATAAACTAGAAAATCTAGAAGAAATGGATACATTCCTCGACACATACACTCTCCCAAGACTAAACCAGGAAGGAATTGAATCTCTGAATAGACCAATAACAGGATCTGAAATTGTGGCAATAATCAATAGCTTACCAACTAAAAAGAGTCCAGGACCAGACGGATTCACAGCTGAATTCTACCAGAGGTACAAGGAGGAACTGGTACCATTCCTTCTGAAACTATTCCAATCAATAGAAAAAGAGGGAATCCTCCCTAACTCATTTTATGAGGCCAGCATCATTCTGATACCAAAGCCAGGCAGAGACACAACAAAAAAAGAGAATTTTAGACCAATATCCTTCATGAACATTGATGCAAAAATCCTCAATAAAATACTGGCAAAACGAATCCAGCAGCACATCAAAAAGCTTATCCACCATGATCAAGTGGGCTTCATCCCTGGGATGCAAGGCTGGTTCAATATACGCAAATCAATAAATGTAATCCAGCATATAAACAGAGCCAAAGACAAAAACCACATGATTATCTCAATAGATGCAGAAAAAGCCTTTGACAAAATTCAACAACCCTTCATGCTAAAAACTCTCAATAAATTAGGTATTGATGGGACTTATTTCAAAATAATAAGAGCTATCAATGACAAACCCACAGCCAATATCATACTGAATGGGCAAAAACTGGAAGCATTCCCTTTGAAAACTGGCACAAGACAGGGATGCCCTCTCTCACCACTCCTATTCAACCCAGTGTTGGAAGTTCTGGCCAGGGCAATTAGGCAGGAGAAGGAAATAAAGGGTATTCAATTAGGAAAAGAGGAAGTCAAATTGTCCCTGTTTGCAGATGACATGATTGTATATCTAGAAAACCCCATTGTCTCAGCCCAAAATCTCCTTAAGCTGATAAGCAACTTCAGCAAAGTCTCAGGATACAAAATCAATGTACAAAAATCACAAGCATTCTTATACACCAACAACAGACAAACAGAGAGCCAAATCATGAGTGAACTCCCATTCACAATTGCTTCAAAGAGAATAAAATACCTAGGAATCCCACTTACAAGGGATGTGAAGGACCTCTTCAAGGAGAACTACAAACCACTGGTCAACGAAATAAAAGAGGATACAAACAAATGGAAGAACATTCCATGCTCATGGGTAGAAGAATCAATATCATGAAAATGGCCATACTGCCCAAGGTAATTTACAGATTCAATGCCATCCCCATCAAGCTACCAATGCCTTTCTTCACAGAATTGGAAAAAACTACTTTAAAGTTCATATGGAATCAAAAAAGAGCCCGTATCGCCAAGTCAATCCTAAGCCAAAAGAACAAAGCTGGAGGCATCACACTACCTGACTTCAAACTATACTACAAGGCTACAGTAACCAAAACAGCATGGTACTGGTACCAAAACAGAGATATCGATCAATGGAACAAAACAGAGCCCTCAGAAATAACGCCGCATATCTACAACTATCTGATCTTTGACAAACCTGAGAAAAACAAGCAATGGGGAAAGGATTCCCTATTTAATAAATGGTGCTGGGAAAACTGGCTAGCCATATGGAGAAAGCTGAAACTGGATCCCTTCCTTACACCTTATACAAAAATCAATTCAAGATGGATTAAAGACTTAAACGTTAGACCTAAAACCATAAAAACCCTAGAAGAAAACCTAGGCATTGCCATTCAGGACATAGGCATGGGCAAGGACTTCATGTCTAAAACACCAAAAGCAATGGCAACCAAAGCCAAAATTGACAAATGGGATCTAATTAAACTGAAGAGCTTCTGCACAGCAAAAGAAACTACCATCAGAGTGAACAGGCAACCTACAAAATGGGAGAAAATTTTCGCAACCTACTCATCTGACAAAGGGCTAATATCCAGAATCTACGATGAACTCAAACAAATTTACAAGAAAAAAACAAACAACCCCATCAAAAAGTGGGCGAAGGACATGAACAGACACTTCTCAAAAGAAGACATTTATGCGGCCAAAAAACACATGAAAAAATGCTCATCATCACTGGCCATCAGAGAAATGCAAATCAAAACCACAATGAGATACCATCTCACACCAGTTAGAATGGCAATCATTAAAAACTCAGGAAACAACAGGTGCTGGAGAGGATGTGGAGAAATAGGAACACTTTTACACTGTTGGTGGGACTGTAAACTAGTTCAACCATTGTGGAAGTCAGTGTGGCAATTCCTCAGGGATCTAGAACTGGAAATACCATTTGACCCAGCCATCCCATTACTGGGTATATATCCAAAGGACTATAAATCATGC
This sequence comes from Homo sapiens, assembly GCF_000001405.40. Lineage (NCBI taxonomy): Eukaryota > Metazoa > Chordata > Mammalia > Primates > Hominidae > Homo > Homo sapiens. The sequence goes on from NC_000004.12 coordinate 184,213,769, forward strand.
TGCTATAAAAACACATGCACACGTATGTTTATTGCGGCATTATTCACAATAGCAAAGACTTGGAACCAACCCAAATGTCCAACAATGATAGACTGGATTAAGAAAATGTGGCACATATACACCATGGAATACTATGCAGCCATAAAAAATGATGAGTTCATGTCCTTTGTAGGGACATGGATGAAATTGGAAATCATCATTCTCAGTAAACTATCGCAAGAACAAAAAACCAAACACCGCATATTCTCACTCATAGGTGGGAATTGAACAATGAGAACACATGGACACAGGAAGGGGAACATCACACTCTGGGGACTGTTGTGGGGTGGGGGGAGGCGGGAGGGATAGCATTGGGAGATATACCTAATGCTAGATGACGAGTTAGTGGGTGCAGCGCACCAGCATGGCACATGTATACATATGTAACTAACCTGCACAATGTGCACATGTACCCTAAAACTTAAAGTATAATAATAAAAAAAAAAAGAAAAAAGATTCAATGTTCCTGGCATTCAATTGTTTGATTCATCTTCATGATCATGATTGGCATTTTGGTTGCTTTTGTCCTGATATAAACATGTTTTGAGGCAAATAAATAATCAGCCATGGTGGCTTCATGGCAGCAACTGGGCTAGATGGTTTCAAGGTTGCTCACAAATAGGCCTGTTGATTCCCCATCCCCATCCACTGTGAAATTCTCTGTCTCAAGGGAGTTTCCGCTATTTGCATACTTTCTACACGAAGGCCTCCTAGGAGGGTCCAGCCCTAACTTTAAAATTACCTGTGCAAATAGCAAAGACTTTGAACCAACCCAAATGCCCATCAATGATAGACTGGATAAAGAAAATGTGGCACATATACACCATGGAATACTATGCAGCCATAAAAAAGAATGTGTTCATGTCCTTTGCAGAGACATGGATGAAGCTAGAAGCCATCATTTTCAGCAAACTAACACAGGGACAGAAAATCAAACACCACATGTTCTCACTCATAAGTGGGAGTTGAACAATGAGAACACATGGACACAGGGAGGGGGACATCACACACTGGGCCCTGTTGGAGGATCGGGGGCACAGGGAGGGAGAGCATTAGGACAAATACCTAACGCATGCAGGGCTTAAAATCTAGATGACGAGTTGACAGGTGCAGCAAACCACCATGGCACATGTATGCCTCTGTAACAAAACTGCACGTTCTGCACATGTGTCCCAGAATTTAAAGTGAAATAAAATAAAATAAAATTCCCCATGCATTGCCTAGTTCTATGTCTGCATCCAGCAGCACCTGAAATCCCGGCCTGATGCAGCCCCGGCAGTTCATCTCATTTTATTTTGCCTGAAGTCTCCAAGCAAGTTCTCCCAGCTCAAGGGCCAGCATTCTTTCCAACAACTCATCACTCCTCGTTATGCAAAGGGAAGAACACCAAGGGCTTTCTGTATTCTGAGCAATAATTCGGGTAATGAAGTGAGAGCTTAGCCTCTCTTGTGAATGCTGAGGAACCCTAAAACAGCATATCTTTTGCTTCCAAAAAGATCTAGCATAGCAATTTTGTTGGTTCATAAAATGCTCAAATGCTCAAACCATATGTTTAGCTACAATTCCCAATGGCTATATCCTTCTTTATATGAGTAAAAGAGGAGGTTTTCAGCATCAGGTGGAAAAATAAGTATGGGTATTGGGGAAAATAGTCTAAATTTAACTCTGAGTCAGTTCCAAGACAGTGGAGGTGATACCAGGTTCATGGCCTGGCATTTCCCAGCCTGCGAATTCTGCTTCAAGTCTGCAAGTCTGCCCAGTAGGTACAAGACAAATCATACCCAAGGACATTTGTACAGAAACATGAGCCTTGCTAGATCCCTCCCTTGTGCAGGGTAGCTTCTATGAAACATATAGACCAAGCAGACTTCCACATCAGTGAATACATTTGGCCATCTGAAAATACAGAGACTTAACACATATGGAGACCTGTGGCTTCCTCGGGCCAGCCTCAGTTTGAAAGCAAGGGTGAGATCTTTGTCAGACACTCACGGGACCTGTGCTGCCCATAAAGGAAGGGGCCCTTCTCTCAGGACAGCACAAGGGAAAACACCCACAGCCGGAAAAGAAGGTGTGTCTCAGCATGACGGAGGCTGTGTGCAAATTATTCCTTGTGCCAATATCAGGAGTGTGGATCTGACAAACAAAAGGCCATGTCATTGGCTTAGTGTCTCTGTGGAGTCTGTAATGGTCCTTTTACTTACTTGAGTCCTTTCTAAGATGGATTTTGTTCATTTTCCACTAAGATTGCAGAAGCTGCACGTGGCGTGGCAGTTTATGAATTGGGTCCCCTGGCAAGGCTCTGAAAGACAGCTGGAGTGGGGGTGGGCTGTGTGTGTGAAGCCGCTGCACAGAGCTGGAGTCGGCTGTCCACACAATCACGTCTATGTGAGAGCCGGCAGCCTGCAAACTGCTTCCCTGCAAGGGGAGACACATGCCAGGGGAGGGCCAGAGAATTTTGTTAATTCTGTTTATCTTAGAGACTGTTTTTTTGTCTGCTGGGGGAAATAAAAAACAAATACATAACTTCCTTGCTTGTGTGCAGTCTGATTTTTTTCTCTCTCTCATGCCCTCATTTTTATTTCTCCGAAGTATCTCTCCCCTTCAGTTTGGGGCATCAGTTTATGGCATTTTTCCGTACATGTGTATATAGTATCTATGCACAAAGTCAGAGATATAAATGTCTGTTTTAGACTCTTTTGGCTTTAGTGTTCTGTGGAGGTCCATGAGATATCAGAGATCTCATTTTCTTTCTGTTAACATAATTAGCAGAGCTCTCTCTGTGCTCAGAGTGCATAGCTGAGTCCCGCATAACCAGCAATAACAGTGCATTCTTAGCAGCCTCCCTGGATAGTTTGCTAAATTCTTTCTGAGAGCCTCTCGCTGCCTTTACAAAGGTTATAGCTGAAAAACAAACCAGAAACTGGGAATCCAACTCTGTGAGCAGAGAGAGGGCTGCACATTCTATTATCGCACGGATAGAGGCTCAGGTTCATGCAGTCGCGTTTGGAGTCCTGGCAATTTCAGATGAAGGCCGTCCTTAGGAAAATCAGCTATCCCAAGCCCAGGCAGTCTGGGTTAGCCGAGGTTTTTGTTTGTTTTGTGGAGTTTTTGCTGGTTGGTCTTTTGTAGATGCTGCAAATCACAAATGGGGAACCTGAACGACACAAGCTTTTTCTTCTCCGTATCATTTTACCTGGCCAAAAAGGCAAAAGAAGGGGAAGGTGGCATTGCTAAGTCACAGGGAAGGATATGACCTAAACATCCCCCCTTCCCCAAGTAATCCGGGAGCACCACTCCCCTCTGAGGACCCCACAGGTACTTTCACAGTCCAACACACTGAGAAACAAGCCCACAGGGTGCCAGGATGACATGACCACAGAGAAAAGGGACAGAAGGAGTTTGGGACACATGCACGGACACCTGTTGCTTTTGCAGACTTGAACTTAGAAAATATGAGCCTCATTAGAATTTCTCTTTCTAAAATAAACGACCACTTTTAATATCGTCAAATATCATGTACTGCTATAGTTCTCTGTCCTCCGCACTGAGAATCCAAAACAGGTCCTTGGGATAACTTTTGGGAAACAATACCGCCACGAAAACAAAAGTCTTCTCAGCCAAGAACACAGATTTTTTTTATCTACCTTTGATGTCCCAAAGGACTAGAGAATCCAGAGCATTTAAATAAGACTCCAATGCCAGGAGCTCACTGTTCCCTGCTGGATGCCAGCCCTCCCCTCCCTGCCCAGAAGAGGACATGGTACTCACCAGTCATTAGGGTATAATAATTGGGATACGAGAGACTAGGGAAGTCTGGAGTCAAGTAATCCACTTTTACTCCCCTGCTCACAATCTCTTTGAAACCAGGCAATGACTCCAGCGCCTCATCACTGATGTAGTCTGAGCGAAAACCATCCAGCAGAAACACCAGCAGCTTCCGGCGGGCAGAGGCTGGCTGGGCCAGGCCCAGGGCAAGGGCCAGCAGGAGGGTCCCAAGCTTCACTGCCATGCTGCCAGGAGCCTGCCAGAGCCCGGCTGGCACAGCTGTCGCCTTGCAAAGACTGAGGATGGAGAATCTGTAGCTATTCTCTCTTCCAGGGGCTGGACCTTGAGCCGCTGGCCTTCCTGAGTCAAGTTCACTTGCAGAATTTAAAGGAACAGCACCCCCTTTTCCACACATCTATGCTCACCCTTTACTAGAAAGTCCAGAGACCGACTCCTTCAGATAAACTGGGTTCCAAACAACCCAGAATTAACACCAGGGGAGAGAGTTCAAACTTATTATTTTTGGTGAACGTTCCAGAAATACAAGCACCCACAGAGGTGGAATTTTAGAAGATGACAAAGTCAACACTAACTTTGCAGTTGAGCTAACCAAAGGGAGGAACCAAGGAAAAGGGCAAGATTTTAATTTGCTGTTATCCCACATCATGGCCTCATTTAAACTCTTTTTCACTTAGAATTTAGTAACGCAAACCTCTGGACTCAGTGCATAAACAGGAAACAATACGTTTCGGTGGGCCCATTTGTAAACTTCCCAGCTGTGTCTCTGTAGACACAGCACTTAAAAAAGTTATTTGTCTATGTCTTGGCCACTTATGTTTTTATATGCAGTGTTATTATTTGTTATTATTTTATTTTTCAAATGTGATTTAGCTGCTGGTGCCCATAGGAGGAGGTGGTTCGTAGAAGAGCCCTAGAGCCAATGAGAAGCTTCCAGAGTTGGACAATGGGAAATCATTACTGGCAGAATGGTCTGAAGCAGCATTGCCCCAGGAGGATGGAAATGAAATAGAGAGCTGGAGATTGAGAGCTTGAGATGGAAAAGCAGAGCTAGAAATTACCATGCAGGCTTTGGGACCGAGAAGACTAGGCGGAGTGGAAAATAGGAGGAGGTTAGTGACAGGGAGGCAGATGTGAGCTGGGGAGCAGACAGAGTTAGCACAAAGTACCCAGAGTCCAGGGGTTCCCTAGAGTGGCTCCGTCATGCTACATAAAATTAAACAACACAATTCATGTGAAGGCTTATAAAACATGGCTGAGTGCAGTGGCCCACTTTGGGAGGCCAAGGTGGAAGGATTGCTTGAGGCCAGGAGCTTGAGACCAGCCTGGGCAACACAGCAAGACCCCATCTCTATAAAAAATTAAAAAATTAGCTGGGCCTGGCGGCACGTGCCTGGTCCCAGCTACACAGGAGGCTGAGGTGGGAGGATTGTGTGAGCACAGGTGGTCATATCTGCAGTAAGCTGTGATTGTATCACTGCACTCCAGGCTGGGCAACAGAGTGAGGCCCTGCCTCAAAAAAAAAAAGACATAAAACATGCATGGTCCATAGCAAGTGTTGAACAAATGTTAGATGTTATTCGCATTATAACATTGCTTGTCTCCTGAGGAAACTTGCAGGCTCTGGGCAAACTTTCCAGGGAAGGAAGATAGACACCAGCCACACCAGCCACTCTCAGTCAACCCCAAAATCCCTCTTCCACCTCTGCCCTCTGCTTGTGTCTTTTCTCCTTCTCTTTTTCTGTTGTATTTGAGTCAAGCCCAAACACAGGATCACCATGTCACTTTTTAAATTATGCTGCAAAAGAGAAACACATTGGCCAAATTACCACTCCCCTCTCAGGGGACTTGGCCAAGGATCAGAATTCTTTTTTCCAATAAGAGGTAATGCTTTTTATAATTAAATTTAAATTTTTTTCTTATTAAAAAATAAGGAAAAGGGGAGTTTATCCTAAAAGGTTGTTACTTTGAAAACAATGTTATTCTTTTTTCTTTGAGCTGTGTGGTATTGTTGCTATAAACAGAGAAAAAGAAAAGAGAGAAGAAAGAGGAAAGGAAGGAAGAAAGAAAGAAAAAGGAAAGAAAGAAAAGTAAACGAAGGAAGGGAGAAAGAGAAAGAAAGGGAAGGGAAGAAAAGGGAAGAAGGAAAGAGAACAGAAGGGAAGAGAAGAAAGGAAGAAAAGGGAGGAAGGGAAGGAAAGGGGAGGGGAAGGAAGGGGAGGAAAGGGAAGGGAGGGAAAGGAAGGGAAGGGAAAGGGAAAGGGGAAGGGAAGGAGGAAAAAAAGAATAGAAGGGAAGAAGGGAAAGGAAGAGAAAAAGGGAAGAAAAGCGAAGAAGGGAAGGGAAGGGAAGGGGAGGGGAAGGGAAGGGAGGGAAAGGAAGGGAAGGGAAAGGGTAAGGGGAAGGGGAAGGGAAGGAGGAAAAAAGAATAGAAGGGAAGAAGGGAAAGGAAGAGAAGAAGGGAAGAAAAGCGAAGAAGGGAAGGGAAGGGAAGGGAAGGGGAGGGGAAGGGAAGGGAGGGAAAGAAGGGAAAGGAAAGGGAAAGGGGAAGGGGAAGGGAAGGAAAAAAAAGAATAGAAGGGAAGAAGGGAAGGGAAGAGAAGAAGGGAAGAAAAGCGAAGAAGAGAAGGGAAGGAAAGGGGCGGGGAAGGGAGGGGAGGGGAGGGAAGGGAAGGGAAGGGAAAGGAAGGGAAGAAGGGAAGAAGAGAAGGAAAGGGAAGGTGAGGGGAATGGAAGGGAGGGGAGGGAAGGGAAGGGAAAGGAAAAAGGGAAGAAGGGAAGAAAAGGGAAGAAGGGAAGAGAAGAGATGGGAAGAAGGGAAAGGGAGGGATGGGAAGAAGGGAAAGGGAGGGATGGGAAGAAGGGAAAGGGAGGGAAGGGAAGAAGAGAAGAGAAGGGAAGGGAAAGGGAGGAGAGGGAAGGGAAGGGAAGGAGAAGGGAGGGGAGGGGAGGGGAAAAGGCAGATGCAGCCTGATGGGTTGATGGGCCTCCTAGACACTGAACATCACATGTGCTAGAAGGAGAACTTCTTCCCCTGGTGAGGGCCCATGGAGGTAGGAGGCCCAGATAGCTGTGCTCTGTGAGTTCCTGAGAGGCTCAGGGATTGTCTGGACTGCGAAGCTGGAGTCACAGTGCAAGTCCAAGTGATTTACTTTGGGATGGCCTCTGAGCTCACTTTGGGATGGCTTCTGAGCTCACTTTGGGAGAGGTTAAGCACTCCAAATGTTAAAGATGAATATAAGAGGGACTTCCACTTTTCTCCACTACTAACAAGGGTACACTCAAAATATGGCTCCCTGAGTGCCTCATTGAGCTGTTGTGGGTGTCAACTCAGAAGTAACTTGCTTCAGATTAGCGTGTTCACAGGTCCCCAGAGGCTCCCAAGGCTCCACAAAGATTGTTGTGATGTATCTGGGGTGGGGTCATCATTGTTTTATGATAATGTTTATGATCATATTGTGTTATGACCATGTTTAGACAATGTCTCTAAAGCTTTGGATCAATAAATGATTGCCAATATGAATCTCTAATATACATACCAATATATGAAGAAAGAGACGTATTGGATGGAATTCAAGCCAAGGTAATCCTAGGGTTGCTCAAAGCCAGTCTCCAGGTCTTGAACCGTCTAACCTAGAAAAGATTGGAAATGAAAGCTAAAAAGCAATAGTTAAAAGCCATATGTCATACAGGTGGTTAACATTAAGTGCCCAAAGTCTTGTGATCCAAAACCTATGTGTCTATGATCTGGATGTCTTCACTTGGGAGTGGTTATCAGTACCTAATGCTTATAAGTGCTTATTGCAACTTGTTTTCAAGGGTTGGCAATACTGTAAAGTCATTGTCCACAGGGGTTTCACTTAGATAATGCAAAATATGAAAAATTTACTCCAGAAGTTGAAAGAACCTTTGTCCTAAAGCTGCTGCAAGTCTCTCTAGGGACATGCATGAGCTCTCAGGAAATGTGCTGTCCAGATTAGTCAGCACCCTGGTGCCTCCCCTTTATGGAGAGACAGGTGAGATGGAAGGGAAAGAGTCTCAGAAAAACAAAACAAAACAAAACAAAATAAACAAACAAAAAACACAAAAAAAACGTGATTCCAGAGTCAAGATCCTGGTATGATGCAATTGTGTGATTCTGAAGAAATTGCCTTTCTGGGCTTCAGTTTTCACCTCTGAAAAGTGACAAAGCTCTAGCTTCTACTTTCTAGCTGTAGAATCAATGCAATTTGAGAGTGAGGTCCCAAGTCAGCCCATGTCGGCCAACATCCACCCTTGTTGGTCCTATTAATTAATTCATCCCAGCTTTTGCAGCCCTGCTGGCCTTTTGTTGGTCCATGTCAACCCTCCTTGTATCTGGAAAAATATTATTTAAAATTTAAGACGACATAAGGACATTTTTAGATAAACAAAAGATGAGAGAATTAGTTACCAACAGGCTTGTACCACAAAAAAATACTAAAGAATGTCCTTTGAGAGGAAATAACACAAGATGAAAATTAATATACACAGGAAGGGAAAAAAATTCATAAATGATCAATATGTGAGTACATATAAAAGACTATGTTTTTCTTTCATAAATGTCCTTAAAAATAACTGCTTAAAGTAAAAAGAATAACACTATGCTGCGAGTGATGACTTACGAAGAATTAAAGGATATAAAGACAACAGCCTAAATGAAAGGGGTAGAATGTTTGAATGGAATTAAGCTGTTGTGAAGTTCCTTGAAATTTATGAAATGGGAAAAGTCAGATGTCAAGAGCAAAATGTAAAGTGATTGAATATTTATTCTAACTAGACTGTAATAAGGATGCATATTGTAATCCTCAGAGTAACTACTAAACAACAACAAAAAAATACAAAGATTTTCGACTAAAAGGTCAGTAGCGAAAGAGGAAAATACCTCAACATAATAAAGGCTATATTTGAAAAGCCCACAGCTGACTTCACGCCCAGTGGTGGAAAGCTGAAAGCTTTTCCTCTAAGAGCAGTAATAAGATATGGATGCTTGATCTAAACACTTCTATTCAACATACTGGAAGTCCTAGCCAGACAATTAGGCAAGAGAATTATAAATAAAAAAATAAAACCATCTCTGTTTGACAATGACATGATCTTACATGTACAAACTCCTAAAGATCACACACACACACACACACACACACACACACACACACAGAGCATATAAGTTGCAAGATATAAAATCATCCAAAAATCAGTTGTGTTTCTATAAAGTAACAATAAACAGTCCAAAAATAAAAATAAGAAAACAGTCTCATTTACAATAGCATCAAAGGGAACAAAATACTTGAAAATAGGCTGGGTGTGGTGGCTCACACCTGTAACCTCAGCACTTTGGGAGGCCAAGGCGGGCAGATCACTTGAGGTCAGGAGTTTGAGACCAGCCTGGCCAACATGGCAAAACCCGTCTCTACTAAAAATACAAAAATTAGCCAGGTGTGGTGGCAAGCACCTGTAATTCCAGCTACTCAGGAGGCTGAGGCAGGAGAATCACTTGAACCTGGGAGGTGGAGGTTGCATCGTGCCACTGCATTCTAGCCTGGGTGACAAAAGCAAATCTCTGTCTCAAAAAACAAACAAACAAACAAACAAACAAACAAAAACTTGAAAATAAATCTAACCACAGAGGTAGAAGATCTGTATGCCGAAATGACAATATACTGATGAGAGAAATTGAATAATACACAAATAAATGGAAAGATATTCCATGTTCATGGATTGGAATAATTTATATTGTTAAGATGTTCATATTACCCAAAGCGATCTACAGAGTCAATGCAATCTCTATCAAAACTCAAATGATATTTTTTCCCAGAAATAGAAAAAAAAAATCCTAAAATGTGTATGGACCCAGAAAGAATTGTGAATAACTAAAGAAATCTTGAATAAAAAGAATGAAGCTGGAGGCATCATACTATCTGACTTTGTAACATACTACAAAGCTATAGCTATCAAAACAGCATGGTACTGGTATAAAAACAGACACATAGACCCAAGGAACAGAATAGAGAGGCCAGAAATAAGCCAACACATTTACACTCAATTGATATTCGACAAAGGTGTTGTAGGGGAGTGAAAAATGGCTTTCATTCACACTTTTTGATTCTTTGGCTGGGCTAATAATTAAATTAGCATGAGACAGATTAATGAGAGAAAAATCATATTTAATTACATATGACACACAGGAGTCTTAAAAATATGAGACCTGAAGAAGGATCAGATGATTGAAGCTTATATAGCACCCTGAGCTACAGAAAGAAATGGGACTTAAGGCTTCTGGGGAAGGTGGTGACACAAGTTATGGAAGAATGAATGGAGGAAACGTATGGTGAATAAAGATTATCTTGTTAAGCAGATAAAAAGTCTCTCAAGTAATAAATGTTGCCCCTGAGCAGCCCTCAGAAGAATAGGTTATAGTATCTCTGGACATGGTGTCAAGCTCCAGCCTCCTCTCCTTTGGTGCAAGTTAATCTTCCCTGGTGGTAAGATTTTGGGGGAGGAGATTTATGACAACTGAGTTCCCTTTGGAGGATTCATCTTTAGGCAGATAAGGGGAGCTCAAGAAAGCTTCTGCCTGCATCCACCCTTCCTCATGTCCTTAGTTCAAAATAATCAACATACCAAAGCATTGTATTTTGGGATGGTATTTCCCAAACTCTTCCATTTCCTTTGTCTGAAACTTCCCTAGAAGTTTCACACACTAAAAGCTGAGTTGGTGGGTGTCGAGAGAAAAATGGATTTAGTAGCTGAGTGGTAAGGGACCTGGGAATAGGTCAGTCCAATGAAAAAGTTGTGGCCTCATTTTAGGAGGTGGTGTTGCAGATGAGTTCCCATCAAAGTTAGGCACCTGTATGGTGCAAGGAAATAGGTATGAATACGATGCATTTCTAGGGAAACAAAAAAATAAAGATTAATGTTTGAAGCAGTCTATAAACTAGTTTCTGAATCTGGAGGGCATCCAGTTGAGATTTCTAGATGCTGGGTTTGAAGCATCTTCAGTTGGAATTAAGCTGTTGTGACTGACATCGCCAGTGGAGACTGGCAATGGCAATCTGACAGGTTTTCCTGGTTTGCAGTTTGCATGATGTGTTTCAGGGAACTTTCTGAGTAATGCATACACCAACAGACATGAAGGTTGTTTATACATAAGTTATTATGGTGACTTATCTGAATTCTATAGTAAGTCATCCAGCTTCAGCTTTCAGGGCTTCAGGAAAGGCCAGTTTTAATTTCAGTAATTCCATGTCAGAAGAGCAGGAGGAAACTTGAAAATGTTAGTTTGGAAAGTCAGCGCCAGATTTTGGAGAAACCTAGAAGACTTCAGGATCCAGTTTACAGATGCTCAAAAACAATGAGCTAGAATTTAATAATGGGTGAACTATAGTTTTCTTCTGAAACATAAATTTCTCTCTTTGGTCACCCCCATTTCTACAAAAAATAATCACAGTAAGATCAGTTTATTTGTAAGAAAAATAGTTTCATTAAACTTGGCCTGTTTATTTATATAAGTGCAACAAGAATAGTGATAATTAAATAGGTGCTTTTAAGTCGGCTTTGCTGGAACTTTTAATAAGGAATCTCAGATGGGACTTTTAAAAGGCTCTCAAGGCTAAGAAGCCAAGCTGAGAAGTCACCATCAAACTTTGCCTGAAATACCTGCAGATATATAGGTGAAGTTCTTTTTCCTCAAGGTCCCCAAAATATTCTGATGATCTTGGGCCTGCCAGGAAGTGAGATTCCTTTCTTATGTGTGAGACAACTATGTGAACTGTTTATTCAAGGTACCAGGCCAGTTTTTACCCCCCAAAGGATGTATTGGCTGCAGAAAGTCAACCCTAGTTCTTTAAAGATGGCTGCTCATGTCAGAAAACATGACGTTCCACTCATAGCCTTGATAGTATAACCAGTGTTTCCAATTATGTACTGTTGCAAGAACAGATTCTTATTGAACTTATGCAAATAATTATACTGCCATACAAAATAAGAATATTCAACAATAGTTTCCAAATTCTAGAGGGATCAGGTCAGCAGAAAAAAATGTAAATATTTTAATTTTATTTACAAAAGTATAATTTACCAAATTGTTGTAAACTATATATAGCTTTACAAAAAGTTCCCTTAAATCTGGAAAACAAAACATAAAAAAGAATCGCAATATTTCAGTAAAAACTATAATAATCCGTTATTAGTTCAGTTCCAGGTAATTAATTTTTTTTTTTTTTTTTTTTTTGAGATGGAGTCTCAATCTGCTGCCCAGGCTGGAGCGCAGTGGCCCAATCTCAGCTCACTGCAACCTCCACCTCCAGGGTTCAAGCTATTGGCCTGCCGCGGAATCACTATAGAGGTTCCTCAGAAATTGAGAATAGAACTGCCATATGATACAATGATCCTACTCCTGGGTATATATCCAGAAGAATTGAAATTAGAATCTCAAAGAAGTATCTGCACTCCCAGGTATTTTGGGAGCATCGCGGTATTGCAGATTATTACAATGCCAAGCTATAGAAACAACTAATTTCCGTTGACGAATGGATAAAGAAAATGTGATATACACATACATGAAATATTATTCATCCTTAAAAAGAAAGAAATCATACGATTTCAACATGGATGAACCTTGAAGACATTACGTTAAGTGAAATACTCTAGTCACAAAAAGCCAGATAATGTATAATTACACATACATTCATTATCTAAAGTAGCCAAATGTATGTAAACACAAAGTAGAATGGTAGCCACTAGGGGTTGGAGGAGGGAGCAGAAGAGATTTGTTTAATGGGTATAGAGAGTTTCAGATTTTCAAGAGGAAATATTTCTGGAGATCTTCTGTTTTACAACAATGTGAATATACCTAACATTATTGAACTGTACATTTAAAAATGGTTATGATGGTAAATTTCATATTACGTGTTGTTTATTATAATAAAAAGCAACAAAAGCTAATAGAAAAAATACTAAAAATACTCAGTTAACCTCAAAGAAGATAGGAAAAGATTAAACAAAAGAATAAAAACAGATAGGACTGGTAGGAAACAAATAACAAGATGGCAGACTTCCACCAAACCATATTAACAATTACTAGATGTAGCACACTGAAAATTTCAATGAGCAAGGAAGTACGGCCAAAAACACTTGGTCTTCCTAGATTGATAGGAAGATGGTGATAAGCAATTGTAATACTTTCTCCTAGAATACTAAGGGAGGCTTATGCCATGGAATAGACTGGCTTTGCTCAGGATCCAGGTAAATCATGAAGATACATTAATGAAGCCAATGGTTGAAAGAACCTTAACTCTGGGTTCTGCTGATGTAGTGGAGATTACTAGTTGCCCACCTAATATCCTTTCTCTCCCCTTTCTGCAATACACAAGCTTTAAAAATTATTGTTAAATAATTCCATTTATGTAAAGCCCAAACAAATAAGCAAACCTAAATCTTAATATTTAAAAATACATACATATTCAGGTAATAAAACTCTAAAGAAAAGTAAAGGTGTAATTCCAGTAAGAGTTAAGTTGATAGTTACCTTGGTGGAGGTGCGGAGAGAGGTGGTGACTTAGGAAGGGAAGGAAGCGGCCTCTGGAATGCTGGAAATGTTCTTTCTATCTGTTAACTTGAGTGGTGGTTCTCATAACTTTTTCTTGATGGCATGTGATATCCCTTCTTCCTTTAAAACAGGGTGGCCAATAAGATGTGAGCAGAAGTAACTGACTGTGCCTTCCAGGAAATCTGTTTTGAAAGGTTTTATTCTTCTTGGAGGTGTAACCAGTATGCTCTGCTCCTCTGTTCTCCTTGACTGTGCAATTTTCAAATAATGGCTGGAACTACAGCTGTCTTCTTGGACCATAAGGCAACCTTGAAGCTAAAAACTGCATGCTAAAGACAATAGGATGAAAAACCAGAAGAACTCTAATTCCATGATGCCTATGGAGCCACACTCTAACCCTGGACTGCCCAGCTCAGAGTTTCTATTGCTTGAGAGAGACATAAACTTCTCTCCTACTTAAACTACTATTAGGTTTTCTCTTTTTTTTTCCTTCTTGAGACAGTCTTGCTCTGTCGCCCAGGCTGCAGTGCAGAGGCACAATCTCGGCTCACTACAACCTCCACCTCCTGGGTTCAAGCAATTCTCTTGCATCAGCCTCCTGAGTAACTGGGACTACAGGCGCCCGCCATCATGCCCGGCTAATTTTTTGTAGTTTTAGTAGAGACATAATTTTACCATGTTGGCCAGGCTGATCTTGAACTCCTGACCTCAGATGATCCGCCCTCCTTGGCCTCCCACAGTGCTTGGATTACAGGTGGGAGCCACGGGTCCTGGCCAGGTTTTCTCTTAAATGCATCCAAATCCAGTTCTAATGGACACAGCCAGTTTAGAGGCTTAATATCCAAAGGAGTGCTTCCTTGAAGGAATGAAATTGAACTGAAAGTTGAGACGGCCTCTGGCCATGTCTAGCCAATTATGTATCCAATCACCCGGCAGAAAAATGTGTGAGGGAGGAGGGTTATATGCTGGATAAGTTAACTGACTATTTAAAACAAGAATCAGGTTCATGTCGCTACTCTGATCAAAACCTTCCAGTAGCTCCCAGTTCCCCTCAGAGTGGAACCCTTAAGTCTCCTCAGTTTGGTGTATTGGGCCCCTTGCTATCTGGCTTCCTAGATTTGTTTCCTGTGGTTTCCGTAACAAATTACCACAAATAGAGTGTCTTAAAACAATAGAAAGTTATTCTCTCAGAGTTCTGGAGGCTAGAAGTCCAAAATCAAAGTGCTGGCAGGGTTGATTACTTCTGGAGGCTCTAAAGGTGAATCCCTTCCATGCCTCTCTCCTATCTCGTGGTGACTTCCAGCAATCCTTGGCACTCCTTGGCTCGTGGCCCCATTGCTCCAGTCTCTGCCTCCATCTTTGCCGTGCCTTCTCCTCTGTGTGTCGTGTTTCCTCTCTGTCTGTCTCAAATCTCCCTCTGCCCTTCTCTTCTTATAAGGACACTTGTCACTGGACTTTGCCTGCCAGATGATCTAAGATGATGTCTTTATCTCAAGATCTTTAAGTTCATTCCATCTGCAAAGACCCTTTTCTCAAAGAAGGTAACATTTACAGGTTCCAGGAATTAGGGTGTGGATATATCTTTTTGGAGGTGGGGCAGGAAACACCATTCAACTCAATGCATGTCACTCCCCTGCTCGAAGCCTTCCAATAACTTCACATTCTACTCAGGGTGGAAACCAGGGTGTTTCAGCTGGGCTTGGTGGCGCATGCCTGTAATCCCAGCTACTCGGGAGGCTGAGGCAGGAGAATCGCTTGAACCAAGGAGTCAGAGGTTGCAGTGAGCCAAGATTGCGCCACTGCACTCCAGCCTGGGCGACAGAGCGAGACTCCGTCTAAAAAAAAAAAGAAAAGAAAAAAAACCGAGTGTTCATTGTGGTCAACCAGCCCTATACTACCTTGCCTCCCATTACACTGACCTCCTTTCCTACTAATCTCAATCATGCGTGTGTCCCACTTGCAATAACCTCCTTGTTGACAGTAGCTCAAGCCAGATATTCTCTGCCTCTGGGCCTTTGCACTGGCTATTTCCTCTACCTGGGAATGCTCTTCCCCCCGCATCCACATAGCTCCCTCACTTTCTTCAAGTCCTTGTTTACATGTCATCTTCTCAATGAGGTCTAATCCCATCTAAAGTTGCAACCGCACATCCTGAAAAGCTTATAATGCTTTTTATGGTTTGTAATATTTAATAGGTTTATCACCTTTTAATACACTATATAGATGACTTCTTTATTATGGTTATTGTTTATGGTCTGTGTCCACTTACCTCTGGCTCTAATGTTAGCTCAGTGAGGGCAAAGATCTTTGTTTTATTCACTGTGTATTCCAAGAGCCTGGAACAAAATAAGGCTCCCTAAGCACTTGTTGAATAAATGAATCTGTTAAGTGGATCAGGGTCTCTGGTGCCCAGTGGAGAAAAGTAGTATGGTGGGGTGACCAACTTGTTCTGATCTGCCTAAGAGTTTCCTGGTAATAGCACTGAAAGTCCCATGTCCCAGGAAAGCCATCACTCCCGGGCACACTGGGATGGGGGATCACCTAGAATTTGGGGGGAAGTGGGGTGATTGTAAGGGCAGTCTGCTTGTTCTATCAATTGTTCTGTGAATTGCATGATAGATGGAGAACCAGTGGAGGACTAGTGAAACCCTCCCCTCAGTACTGAAGACAGCAAGCCACAAAGAACATTTTAAAAGCTTCCAGAGATAAAAAGCAGATAGTATACACAAGAACAAGAATTAAGCTAGCCTTAAAACTGTCATGAAAATTTGAGGGGTCTGATGAAAATGTTCTCAAGCCTTCAAGACCCCTTTACTCTCTTTGTCTCTCTCTCTCTCTCTCTCTCTCACACACACACACACACACACACACATACACACACACACAATGAACATTCTCTTGGAAGATGTATTCTTCAGAAGGGAAACAAATTCACGAGTTGCTTCAAGTACGTATGATCAAAGGAAGAAAGGAGGAAAAGAGAGTCCCTAACAACCCAGTCTATGATCTCTGGATCGCACGGGGCAGCCTCTCTGTGGTGGCTTCAACCCTGTGGGACTCTTGCTTGGCTGGAAGCCAAGCCTCCAGCACCGTGGCTAGGACCAGGGAGCTACGCAATAACTCCGCTTCCGTAACCACTGTTTCCTGGGGGCAGGAACTTAGAGAGTCTCAGACTGCTGAATGCTTCTTCCTGTAACTAAGACCTGGAGCACAATTCGGGGAAGGAACGGGTGAGGTCCCCAGAAGATGCTGGGTTTGGGCACGAAACCGCAGAGCCCCTCTCTCCCTGCCAGCCCCCGGCCAGCCAGAAAGCCCAGAAAGCAGCACTGGATCTGAGAGATGTGGGCCCGTTGTCAGCTTCCACCTTCTCTCCCTGGACTCTACCCGCCCAGATACTGGAGGGACTACATAGGCCCATTCATTGCAAAGAATGTCCCCTAGTCCTTCTCAGAGAGGGCAATGTGGGGCCATTTCACTGCAGCTCCTGGATGAGGAGACAGACCGCACTGCTCGGCACAGCAAATCACTAAACCCTGCCCTTAGCCCCCAGGAGGAGGTGAGGTTTCCAGATACACAAATGCTCAGCCCTCCTGCCTTCCATCCTGTGGGTCCCAAACCTGGGCATTTGTGAGAGAAAATAATTCCACCTCCGAGTATAAATTGCTTTTAAAAAACAAAAGTCCCAGCTGGGCATGGTGGCTCATGCCTGTAATCCCAGCACTTTGGGAGGCCAAGGCGGGTGGATCACCTGAGGTCAGGAGTTTGAGACCAGCCTGGTCAAGATGGTGAAACCTGGTTTCTACTAAAAAGAAAAAAATTAGCTGGATGTGGTGGCACGCACCTGTAGTCCCAGCTACTGGGGAGGCTGAGGCTGGAGAACCGCTTGAACCCAGGAGGCAGAGGTTGCAGTGAGCCGAGATCATGCCACTGCATTCCAGCCTGGGTGACAGAGCAAGACTCCATCTTAAGAAAAAAAAAAAAAGGAAGTCTTTTTTATTCTAAGCATTGTTTCCAATATGCAAAAATAAGGAAATCTTTCCATTAGGGAAATCTTTCCATTAGAGAAATCATGTATATAGTTTTCAAAGCTCTTTCATTTTTTTTGAACCTCAATACAAATAGGTAGGGCCATTCTCACTTTTCTCTGTTTATAGATGAAAACATTGATATCTAGAATTAAATGTGCTTGCATTTATGCACTGTTATTTCCTTAAAATAGTGTCACAAAAATTATAATAAAATCACTGTATAAGCAAATTTTGAATTCAAATACCCCAGAAAAAATAAAACACTACATAATTCCAAAGCTGAAAGCCAGTGAATTGTAAAATGTTTTTATACTGTTGCCACAAGCTACCACCATATGAACAGGAAAACAGAAATACCAGCCCCCGCTTTCAGTGTCCTAGAAATCATGCTGCTATTTCAGGTGTTGGAACTTCCAGGAGGGATTTCTGTGTGTGGTTGTGAGGCTGGTCTAAGCAAATTTGTCCCTTTACCAACTGTCAGGTTGTTGTGGTGGACACCGGTAGCCTACCAGGTTAGAGCTAGGTATGGCCTATACAAGCCCAGCCTCAGACTACTAGTTGGTCTGTCAAAATGAAGTTAAGGCTATATTCTGCCAAGCGGACAACTATTTATTAGTAAGCAGGCTAAAGATAGTTTGGGTGTCCTGCAGTACAATTCTGACAATAACCATCTGGAGTTAATGTCAGATTCCTCATGTTAGGAGCACTGTCCCCAGCAAGACTGTCCCCATTTCAGATGCCAGCTGTAATTCCAGGTCTCCAGACCACCTGTGCCTGACCAACTAACTAGCTACAAATCCTACAACCACTCTCAGGCTTGACAATTCTCCATAACAATTCCTGGAACTCAGGAAGGTGCTAGACTTATAATTACAGTTTTATTATAAAGGCTGCAAATCAGGACCAGCATAATGAAGAGATACATAGGACAAGATCTGAGAGGGTCCCAAACGCAGAGATCCCACGCTCTCTTTCCATGAAATCAGAGCGCATCACCCTCCTGACACATCAATGTGTTTATCAAACAGAAAGTTCCTCTGAGCTTGTGTCCAGAGTTGTATTATAGTTTCCTGACATAGGCATGATTAGTCAGACCATTGACCAAGGATTAAACTCAGTCACCAGCCCCTTTCCCCTCCCTGGAGATCAGACTGGCTCAAAGTCCTAACCTCCTGAGATCACATGGTTGGTCTTTCTGGTGACCAAAGATGCCCCTATTATTCAGGAAATTCCGAGTACTCAGAGTCTCTCTCCCAGGAACTAGGGACAAAGGCCAGTCCAGTGCTTTATTACACAAACAGTTGCATACCTGTTCTCCTTAGCTTGGTGAGATCTCCTCTTTCTGTCTTCAGGCCACAATCAAGTTCCCTGCATGAACTCTGAGATCAGCCAACCTTGAGATAGAACTTATGACAGAGTCCTCTGCAACATGGGGTGCCCAGAGGGCATGAGTTTTGGATGTGGGCCCCACCCCCACAGAATCTGGCCTGATTCTGATACTTCAACCAAGCAAGGTGCTGGGATCCATTCAGTCTTTTCAGGTGACTGTATTTTTTGAACACCACTTATTTTATCTGTGGAAAATTATTTCTAAAATGCCTTATGCTAGCTAATGAAGACTTAGTATCTATAATAATAAAATAGAAAACATTTTCTTTAACCACCTCTGATTATAAATTTCTGTTCAAATGCTGAGTAATTACCCCTGGAGTATAGATGAAAGGTAATTCATGTACCCATATGTGATGGTTCATACTGAGTGTCGGCTTGATTGGACTGAAGGATGCAAAGTATTGTTCCTGGGTGTGTCTGTGAGGGTGTTGCCAAAGGAGATTAACGTTTATGTCAGTGGACTGGGAGAGGCAAACTCACTCTCAGTCTGGGTGAGCACCATCTAATCGGCTGCCAGCATGGCTAGAATAAAGCAGGCAGAAGAACATAGAAGGACTTGACTTGCTGAGTCTTCCAGCCTTCATCATTCTCCTGTGCTGGATGCTTCCTGCCCTAGAACATCAGAGTCCAAGTTCTTCAGCTTTTGGACTCTTGGACTTTTGGACTCAGTGGTTTGCCAGGGGCTCTTGGGCCTTCGGCCACAGGCTGAAGACAGAACTGTCGGCTTTCCTACTTTTGAGGTTTTGGGACTTGGACTGGCTTCCTTGTTCCTCATCTTGCAGATGGACTATTGTGGGTCTTCACCTTGTGATCGTGTGAGTCAGTACTCCTTAATAAAATCCCCTTTATATATACATTTATCCTATTAGTTCTGTCCCGCAAGAGAACCCTGACTAATATAACATAAGTTACACTTTCTATTCTGAAGTAGTTTAAGTAGTTTACCTCATAGACAATGGAACACTTTTGTACTAATATTTTAATACACTGTGACATTATAATTTAAAATTCTTTTTATATTAATAATGCCATCTGTGTGTTTATTGGTGGGGCTCATGCTCCTGCTGAAAAGAAAGTGTACTCGGAAAATCAACTTTGAAATAGAAATTCTGTGTGTTAAAGTGCTAAGAAGATGGGCATACATAAGTACCATGTTGTCCCAGACTGTTAATTAAGAGGACAGCATTCTGCAAAGTATCAGAGTTCAAGGTGAAACGAAGTAGTAAAGAAAGTGTTCACAACAGTCATTCTAGTGTTAAAAGAAAAACCCTAGCCAAATTAAGTTTAATAGTGTTTAATTGAACAGAGAATGATTTGCCAGTTGGGCAGCCTCCTGAGCCAGAGTAGGCTCGAGATACTCCAGTGCATCTAGGTGGTGGAAGAAGACTTATGGGCAGAAAAAGAAAAGTGATGTACAGAAAACAGAAGTGAGGTACACAAACAGCCAAATTGGTTACAGATCAGCTTTTGATTTACTTGAACCCGTTTTGAACAGTTGATCCCTTTTGGCCAAAATTCAGTGATTGGCACAAGAGAAGTGTTAAATCAGGTTTAGCCTAAAGCTGCCTCATTACCTGCTTTAAGTTTGGCCTAAAGGTTTCTCTGTACATCATGAATTATAACCTAAATAGAGTTGTAAACAGACTGTAACCAACTCTTGTGCCAATCACCAAGTTTTGGCCAATCAAATATGGTCAATTGTTCAAACCATGTTCAAATAAGGCAAACACTGACCGGTAATCAATCGGCAGTTTCTGCACCTCACTTCTGTTTTCTCTGAGTCACTTTCCTTTTTCTGCCCATAAATCTTCTTCTGCCACGTGGCTGTGTTGGAATCTCTCTGAGCCTACTGTGGCTCAGGAGGCTGCCCGATTCATGGATTGTTCTTTGCTCAATTAAACTCTTTTAAATTTAATTTGGCTAAGGTTTTTCTTTTAAAGATAGGTTACAATCTGTTTACACCTCCATTTAGGTTATGGCTCCCTGTATACAGAGAAACTTTTAGGCTGAATTTAAAATATGTAAGGAGGCAGCTTTAGGCTAAACTTGATTTAACACTAGGTTTATGAATACACAGTTTATATTTATTCCTATTAGGATAATAGTCTTTATTTGTGCGTGTTTTAAATTGAACAAGGCTTCTAAGAACACATTCCTTATATAAAAGGCAGCTATCTTCCAACTGACTAAATAGGAATGCACAGGCACTAAGTGGAATAGCTAGAAACAGTTCTTCAGACTCCTCATCTCACATTTGGGCATCATATTGGCTACTTCATGGTGGGAACCAGGGTCTTCTCTTTATTGCTGTGAGTCATCACTGGGTGGGACCAGCTGTCAGCCTTTACAGGGATCCCAGGCTCATTCCTGCTGCACAGACCCCTGCTCTCACCTCTCTCCTGGAGAGTTAAAGGCTGAGACCCACCCCATCAAAATTCAATAAGGTCTAGACTAAGACTGGGCATCTATCTATATATCTATCTGTCTATCTATCTATCTGTCTGTCCATTTATCTATCTATCTATCTATCTATCTATCTATCTATCTATCTAAGCTCCTCATATGACTTCGATCAAAAGTCAGGCTTAGGAACCATTGCTGACAATAACAGGCAGCAATGAGTTACTCTGAACAATACCGTGTCATCATCAGATTTGCATTTTAGAAAGCAGGCTCTGGAAGAAGTATGGAGGTGACAACAGTGCTGGTGGAAGCAATAATAATAATCATACAGCTCTCCCCTTCATCCTCAGGGGATACGTTCCAAGACCCCCAGTGGATGCCTAAAACCACAGATAGTACAGAACCCTATATATACCATGGTTTTTGATCTGGTAACTCAGATGCCTACTAAGTGACTAGAGGACAGATAGTGTATCAGTGCCAAAGGGATAATTCCCTTCCCAGGCTGGTGGAGTGGGACAGTGCAAGATTTTGTCCCCAGTTCCTGGCACAGAGCTCCTAAAAACTCTTGGACTTTCCTGGGTGAGAGGAGCTATTTTTGTTACCCTTAATAAGCTCCTTTCAACCATACCTGAGTTTATGCTAATGAGGTGACTCTTGGAGGGTGGGGCCGTTTGCCCCGGGAGCCAACCCTGTGATTGGAGGGTTGGAACTTTCAGCCCCACCTTCTGGACTGCCAGGTGGGGAGAGGACCTGGAGACATCACCAGTGGCCAGTGACTTCATCAACCGTGTCTATGTAATGGAACTTCCATAAAACCTCTTAACAATGGAGTTCAGAGAGCTTCTGGGTGGGTAAACACTTGGAGTTGCTGGGAGAATGGTGCCCACAAAGGGGGCATCAAGCTCTGCACCCCTCTCCTTGCCCTGTGCATCTCTTCCATTTGGCTGTTTCTGAACTGCATCCTTTATAATAAACCAGTAATAGTAAGTGGAGTGTTTCCCTGAGTTCTGTGAGCTGTTATAGTAAATTACTGAAGGTGAGGAGGGGGTCATGGGAACCCTTAATTTACAACGTCAGCCATAAGTGCAAGAAGTAACCTGAGACTTTTGGTTGGTGTCTGAAGTAGCGGGAAGTCTTCTGGGACTGAGCCTGTGGGGTCTCCACTAACTCCCGGGAGTAAGTATCAAATTCATTAAATTATAGGATGCCCAATTTTGGTGTCCACAGAGAATTGGAAATTTGCTTGTTTGCGGGGAATGGATAAAACCCCTACACACTTGGTATCAGAAGTATTGTGAGTATAGAAACAGTTTTACACTTTGCCTTCTGACACAAAGGAAATCAGGGTTCAGAGAACCCTAACAGCAGATAGCTTGAAGTGCTGGAACTGAAATTCAAACCCAAATCTCTCGGACAGCCTATATGTTAAATATCTTTAGTTATCTTGATGAAATTGAGAGGGAGAAATGGAAAAATCACCACTAGAACTCTACAGAAATGACTGCGCAGACAGCACCTACGGGTGGATGCTGAAATTATTGGGAGAACTAGAAAGTAAGGAAGCGTTCAAAACTCCAAAGGATGGGGTGTGTCAAAGGGACCCAGGAGCCAAGCTAGGAGAGCACTCACTAACCAAAGCTGAAATCACTGGAACCACCACGTAGACAATAGAACATTGGACCATGACCCGAAGTATAAAATAAATATACAAGTCTATACTGGCACAATAAACCATGGAACGAATAAATAAATAAGCACACAAGCGAGAAGTGACAGACCTTCCTTACAAATGAACTTCAGACAATGTATGTAGATGCTCCCCAGCCAGGGGAAGGAGCTCAGTCCCCACTCCTCTCCACTGAGGGTGGGACAGAGCTAGAGACTCATTTCCGAAGAACAGAATGGGGAAAGGGAAAAATAGCAACTGTGCAGTGGAAAAACCTGGCAAACACGACATTAACCAGATGACGAAGGTTAATATCACCTGTGGTGTCATGTAGATGTCACATTCCTCTTCTTATAGTGAGGTGGGAGGGGCACTTTGTTCTGTGATGTTCTTTCCAAAAATTCCTAACTCCCACATAATCAAGGGGAAATGCCAGCAAAACCCAGGCTGGCAAATATTCCTTAAGATTGTCAAGGTCATAAAAAACAAGGGTAGACCAAGAAGCCAGAGGCAACTAGGGAGAAATGGCAACTAAATGTAATGTGGGGTCCTGGAGAGGGTGCTAGAACAGAAACAGGCAGTAAGGAAAACATCAGCGAATTCAAATAAAGTCTGTGGTTTAGTTAATAGTATTGTACCAATGTTAATTTCTTAGTTTTTGGTACTACGGTTATGTACGATGTTAACATTGGGGTTAGGTGGGTAAAAGGTTTATTGAGACTCTGCATTACTTTTGCAAATTTTCAGTACACCTAAAATATGTTCAAAATTAAAAGCTAAAAAAAATTAAATTGAAACCAGAAGCCTAGTCATCAGTAACAGAAACCTTGAGAATACAAAACAATTGAGTAACAATTGCCCTTTGTTTAGAAGCTAGGAGAAAATGTTGTTTCAAATGCAACCTACTACCACATTAAATCTGCGCTCACTCAGCGTCTTGCCATAGGAAAGCTTCTACATCTCTTTACTAAAGCAGGCTAAAAGATTATCTGTAGTATCAATCTGTTTATTCCTGTGACAAATAGTTTATAGTCCTGTGACCAAAAACAAAAACAAAAAATCTTGTTAATGGAAACCATGAGTGCTGTGGAAAGCTGTTCACTTGCAGTACAAGCTATAATTTTCAGAGAAGTTTGGCCACACTCACCTTCCGTGGGAAGATGAGTCATTAACCTCTTCTGATGTCTGACACTGATGTCATCCTAATTTGCTCAGACAGTATATGAAAAGATGGTACACATATTCTCAGAAATCGAACATGGCTTATAGGCATTTCTTCTTGTTAACAAAGTAAATTTAAAATTAAAATAGTGTCTCATATATTATTTGAACTATAGCTCAGTACATCAGTTTTTCTTGACATCTGAGAGGAGATATATGCAAAAAAATAGAACACAGAGGCTTAGTAACCAGAATATGTAATACACTCACCAAAATCAATAAGGAAAAAGGTAAGAGAAAGGGCAACGAATAGGAACCGTGAAGCAACAGAATCAGAAAATATGAACAGCCAAAGGCCTTCCAAAAAGATATTCAACCTCCTAGTAAATCAAGGAAAATCAAATGCAAACAACAAAGACACCATTTTCTCCTCCATCAGATTGGCACAAGAAGTTCTGACATAGTGCTGCTGGGACTGTAAATTAATAACGCCTTTCTGAAGAGCCATGTGGCATTATCTAGTAAAGTTGAGGCCACACTTACTCCTGTATCTAGCAATTTCATTCCCGGGCACTTACCTAGAGAAGCACCGTGGTCTGCTTCTGACACTTATAAATGGCTTACTCTGGTCAAGTTATTTAATCGCTTCCTGTGCTTCAGCTTCCTTGTCTGTAAAATGGAGATAACATTCGCATCTTTCCCACAGGGTTATCATGGATATTGACTGAGTTAATTTATGTAAAGCAAGGTCCTTTACAGATGGTGTCTGACCCCCCATAGTAGACACTATTAAAATGGCAGACTCCACTCTGTATCTCTGGCCCCACCCACTGTCCCCATCAGTGGAGGAGATAAAAATCTTGGCACACCACAGTCCACTGTGCCCCAGAGAAGCTCTCATATATTCGCTTGCACAAGGAGACAGGCACATGGAGATTTATTGCAGCAGTGTTTGTAATAGCAAAAAACTAGAAATAATCCAAATGTCAATTAACAAGGGTATCAATAAATGACATCAGTATTTATATAATGGAACACTATACATCTGTTTAAGAGAATGAACTAGACTTAGGTGTCTAGTTCTTGAATAATCTCAAGACCAATGTTAAGTGAGATAAAAAACAAGCTGCAGATGGATGCATGCACTATAAAATGTTAACATGTAAACACGCAGCACAATACTCTATAATAGTAGTACAAACACCATGAAAATTATAAATACCAGAATTAGAATTGGGGGCTTCTCTATAATAATTGCACAAACATTATGAAAATAATAAACACCAAAATTAGAAATGGGGGCTTCAACTTTGTCTATAATGTTCTATTTACTTTAAAAAACAACTGAAGTGTGGTGTGTAGGTATATATATGTGTGTGTATATACACACACATATATATACCTACACACATATAAATATATTAAAAATGTTACCATTTCACAAACGTGAGGGTTGGTTCATTGATGTTGTTAATACTATGTGCTCTGATTTTCTATAGGCCAGAAACATATTATAATTTTATTTTTAAAAAATCAGCAGGCCTTGGAGATTAATTGAACATGTGGGTGGTAAGGGAGAGGAAATGGTATTGGGTGACTCCCAAGGTTCTGCCTTAAATGACAGAGTGGTACCATTTGTCAAGATCAGGACTCTAGAAGACCTGCCATCTTTAAGCAATCACTTCATCATACAAATCAGAAAAAGGAGGGACGTTAACCTAATTCAAACCATAATCCAAGGTAACAAAGGAACTGTATCTTCAAACTAGAACTGGGGAAGTGATCTCAGCACAGCCGTCAAGAATGAGCAATTCTGAGTCCTGGCTCAAAGTCTCTGGTACAAATGACCTAATGTTCTTTCTTTATGTCTTTGGCAGATAAATAAAAATCATTAAGTATGTAGAGGGAAGTAAGATGGATTATTTAATAATTATAAGAGAGTTGAAATGTAAAAACTCATTTAAAACCAATAAAAACTGCTTAGTGATTTGTAAAGAAAACTGGAAAAAAATGGTTAGTCAAAGGAATATGTTTGAGTTGACATTAAAATGTGCAATGTGAAGGAACAATGTAGTAGCATGTAAACTGAAAATGCCTGGACAAAGAATTGCCGCATCTTGGTTGCTCCTGGACTGCAGTGAAGTCCCTTATTTCATTTCTGATAGTAATAATTTGTGCCCTCTTTCTTTTTTTTCATAGTTAACCTGGCTAGAGGCTTATTAATTTTGTTGATCTTTCCAAAGAACCAGTTTTTTGCTTTATTGGTCTTCTCTATTATAAATTTCTTATTTTCCATTTCATTGATTTCTGCCTTTAATTCTTATGATTTCTTTACTTCTGCTTATTTCGAATTTAATTTGCTCTTTTTCTTCCCTAATTTCCTAAAATGAAAACTTAGACAATTGATTTTAGATCTTTCTTCTTTCCTAGTATATTCATTAAATTTCCCTCTAAGGACTGTTTTGCTGCATCCCACGAATTTTGATAAGTCATGTTCTCCTTTTCATTTAGTTCAAAACATTTTGAAATTTCTCCTGAGATATCTTCATTGACTCATGTGTTATTTAGAAGTGTGTTAATGTCCACATATTTGGAAATTTACCAATTATCTGAATGTTATTGAGTTTTAGTTTAATTCCATTGGATCTGTGAGCAGACATTGTATGATTTCTATTTGTTCAAATTTGTTATGCTTTGTTTTAGGGCCCAGAACGTGATTTATCTTGCTGAATGTTCTATGTAACCTTGAGAAGAATGGACATTCTGCTGGTGTTGGATGAAGTAGCCTATACATATATTCAATTGATTGATGATATCAAGTATGTCATCTTTATTGATTTTTTGCCTGTTGGATCTGTCCATTTATGATAGAGGGGTGTTAAAGTCTCCACCCATGATAGTGAATTTATCTATTTCTCCTTACAGTTCTATCAGCTTTTGTCTCGCATAGTTTGGTACCCTGTTGTTAGATGTATGTATGCTTAAGATTGTTATGTATTCTTTTAAAATTGACCCTATACAATGCCTTCTTTGTCTTTGATATAGCTACCCGGCTTTCTTTTGATTTGTTAGCATGATACACTTTTCTCCATTCACTTAATTTTAATTTATATATGTCTTTATCTTTAAAGTGGGTTTCTTGTGGACAATATAGAGATGGTCTTGTTTACTAACACCACTCTGTGTCTGTCTTTTATTTGGTGGATTTGGATCATTGATGTTTAAAGTGATATTTTTATAGAGTTGGATTAATGTCTACCATATTGGTTACTGTTTTCTGTTAATATTTGTTGCCCTTGTTCTTTGTTCCTATTTTTTTTGTTCACTCTTTTCCTGCCTTTTGTAGTTTTAGTTGAACATTTTATATGACTGTATTTACTCTCCTTTCTTAGCATATCATCTATACTTCTTTTTTTACTTCTTTTAGTGGTTGCCCTAGACTTTACAATATACACTTAGGCTGAATCCAAGTCCACTTTCAAATAACAGTATTCCACTTCATGGGGCATGTGACTACCTTATTATAACAAAATAATCCAAATTCCTCGTTCCTGTTTCTGGTTTCATTGCTTTTATTAATTCTACTTATATATAAATTGCATAATAATATATATGTATATGTACACATATAAGATATTCATAAGCATACATCATCAAATACATTATTGTTATTTTCAACAGTTTTCTGTTAGATCAATTGAATATAAATACAAATAAAAATTTGGGGGGGGGGTTGTTTGTTTGTTTGTTTTGAGACGAAGTCTCATTCTGTTGCCCAGGCTGGAGTGCAGTGGCACGATCTCGGCTCACTGCAACCTCCACCTCCTGGGTTCAAGTGATTCTCCTGTCTCAGCCTCCCAAGTAGCTGGGATTACAGACACGTGCCACCACACCTGGCTAAGTTTTTTGTATTTTTAGTAGAGATGGGATTTCACCATGTTGTTGTTCAGGCTGGTCTCAAACTCTTGACCTCAAGTGATCCACCAGCCTTGGCTTCCCAAAGTGCTGGGATTACAGGCTTGAGCCACAGTACCTGGCCACAAGTTTTTATTTTATCTCCACTTACTTTATCTTTGATGCTCTTCCTTTCTTTATGTGACTCCAAATTTCTGACATATTTTCTTTCCCTCTAAAGAACTTCTTTTAACAGTTTTGCAAAGCAGGTCGACTGGCAAAAAAACTTCTCAATTTTTGTTTGTCTGAGAAAGTCTTTATTACTCTTTCACTTTTGAAGGATAATTTCACAGGGTACAGAATTCTAGCTTTTTTTTTCCTCTCTCTCTCAACACTAAATATTTCACTCCACTCTTTTTGCTTGCATGATTTCTGAGGAGAAGTCCAATGTCATTCTTATCTTTGTTTTTCTATAGGTTAGGTGTATTTTTCCTCTGGCTTCTTTCAGACTGTTTTCTTTATGTTTAAATTTTTGTGGTTTGAAAATGATATGCCTATATATAGGGTGTTTTTTTGGCATTTTTACTGTTTGGTGTTCTCTGGGATTGCTAGGATTTGTTGTTTGGATCTGACATTCATTTGGCGGAAATTTTCCATCATTACTGTTTCAAATATTTCTTCTGTTCCTTCTTTCTTATCTTTCTGATATGCTCATTACACACATGTTAAAACTCTGGTAGTTGTTCCACGGTTCTGGGATACTTTATTCTGCTTTTTTCAGTCTTGATTCTCTTTGTTTTTCAGTTTTGGAGGTTTCTATTAAGTTATCCTCAAGCTCAGAAATTCTTTTCTCAGCCATGTTCAGTCTACCAATAAGCCCATCAAAGGGATTCTTCATTTCTGTTAGAGTGCTTGTGATCTCTATAATTTTTTTTAAATCTTCTTTAGGATTTTCATCTCTCTGCTTACATCGCCCATCTGTTCTTGCATGCTGTCTACTTTATTCATTACGGTCCTTAGCAAATTCATCATATTGTTCTAAATTTTCAATCTGAGAATTCCAACATCCCTGCCACGCCTGGTTCTGATGCTTACTCTATCTTTTCAAGTTGTGTCTTTTGCCTTTTAGTAGGCCTTGTAATTTTTTCTTAATAGCCAGACATGGTAGCAGGTAAAAGAAGCTGCTGTAAACAGCCCTTTAGTAATGTTGTGGTGAGGTGTGTATGTGTGGAGGAAATGTTCTATAGACCTAAGATAAGGTCTCAGTCCTTTAGTAAGCCTATGCTTTGGACTGTGTTTCTCCATTTTTTTCTTCCCCCGTAGGTGGGACAGGATGGCTAGAGTGGGTTGGAGTTCAGTATTGTTTTCTCCTATGTGGAAAGCTAGAGCCGACTGAAGTTGATTGTTTCCCTTCCTCCAGGTCAGTTAGGCTCTGGTCGTACCCCAGCAGGTGAGGGTCTGGTTAAGTAGTTTCCCCTGAGGCCAGGCCTTGTGAAGAAGAACAGAGTGCTCTGGCATATTTCAAAATGGTACCTTTTCCTTTCCTTCTGCCAGAGAACGAGAGGATTTTTCTCCATTATCTACTGTGAGAACTTGGTAGGGCTCTTGGAGGTAAAATTCATGAAAGTGGCTGGGGGCATGGTCACCTGATGACTGGGTCTGCTTGCGGTTTTTAACTCCTAGCTTGTCCACACTGAGTCTCCAACATTTGTCAATTACAGTTCATATTTCCCTACCACAAAACCAGTTCCCAAGGTGGTCTCTGCTCATGAGTCTACTCTCGTAAGCTGTAACTCCCTGTATTTCCTATCTGTCTCTCCAATCTTGGGGGCAGCCATTTGCCCTGTGTCCTCAGCTAGCTTATGGATCCAAGAAGAGTTGCTGATTTTTTATTCTGTTCAGGTTTTCAGTTGTTGTTAGGATAAAGTGGATACAGTCATGATTTCTTTTCTTTCTTCTTCTTGTTTTTTGTTTGTTTGTTTGTTTGTTTGTTTGTTTGTTTTGGGACAGGGTCTCACTCTGTCACCCAGGCTGGAGTGCAGTACATGATCATAGCTCACTGCAGCCTCAGACTTCCAGTCTCCAGAACTCTTCTCACCTCAGCCTCCCAAGTAGCTAGGACTGTAGGCACAAACCATCATGCCAAGCTAACTTCTTTTCAATTTTTTGTAGAGATGAGGTCTCACTATGTTGCCCAGGCTGGTCTCAAACCCCAGAGCTCAAGCAATCCTCCCACCTCGGTCTCCCAAAGTGTTGGGATTACAGGCATGAGCCACTGCACCTGGTCAGAGTGGTGATTTCTAAGTTCTGTACATGCAGAACTGGAAACCAGAAGTACCTTCAGAGCTTTTTGAATTCCAGAATTATGGTGGATAGGAGCATAAACTTTGTGCTTAGAAGATTCTAAATGGATCAGGTAAGGATATATACTTTGCTATTAGTCCATAGGGCTTGGTTAGGCCTTGTCTATGTAAAGCATGGTTAGAAAGGGCAGGCCCTGCCTATATCCCAATGAGATGCCATGTCATGGGAAACTAAGAAGGTAAGAATGCCTAGAAACAAGTACAGAAAAGGAAGGAGTTGCTAATCTGGAAAACAATAAACATGTACGTGGCTGTCAGGACAAAATTACCAACTATCTTTGTTTTGTAGGATATTCATTTAATTCTCAGTGACAGGCATTTGGCCACTCTTAAGACAGGCCAATCCCCTTCTAAGTATTCTCTGCCATGTAGGCATGCTCAGCCTTGAACCCCTACTGCAGAGAAAATTCTATGGTAGCCATTTTGTGTTACTTGGCTATTTTCTGGGGGCTTAGCCACAGCTGATTGGGTAAGGGTGGGCCACTGATCCAAGAGTAGCCAATCCAACAGTGTGAGAAGGATAGGATCCTCATAGGATCCCATGAGCCATCACCATCAAATTCTCTCTTCTGGGAACTGGAACTTGGATCCATGTTAGACATAAAGACATATGTGAGCTGAAACCGCAAAGAAGCAGAAACCACAAATAAGCAGAGGAATTAAGATGGCAGAGAGGAGCAAATGAAGAAAGAGAAACAGATGTACGTGGAGAGACTGTCTATAACCTAGAGAAGAAGGGTGCAGCCAGGACTACTTTTGCCTTGGATCTTTGCCGACTCCATTTCTAGCCCATGTCATTTTTTCAGTAAATCTCCTTTTTCATGAGGGGGTCTGAGTGAGACTCTGATCTTTCTACCACCACCACATACTAAGGCTAGTAGCTGCCAAGCCACACAAAGTACCTCTTTCCTCTCCAGGGTTTCACCAGTGGATTCCAGAAAGCGGGCTCCAGTTTCCTTCCTTGAGAAACTTTAAGGTTGTCAATTATACATCTGCTTGAATTGATTCAAGTGGAGCCGGAAGTGGCCCACATCACCTACAAATACACTCTCTAGGCCCATGTTTATTCAGCCAAAAGAGTTTGGTCTTGATTTGACCCAAGCTGTCCCCTGATTGCAAGAGGCTGGACCATAACATCTAGTTATTGGGAGCCTATCCTCTGAAGATATACACGGATTGAAGCAATTTGCAAATACAAATTTATTACAGAGACAGTTTATTGTATTGGAAATAGTGACTGTTTTTAAACACCAAATGCTGTCATTATGTAAAATTTGTGCAACACTCTCAGATCTTAAGTTATAAAAGAGCTAGATACATACATCACAGAGAATATATATTCCAACTCAATGTGTACTACTAGCAACTGAAGTTTAATTTTAAATTGGGTTATAGAAAAATCCAGTATAGTAAATAAAACTTTTTAAAAGTCTAATGGCGATGTCATTTCCAGGAATGTAATGAATTAAATACCAAGACTGACCTGCTGGCTAAAACAACTAAAATGCTGAGTGGTTTCTTTAAGATAATTGTTATATGCATTAATAAGCTGTCAATAAAGAAAACAATCATTGGAGGCTGAAATCAAGTGAACACAAGAAACCAGAGTGGGCCGGGTGCGGTGGCTCATGCCTGCAATCCCAGCACTTTGGGAGGCCAAGGCAGGCGGATCATGAGGTCAGGAGATCAAGCCCATCCTGGCCAACATTATGAAACCCCATCTCTACTAAATATACAAAAATTAGGTGGGTGTGGTGGCATGTGCCTGTAATCCCAGCTACTCGGGAGGCTGAGGCAGGAGAATCACTTAAACCAGGGAGTCAGAGGTTGCAGTGAGCTGAGATTGCGCCACTGCACTCCAGCCTGATGACAGAGTGAGATTCCGTCTCAAAAAAAAAAAGAAAAGAAAAGAGAAGAAACCAGAGTGATCAGAGCACTAACAACAGTTCTCAACCGGAAAACACTTGTCAAGCTGATCACCTAGAGGTTTGCTTTTTAAAGTTTCACTCCTGGCAGGGAACAAGAGACAAATCCTAGGCCAGATAAAGATGGGGGATCTTATAAAATCATAAAGGTAGCATTCTAGAAATCATCACCACCAAAAAGGGGGACACACACACACACACACACACACCTCACACCATCATCAACAACAGTCACCATGAGAAGACAAGAAAGGAAAACCACCTGCCTTAACGTGGAATGACTGGATGCCTGAGGGATGAAAAGTCCCCTGAGAATTCCAAATCACAAGCCAGCTCTCAGGTGAGTTTGAACCCCAATTCACATTACCATGTTGTCAAATAAACCTCAGGAGGAGAATGTGGCTTCAGATCAGTGGTCTCCAATCTTTTTGGCGTCAGGGACCAGTTTCATGGAAGACAATTTTTCCATGGCCCAGGATGGGCGTAGGGATGGCTTGGGATAAAACTGTTCCACCTCAGATCATCAGGCATTAGTTAGATTCTCATAAGGAGCTCTCAACTTAGATCCTTCACATATGCAGTTCACAATAGGGTCCGCACTCTTATGAGAATCTAATGCTGCTGCTGATCTGATAGGAGGCGGCGGTCAGGCAGTAATGCTACTTGCCCACCACTCACCTCCTTCTGTGTGGCCTCGTTCCTAACAGGCCATGGATGGGTACTGGTCCACGGCCCAGGGACTGGGCACCCCTGCCTTAGATTACCCTTAGGTGATGGTCCCACATGTGCCTGCCTTCCCTGAAGAAATTCACCTTGAACTTGAGACCCAAAGAATCCTCACACATAAAATTCCAAGGAATAGGAGCCTAAACACACACACACACACATACACACACACATACACATACACACACACAAACAAACAGCCCAAAAGGAAACAAGGAATTTCACTGAAGAGTGGTAGGCATAATAAATAGAATTATCAAAAGTTGGAATTATTGGTCACTCAATATTGTTAGGCCTCAGGACACACCACCCCAAAATATCCCTCCCAATAGAGACCAGGATATGCCACCCCAAAATATACTTCTTTGGCATATTTTGAGCTGATGATTCTGAGCAACTGCAGACACAGAAGTTGGTCTTGTCCTTTAGTAAAAGAAATTTACCTTTATAAAGGAAATCTACATTAGTAAAAGTATGTGTATCAGGAAGACGGCTGCTCCTGACAACTTTTATTACCTGAGAGACTTTTTTTTTTTTTTTTTTGAGACAGAGTCTTGCTCTGTCACCAGGCTGGAGTGCAGGGGCATGATCTGGGCTCACTGCAATCTCCATCTGCTAGGTTCAAATGATTCTCCTACCTCAGCCTCCTGAGTAGCTGGGACTATAGGCGTGTGCCACCACACCCAGCTAATTTTTGTATTTTTAGTAGAGATGATGTTTCACCATGTTGGCAAGGCTGATCTTGAACTCCTGACCTCAGGTGATCCTCCTGCCTTGGCCTCCCAAAGTGCTGAGATTACAAGCATGAGCTACTGCCCCCACCCTATCACCTGAGAGACCTTTTATCTGCCTAACAAAATAATCTTTATTCATCTTACATTGCCTCCCCTCACCCTTGCTCAACTTATGTCACCACCTGCCCTCAGAAGCCCCGAGCTCCTATTCCTTTCTGTAGCTCAGGATGCTGTATAAACTTCAATCATCTGACCTTTCCTGGAGTCTCATATTTTGTGGGACTCCTGTGTGTATGTACATAATTAAATGTGATTTTTCTCTTGTTAATCTGTCTTATGTCAATTTAATTTATGGCTCAGCTAAAGAACCTACAAGGCTGGAGGGAAGCCATTTTTGCTCTCCTACAATATAAAATACATATATTTGATATGCTTAAGAAATAAAAGAGCAGGTAAAAATATGAGTAAGTGGTTAAAAAAAAACTGTTTAAAGCTGAAGCATATACTTTAAAAATAAAAATTCCAAAACTGAAAAGTAAAATAAACACAATAAACACAAAGCTAAATAAGGCATTAATAAACTGGAAGATAGGTCTGAGAAAATTATGCAGAATATAGTACAGACAGACAAAGAGAAAGAAAATATGAAAGAAAGGTTGGGAAACTTGGAGGATAGACTGACAACATCTAACAAACATTTAAGCAAAATTGCTAATGTAGAGGAGAAAGTAGTAAAGTAATATACAAAGAGATGAAAGCTAAGAATTTCCCAGAAAGGATGAAGGACAACTGTCTAATTCAGGAAGCTCAATACATTCCAAACAGGAGAAATGAAAAGTAATACTCATCCAGGCAGATCACAGTGAAATTGCAGAACATCAAAGACAAAAAGAAAAATTGTAAAAGCAGACATAGTGAAATAAGAGATTACTCAGCAGGACCAAAAGTTAACATAACAAATTATTACTCAATAGCAACAAGGGAAGCCAGAAGGCAATGGAGCAATATCTTCAAGGTGCTAAATAAAAAATAATTATGAACCTAGAATTGTGTGCTCAGGGAAAATAACTTTGAAGATTAGAACAAAATAAAAGTTTTTTTTTTTTTTTTAATCTTTCGTTTCGGGGTAAATGTGCAGGTTTGATCTAAAGGTAAATTGCGTGCCACAGGGGTTTGTTGTACAGATTATTTCATCACGTAGGTAATAAGCACAGTACCCGATAGGTAGCTTTTCAATCCTCTCCCTTCACCCACCCTCCACCCTCAAGTAGGCCCTGGAAAAAGTATTTTTAAACAGACTGAAAGAGTTTGCCTCATAGATCCTCATTAAAAAGAAATTCTAAAGGATGTGCTTTAGGCATGAGCCAAGTTAGCCCAGTTAGGAAGTTTAAGATGCAAAAAGAAATTTTAAAAAATGTTAAATATGCTACCAAATCAAAAGAAATATCAGTTAAAACAATATTAATAATAAGGTTCCATGGAATCAAAAATTGAAATAAAATACACTACAATAATTGCATATAAATTGAAAAAGACCTAGTCATTGTTTTCTCAATTGAAAACTTTACATTAAATTTTGTAAGTAAATGTATAACTTAAAGGTAGTAGGAAAAAGAAGAAAGTGAGCAAAAATAATCAATCCAAAATAAGACAAAAAGGAAAGAAAAAAAATAGAAAAGATTGAACAATAGTAAGGGCAAAACATGATGAGAGAAATAAATGCAGATGTATTATTACTTATAACCAATGCTAGGACTAAATCCACCCTTTTGAAGACAAAGATTACGGAATTGGATATTTTAAATGCAACTATATGTAGTTAGAATGAATAAGATCTAGTATTTGATAGCACAAGGGTTGACTACAGTCTTATAAATAACTTAAAAGGTATAATTGGATTGTTTTTAACACAAGAAATGACAAATGCTTGAGACAATGGGTACCTCAGTTACCCTGATGCGATGAATACCTCATGTACCTCATAAACTTATGTACCTACTATGTACCCCAAATTAAAATTTTTTTAAATGCAACTATATGCCACTTATAAGTATTGTTTAAAATGTAAGGCTATGTTGGTAACATTGAAAATAAAAAGGTAGGAAAAGCCACAGCATATAGATTCTAAACAAAAGTCAACAGGCATGGCTATATGAACATCTGGCAAAATAGAGTTTAAGGAAAAATCATAACTAGAGATAAGGAGAAGCCGTAATGAAAAGACGAGATTTCAGAACACCTCTCCAAGTAATTGATAGTTCAAAATCATTGAAGATGCATATTTTAACAGCATAATCAACAGGAATAATCTTATGGATAGATACTGAACATTGCACCAAATGCACAGATAATTCATATTTTTTCCAAGTATACATGGAATAGCTATGAAAAATAGACCATAAAATAACAAATTTCAAAATTGGTATCATACAACCAATATCCTCTGGTCATAGCTAATTAAGTTTTAAATCAACATTAAAAGGTAAGTATATAATTACTTTTCTAATAATAACATAAAGATCTGTCATACGCAGCATTAAACTAAAGTCATTCCACGTCATCCTTACTGAGTTCTCTCTGTGGTCCCTGTGTTCCTAAGTTGGCTATTTGGCATCGTGGCTGATTTTTGTGCATACAGCCTTAATTAGACGCACATGATTACCATATTAGACATTTTACCTCATTGGAAGCAACCTCTTTAGTACAGAAGTCGCATATTGTACACTCTGAGGTGTCAGGAGCATATCTGGTGACCGGGAACCCAGAACTCTCTAACAGAGAAAATGAATCCTCATTCCCAGTTTGGAGCAATCTTAGATGACATTTGGTTTGAACACGCCTTGTCTAGGTAAGCAATGCCCACCGTTTTAGATCCTACATGCAGCACTTAGAGACTTCGAATTTTGGAGATTCTATGTTTTTACATAGTGTCAGTTCTGATCACTTATTGGCCTTTCTTTCCACGAAGTAGGCTTCAAAGATAGAGAAGATTGTTTAAAATGTTACAGCGTCGATGGCTGGGTTAAAAAAAAAAAAAAAAGACCTTGGTCTGAATGGCACTTGTTACTATGGAAGTATGAGCCCTGAAGATGCTGGGGAAAATTGTCCATTGAGGTCTGCACGGAGCACAAGGGCAGGCATGATCCCCTTCATTTTCGACCTGTTAGGTCAGCCCTGAATACCAATTTTTTTTTTTTTTGAGACGGAGTTTCACTCTTGTTGCCCAGGCTGGAGTTCAATGGCGCGATCTCGATTCACCGCCACCTCTGCCTCCCGGGTTCAAGCAAATCTCCTGCCTCAGCCTCCCGAGTAGTGGGGATTACAGTCATGCGCCACCAAGCCCGGCTAATTTTTTGTATTTTTAATAGAGACAGGGTTTCTCCATGTTGGTCAGGCTGGTCTCGAACCCCTGACCTCAGGTGATCCGCCCTCCTCGGCCTCCCAAAGTACTGGGATTACAGGCGTGAGCCACCGTGCCCAGCCTGGATACTGTTGTTAAACACAGTGTTTTCCTCCATCTATACCCACAAACGTGCAAAATGGCCTCAGTTCTTCAAAGAGCTGTCTCCCTCTAGTGGCCAAAGATTAAAAAAAAAAAAGAACCCTGCAAGGGACTGGAGTCACTAAGGACATAAAACCTTTACACCTTTGCAGGGAATATAGAAAGAGTCCTTGAATTTGGAGGTATCACTGTAGCATATAATTTCATAAGTCCCCTCATTATGAATCTGGGAAGGATTATGTCAATTTCAAAGGGTTACTGTGAGAACTAATCTGAGTATCACTAAATGAGATCAGCAACGAGGTGTTGAGACGTTACAACTGGGAGGTTGGCAAGGTGTTGAGACGTCACAACTGGGAGGCTTACTCGCTAGTACCTTACTGGCTTTGGCACAAGCGTTTAGAAGTAAAACGGCGAGCAATGACAAATCATGCACCTTCATTGTCACTCCCAGATAGCTGAAGACATGGACTTCAGCTGTTGAGACCATAAATGTCAAAGGTATCCTGACAAACTGGAGCTGCCCCGTGGTAGACGTAACGATATGGCTCCCATGACTGGAGGAACACCAGGGTCCTTAGTCTCGCGCCAGTTTGAATAAAACGACGCGGACACATGTGGAGTGGTTTTAAGGAGTGGAGAATTTAATAGGCAAGAAAGAAGGAAGAGGCTCCCCCTGTACAGAGACAGATGGAGGGATCTCCAAGCCGAAAGAGGGAACCCTGGGTGTGGTGGAAAACCCCCAGTTATATGAGGAGGCTGGAGGAGGCGGTGTCTGATTTGCATAGGGCTCAGGGATTGGTTTCACTAGGCATGTCATTCACATAGCCCAGTGGAAAAAACTGGCCTTCCCATCCTAGTCCTTTGATATGCAAATGCAGGGCCCCCTGATGTTCTACACACGTAGGTATATGTGGGGGCGGCCATGTTGCCAGGCACATAGGGGGCAAGAAGAAGACAGTGGGAATTGCCATGTTTGGGTGGACCCAGTTTCTAACAGCTGGCATTTGTGTATCAAAGCTTGCCCCCCAACTCCCATACTAAGAGTTGGGGCTTTCCTGCTAGACAAGAAATGTTTCTGGAGCTGCTTTAAAAGGAAAAAAAAAAAACTTCCCAAGGACCCCTCTTCCTCTCTGCCTAAAATAATTTCTTAATAACTCCTAAAACAATTATGGCCCCTCAAAAGTGTTCACGTCCTATCCCTAGAGCCTGTAGATGAAGTAGGTTCCATGAAAAGGGAGAATTAAAGTAGCAGATGGAATTAAAGTTGCCATAGGATTATCCTGGATTATTGGGGTCCATCCAGGGGAATCACAAGGGCCCTGAATGTGGAAGAGGGAAGGAGAAGAGGAGGTCAGAGCAATGTGTCATGAAAAGAACTGGAAGAGCTTGCACAGCTGCTGCTGTCTGGTGCTGTCTGGTGGGAAAGGGAGAGGATCACAAGCCAAGGCACGTGGGCAGCTGGAGGGGTCAAGGAAAAGGATTCTCCCCTAGAGCCCCCAGAAAGAAACCCAGCCCTGCCAACACTTTTACTTCAGTCCTGGGAGACCCGTTTCAGACTTGTGACAACCCAGAGTGTAAGATAATACATTTGTGTTGTTTTGAGCTGCTCAATTTCTGATACATTTCTAAGAACAGCAATAGGAAACTTTATGCTGTATTTGCTCTTCTGGAGGAAACGGAAATACTGACAGACGTTGAAGTCACTCTTCCTAATCAGAAGTGACCTGCCAGTAAGCCTCGTTTGTACCATGAGCTCAGAAGTCTCACATCCAACTGAGATTCAGACTCTAGAACGTGGATCCCAGTGAGAGGTGACAAGGTGCTGGTGGCCCTCGCTCTCTCTCAGCGCCTCTTCAGCCTGGTAGTCTGCTCTGGCAACGCCTGAGGAGCCCTTCAGCCTGCCGCTGCACTGTGGGAGTCCCTCTCTGGGCTGGCCGAGGCTGGAGCCAGCTCCCTCTGCTGGCAGGGAGGTGTGGAGGGAGAGGCCCGGGCGGGAACCGGGGCTGCGCGCGGTGCCCGCGGGCCAGTGCAAGTTCCAGGTAGGCATGGGCTTGGCGGCCCTTTACTCAGAGTGACAGGCTGGCACTGCCAGCCCCAGCAGTGAGGGGCTTAGCACCTAGGCCAGCAGCTGCGGAGGGGGCACCAGGTTCCCTAGCACTGCCGGCCCGCCCGTGCCACACTCGAATTCTCACAGGGCCTCAGCCGCCTCCCCGCAGAGCAGGGCTTGGAACCTGCAGCCCGCCATGCCCGAGCGGCCCACCCCCGCCGTGATGTGCTCCTGCACCGCCCGAGCCTCCCTGACCGGCACCGCCCCCTGCTCAGGGGCACCGGGTCCCATTGACCACCCATGGGCTGAGGAGTGCAGGCGCCGTGTGCGGGTCTGGTGGGCAGCTCCGCCCACGGCCCTGGCACGGGACCCACTAGGCGAAGCCAGCTGGGCTCCTGAGTGGGGTGGGGACTTGGAGAACTTTTATGTCTAGCTAAAGGTTTGTGAACACACCAATCAGCACTCTGTTTCTAGCTTAAGGTTTGTAAACACACCAATCAGCACCCTGTGTCTAGCTAAAGGTTTGTAAATGCACCAATCAGTGTTCTGTGTCTAGATAATCTGGTGAGGACTTGGAGAACTTTTATGTCTAGCTAGAGGATTGTAAATGCACCAATCAGCACTCTGTGTCTGGCTCAGGGATTGTAAACACACCAATCAGCACCCTGTCAAAAGGGACCAATCAGTTCTCTGTAAAACAGACCAATCAGCTCTCTGTAAAATGGACCAATCAGCAGGATGTGGGTGGGGCCAGATAAGGGAATAAAAGCAGGCTGCCCCAACCAGCAGTGGTAACCTGCTCAGGTCTTTTTCCGGTCTGTGGAAGCTTTGTTCTTTTGCTCTTTGCAATAAATTTTGCTGCTGTTTACTCATTGGGCCTGCACTGCCATTATGAGCTGTAACCGTCACTTCCTAGACCTGCCGCTTCACCCTTGAGGCCAGCAAGACCACAGACCCACTGGGAGGAATGAACGACTGCGGATGGGAGGAATGAATGACTACAGGCGCACCGTCTTAAGAGTTGTAACACTCACCGTGAAGGTATATAGCTTCAGTCCTGAAGCAGCGAGACCACGAACCCACCAGAAGGAAGAAACTTTGAACATGTCCGAACAGCAGAAGGAACAAACTCCCAACACACCATCTTTAAGTAAACTCTCACACTCACCACGAGGATCTGTGGCTTCATTCTTGAAGTCAGTGAGACCAAGAACCCACCAATTCCGGACACACCAGGGTCTTGTTCCTCAGTACTCCTTCCCATATTGAGAGGAGCTGGTCCTGCCATTCTCCCTGACACTGGCCAGGCATTAAGTATATTTGCAGGCTGAATATCTTTCTTGTGTTGTATGTTTGTCTCCTCCAGCACTACACATTCTGTGAATCTATTTGTAGCCTTTCAAGCAATTGATAAAACACTGATACTTTTGCCTCTGCCTCTGCATCTATTCCGTAGTGAGTTGCATCAAAACAAGACCCAACGCTTTCCCGTGTCGCAAGATGATGAGTGAAAAATTGAGCAGCGGGAAGCTAAGGAAAGAAACCTGTAGCCAAGAAGGCTCATGCCAGTGGCAAGATTAAGAAGGGTAATCTCAAACCCAAAGAGCCCAGGATGGGGAAGCCCCTCTGTAGCAGAAACCCTGTCCCATCAGGGGTATGGGCAGATATTCCTGACCTGCTTGTAGTCCAGAAAAGCCATGTACAAGAGGAAGCATTCAGCCGCTAAATCCAGATTTGGAAAAAAAAAAAAAATGGTTCTTGCTACTGTCACAAAACCAGCAGAGGATGATAAGAATGGAGGTGCCTGGATGGTAAAACTTCCGGAAATGCCTACCTATGTGCCTACTCAAGATGCGCCTTGGAATCATGGAGCCCTGGCAAACAAAACAAAACCCTTCAGTCAGAACGTGGGAAGGCTGCAGGCAGCCTCACTCCCCCGGGACTGCTCCCATCATCCTCACTGGGCGCCACGGAGTCCAGAGGGTGGTTTTCCTGAGCTGAGCAGTAATTAGACCTCTGCTTCTCAACTGAGTTCCTCTGTGTGGAACATACTGGAAATGTGTCATCAGCACCTCCATCAAAGTTGCGATGAGCAGTGTGAAAATCCCCCACATCTGGCTGCTGCACACGCACAGACACCAGGAAGGTGAGCACTTCCACACAGAGAAGGAAATGCGGCTTACACAGCAGTGCGAGACAGATCAGAAAGCTGTGGACTCACAAATGCTGCCCCGAACCAAAGCTGTCCCTCAGCTCTAGGGCTACCTTCATTCTGTGTTCTCACTCACAAACGCAATGTGTCCTGACCAACTGCGGTTCTCAATTTCTTGCAAAGAACCTAATTAAATAATGGATACATTTCAAACCAACCAACCAACCAAGCCTGGGTGCTTCTTGCAGAAAGCTTCCAGCCCTTTTTGCTGGATGGGAGCCCAGTCCTCACTGCTGCGAGAGGAGCAGGGGCAGAAACAATGAGTGCTGTCCCCAGCTGCCCCCAGCCAGGCCTCCAGGCCCAACTCCTGCTGCACCTAGGGGGCCGCCACCATGGGCTCCCAGGGACACACGCTTGCTGCCCAAGGGCAGTGTGAGCAGAAGGGCCTACTCCCTGCAGGCTTCAGGAGAACAAAGGCCCTGATTCAGGGCTGCAGTTTCCTGCTGCTGCTAGCAGAAGGCTGCAGGCCGGGCTCTCCTACCCAGGCAACATCACACTTCTGGCTTTCTTCACTGAGTCCCCAATAAATAGGAGGCTTTGAGCTGCAAAATGTGATGCTGTATTTCATGAAACCCCAGAGACCCCAAATGACTGCCCCTGTGCTTCTGAGGGGTTTCTTAAGGGTAGTGTGTTTCCAGGATGAGTTACAATACCTTTTGTCCCACAAGCGAGACACTTTTGCATATGTGCCACTCTGGTTCGGCCCGCGAGGCTGTAGCGGGGGCTGACACGTGGTATTTTTGTGGGGAGTCATTGCCATTTGCTTTGACTGAGACTTTTCGGAGGGCTTTGCTGTCAAATTTTCACTGCGCCTGCACGGTCAGTAAATACCCTCTTCCAGCCTCCTTCCAGGCTAAAAACCAGTGTGGAAAAGTTTAGTCGTGTGTTTGACGCAACTGCATCTCGTTGCTATGGAAACCCAGGCTGCTACATAAACCTAATTCTATATTCCTCTGGCTTATCCCACTTTTCACTAGCAATTTTAAAGGAGATTTTCACCTTCCCTGGGTATTAACCTTTGACTTGGAGACACTAGAGTGGCTTTGTGGATTGTAGAATATCCGTATGCAAGAACTCACAAAACCACATCCAAAACAGCCATTTCATAGGCTGTGGTCTCTCGACACGGAGGCCCACTCAGCCAAGAAGACAAGCTCCGTTGAGTCCTTCTCCAAGAAGGACCAAGAGCACCAGAGAAGGGCCGGCCGGCAGCCCTGTGATGAGAAGCACTCTGGTGGCGCACCCAAGCTGCAAGGACCGTGTCATGATCGATGGGCAATGCCTGCCACAGACTTGGGGGCTGCAGAGGCACAGGTTCCCCCGAATCAGACACCATATGTCTACTTCAGAGCAAAGTGTATTCAGTCAGTTATTTACTTGGACTCCTAAAGCAAGATGGTAGTAGAAGTTCTTTCTGACCCTCCTAGAGCACAGGACCCTTCTAGAATCAGGTTCCTCTGGTCTTGGGCCTGGTGTCTCATTCCTTTTATTTGGGTCAAGACATGTGCTTCTGTTGAGCATTTGACACAGACCACTAAGAGCGAGCCCTGATATGAAATGGGGGCCTATTCTGCCTAGAGCAGGGGCAGAGCCTGTCTGATTTCCCTCTCCTGAAACTGGGGACTCTAGGAGGACTCATTAGGAATGTTTTTGTTGTTACGTAAGTGAAGGAAAGCTGACTTGAATTAGCTCAGGCAAAGGTTGAGAGTAAATGGTAGTG
The DNA here is from genome assembly GCF_000001405.40 of Homo sapiens. Lineage (NCBI taxonomy): Eukaryota > Metazoa > Chordata > Mammalia > Primates > Hominidae > Homo > Homo sapiens. The sequence goes on from NC_000004.12 coordinate 184,256,941, forward strand.
ATACCCCACCAAAAAAGTCCTGTGGAATCCCCTGCTACAGCCTCAGGGGCTGGACAACAAGCACACATGCAAAGTCGTCTTGCCTGGCACACAAAGGTGTTATAAATCATTCTGGAAATACATCACCCTTAAGAAACCCTTCAAAAGCACAGGGGTAGTAATTTGGAGTCTTTGGGGCTTAAAGAAATACAGTGTCACACTTTTCAGGCTCAAAGCCTCCCATTCATTGGAGACTCAATGAAGAAAAACAGAGAGCCTGGCATGGTGGGTGCCTGTAGACCCAGCTACTCAGGAGGCTGGGGCAGGAGGCCCTCTTGAGCCCAGGAGTTTGAGCCCAGCCTGGGCAACATAGTGAGACTTGAGAAAAAGGAGGAAGGAAGGAAGGCAGGCAGTGGGGAGGGAGGGAGGGAAGGAAGGAAGGAAGGAAGGAAGGAAGGAAGGAAGGCAGGCAGGCAGGCAGGCAGGCAGTGGGGAGGGAGGGAGGGAAGGAAGGAAGGAGGGAAAATGATCAGAGAATAGGGGTTTGACTGCTAACTTGAACATCTGAGTGAGTAAGCTATTCGATCTCTAAATTTCCATGTCCAAATTTTGGCTATGGAAGGAGGGAAGGAGGGAAGGAGTGGGAGTGGGGAGGGGAGTTGTGATGTTGCCTTGTGATGGGAGTGGAGATCTCAATGTGCCTGAAGAGAGGGTCAGGATGCAGTCAGGCCTCAGTGACCTCTGTCCTGGCAGGACTCTTCTGCCATCTGGAGTCTAGTTCACTCTGTCATTGGCTTCAGACACTCTGTCATTGGCTCTTCTAGATAGCCAACATATCTCCATCAGCTCCTGAACCTCCAGCTCCCAATCAGGGGCACTGACTCCGTCCCTTCATTCCAACTCAGAAAAGTGCAGGGAGGGGTTCTCATTGGCCTGTCTTGGACAAGGAGGCCCTCTGGACTGACCACCATGGCAGCGCTGAAGTGGTCTGGTTGGCCTGACTTGGGTATTATGCGTACAGCTGGATCATGTAGCTAGGGCAAGGGGCAGGTTTGAGGACCCAGAGCTGCTTCTGGAGGCCCACCCCTAAGTATCAGGCCCTCTAGGAAAAGAGCAGAGTGACCACTGGTCACCCCTCACTGTCACCACCACCCCACAAGTCTGGACTGGGCACGGGAAGGGGTGGAGAAACCCTCAGCTTTAGAGTGGGTGAAAGGAGTCGAAACCATCAGAGCCCCAGGGGAGACTCAAAGTAGCGGCAGGAGCAGTAATGATAGCAAAAACAGTGCCATTCATTGAGCACGTATCTTGTGCCAAGCACATAGAAAGCACTTTACACGTGCTATTTCTAATCCTTGCAGCAGCCTTGCATGGTAGGTGCTATTGGTCCCGTTTTGCAGTAAGAAAATTAAGACCCACAAACTTTATGAGATGCTTCTATAGCCTCAGAGCTCATAAATGCCAGAAATGGTGCTTCCATGAAGGGCCTGGGAAAGGGATGAAGCAGGATGAAGACAGTTGCTCAGGAGGTCACTTAATGCTCCTGCGACTCCCTGTGGCAAAGGGACTCAGCGAGAAAGAGCCTTTTTGGAGGGATTGTGCAGGGTCTCTGGTGGGGGAGGGAGCTGTAAGAAAAAGGCAGCCCAGAGGGAGACTGTGTGCTGGACTGGACCTGGAAAGTTTGGTGAGGACCACAGGTTCTTGGATTGCCTGGGACTGTCCTGATTTCACCCGGTATTTTGACATATGTGATAATGGCACCCCTTTCATTCACAAAAGCAGTGGTGTGCTGGTGAATGTATAAAATAGGGTTTCAAATACATATATACACACACATATGCATAATAAAATAATACATATTGCATATACATATACAATATGCAGTATATATTATTGTCTTATGCATATATGCATATACATGTAGTATGTATATACCATATATATACATACAATGTGTGTGAATATATGTCTATGTATACATATATGCAATATGTATTGTATTATGTATATATGCATACACATATAGTATGTATATACTATATATACACTATATCTATACATACAGTATGTGTGTGTGAATATATGTGAATATATGTGTATGTATATGCAATGAACTGAATGTTTCTGTCCCCCAAAATTCACATGTTGAAATCCTGACCCCCAAAGTTAGGAGATGAGGCCTTGGGGAGGTGATTAGGTCAATGAAGGTGGGCTTTCAGGAATGAGATTAATGCCCTTATAAAGGAGATCCCAGAGACTCCCTTGCCCCTTCTGCCATGTGAGGACACAGAGAAAAGACACCATGTATGCACCAGGAAACAGGCCCTCATGAGACAGAGAATCTGCTAGTGCCCTGATCCTGGGCTTGCTTCCCAGCCTCTCGAACCGTGAGAAACACGTTTCTGTTGTTTCTAGCCCATGCAGTTTATGGTATTTTGTAATAGCAGTCTAAAGGGACTATGACAATATATACACACATACATACACATATTTGAGATCAAGGCTGTGTAATACATGATTTACAATCAATAATAAAATATATGCTTTTCTTTAATGTAAATTTCACATAGCCATCGATTCTCATAGAATACAATTCTGTGAAAATTTTTGGTTGATTTTTGCTAAAACCTTGTATTCTTAGTCAACTTGTGGTTGTAATTCAACCATGATTTGTCAAATGGAGATGCATTCCAATCTGCTAATTCTTTTCCCAATAAGTTTATTGTTGCTAAATCTGATATGTGCGCTAACGTTAAACAATTTCTCATCCTCATGAAAATCATTTTCATTAAACAGAAACCTCTTTCAGCTGCAGCGCTACTCACTACAATCATGCTGCCTTCATAGAGTTGCAGGAATCACAGCATCGTCTCAGTGTGCATTATTTAATAATGGATGCGCTTCATACCTGGCTGCAGAAAATTGAGTGATCAGCTCATTGTGCATTGCCATGAGCAGCCAGGACAACCACACTGCTGTAAGAGGGTCCTATTTCTGCCAATAAACCATTGGCTCACCCTACTTTTAGAAGCTCGAATCTACTCCCTGTAACTGCAGTGTTGGTGACTGTGACACTGTATTCTTAAGGCACCAGTCAAGGGGAGAGTGGGGGGAAGAAAAGGCTATGGGGTGGGAGCCTGGCATCCTGTCTGTGACCTGGGCTCTGTGTAACCTGTGCTTGCAGACTTGTAAACCGCTCCTCACGGGTCAACAGACGGGGCCACTGAAGGACAGCATAGGAGGGGCTGCCCCTGGGAGCCACGTGGACTCTCTAAGGGCTGCAGCCTCTCACCTTCTTAAAGCCAGGGAGAAGACGTTCTCACAACTTCCTGTACTTGGAAAGAATCTGAAGAGTCTGGCTCTACGTATAAAACCAAGTTTATTTCACATTTTTAGAAACCTCACGGTGCAGGGAAAATGATCAGAGAATAGGGGTTTCGACTGCTAACTTGAACATTTGAGTGAGTAAGCTATTCAATCTCTAAATTTTCATGTCCAAGTTTTGGCTATAAAATGGAAATAACAAGGACACATATACTTAAAGCATGCAATTATGCGTTAAGTAGCAATCAAGTTGTAGCTAATTAAAAATTGAATGAGAAAATATGCATGAGAGAATCCTTGTAAACAGCAAATGCAATTTACACTGTTTAAATTTACCAGTGTTCAAAAGTGGGGGCATCAGTCAGGACAATCAACAGAACCGCTGCTGAAATTCCCACCAAAGCCACACACCAGAGCTGCAAGAATTGGGTCTTTGTTATGCTTTGAAATTTCCTGTTCGTGATTAGGACAAAGAAAAGATACAAACACTTAAGGCGGTTAAAAAAAAGAAATTCTCCAAAATTCCAGACAAAAAGCTTAATTTTCTCCAAGCTATTTTTTCCAGTTATTTTATTATTATTTTAGGAGGATGAGTAATGTCAACATAGGCCAGACACGGGGGCTCATGCCAGCACTTTGGGAGGCCAAGGCAGGCAGTTCACTTGAGGTCAGGAGTTCGAGACCAGCTTGGCCAACATGGTGACACCCTGTCTCTACTAAAAATACAAAAATTAGCCGGGCGTGGTGGCACGTGTCTGCAAACCCAACTACTTGGGAGGCTGAGGGAGATAATTGCTTGAGCCCGGGAGGCGGGGGTTGCAATGAGCTGAGATCACGCCACTGCACTACAGCCTGGGAGACAGAGTGAGCACCTAAATAAAAAAAAATAAAGTAAATAATAATAATCATGTCAATATAAACTATTTCCATAATGCTAGTCACCTTTACATTCCAAGATGATTTTTAATTCAGCAACTTTTTGTTGAGCACGCCCTTTGTATCAGGCATGGTCCTAGGCTCAGGGGATGCCTGACCTTGTAAAGTTCCAAGTGAGTAGCTCTCGAAAAACCACAAATATGTAGATTTTTATGTAAATCAATACTCAGTGTCAGCATCTAATTTCTGAGTGCTCAGATGTAATAATACTCTCCTGCAAGTTGTAAAACAAACTGGTTGGTGAGGCAATAAGGAGGTGCCCCGGTGTGTAAGAGGAAAGGACCCAGCTCCTTTCCTCTTCTGCAGAGGAAGAGGTGCAGAGCTTCTGCTTGCACAAGTCCGCGTTCAATAACACAAAGCAATAGGAGAGGCAAGATTCTGAGGAGGATTCTGAAAACACCATGCATTACACAAAAATGTGAAGCAAAAGATTGCATACATTTGGGTGGATGGTGGGAAGGGGGCGTTTGCTTGCTTGCTTTTATCTTAATTCTCCTTCCAAAATGGAATGTTTTCAGTCTTTGCTTGACTACAGCTGCTCACAGAAAACTTAGGACCAGTTACTTTTTTTTTGAGATGGAGTCTTGCTCTGTCACCAGTGCTGGGTGCAGCAGCACCATCTCAGCTCACTGCAGCCTCTGCTTCCTGGGTTCAACTGATTCTCGTGCCTTGGCCTCCCAAGTAGCTGGGATTACAGGCGTGCGCCACCACACCTGGCTAATTTTTGTATTTTTAGTAGAGATGGGGTTTCACCATGTTGGCCAGGCCGGTCTGGAACTCCTGTCCACAAGTGATCTGCCCGCCTCAGCCTCCCAAAGTGCTGGGATTACAGGCGTGAGCCACCACACCTAGCCCAGTTATTTCCTTTAATTAACAACATAATATTGATGGTCCATAACAAGCCAATAAAAGCAAAAAGACGCCTTGACATTCCACAGATCATAGCTCAATTTGAAACGAATGAAAAACATTTAAATGTAAATTAATTTGGTATGTTTGTAATTATTGTCTAAATAGATGAACAAGCCATATTTTACATATATTTCTAATCAATCAAATGACTACAAGAGAAATGACTACAAGAAAGTCTCTTACCTACTTTTGGGGAGGTTTTTTTTCAAGTACAGTAAGTCCTCACCTAACATCATGAATAGGTTCTTGGAAACTGCGACTGGCAAAAGTACGAATATAGACAAGATTTACGTACAGGTATGTTCATCCTGTGCTATCCGTTATAGAAGAAATATTGGTTATAAAATTATGTTTGTCAATAGATTTAAATATTAGGAAACCATTAAATGTCATGTTTTCAAATGGTAATATCTAGGGACTATACAATATAACGTTTACAAAAATAAACAGGACACAAAACTGTGTTTATAATACAATAAATAAAATGTGTTCTATGTAAGATATATAATGTATTTATTATATATAGTATTTGATTAATATATAGTATATTATTTATATATTATAAATACATACACATATATAGAAAAAAGCTGGAGGGAAATACACTCAAAATACTAACAGTAGTTTTCTCTAGGTGGCGGGATTATCAGTGATTTTTATATTCTTCCGATTGCTTTTTCTATTTTATCGGTTTTTCCACACGAGCCTGAAGATCTGCCAAAAAGGAAAGAATATGTTGGCCAGGCTGACCCAAGTTTTGTGGTTTCTGTGACAATTATACTTCTAATTCTAAAATAATAAACTGACATCATTTTTAACATCTTAGATATTTTATTGCAATAAGTAATATATTCATAATGAAAAATTTGGCAAGTACAGAAAAGTCAGAAGAATTAGGGAGAGAGCTGTGCAAATTTCCACCAGTCAGAAGGAAAGGCTGATACTGACATCCCACAGTTGTCTGAGTCATGGGGTATGTTTGCCATGGAAGTGCCTCATGAGCTGCCACTGGGGAGCCTGAGGACTGGCTGGGTCATGCAGTCTGGGTGAGATGCTGCAACAGAAACCACCCCCCACTACCAACCAACTTGAATCAATCCCCTTGTACATCATTAGAGTTTCACATAACAGTGCACCTGAAGAAAGGCTCCATCCATGGCAAAACAACAACAAAAAAAGCAACCCTTGGTTACCACCATCTTAAGCCTCTTCCCTAAAGCTAAGCATTTAGGTTGCTTCCAGTTTTTCTAACCACAGACTGGAAGCCAGAATAAATGTCTCTGTATAGTCATCTTTGCTCACATTCTGCCTCTGTGATGGAAATTTCAAGAAAAAAGTAACCATCATTTTCAAAGCTCTTGATATTTTCAAACTGCCCACACAAAAATCAACCTGTTTACCTCCCATCAACTTGCCCATCTAACCAAACCCTGCATGCATTGAGCACAATGTAAAACAATCTTTAATCTGATCGATTTAAAATGGAGTCCCTTGTTGTGCCTGTCACATTTTAAGGAATGTGTGTCCCTTGGGGATCTCTTCCAAGAACCCTTCCGCCAGTACAAGCTGCCATCCCGCCAGCCCCTATGTAGAGGACATGGCACCTTCCCACTAAAATGATGCTGGAGTTCTCCAAGTGGACTTGGGCTTGGATTTTCTTCTCACTAGGCTCCCAGGCAACCACATGATTGAACTCGCAGAAGGCCAGGCTGTGGAATAAGCTCCCAGGAAAAATGGCAGAAGCCAGGGTCTAACATACCCCGCTTCCCAAATACTCTAGAGCTAGACTCTGAGAATGGGAAGGCGTCCTGGAGAGCAATCATCTTTGAGGCCTTTGGCTACATAAATTACGGCTTTGACCCCTGGACCGGAAATAACTCTACCAGTTAATGATACAGCCGGGACCCAAACCTGGTGTCCTGGGAGTCTTAGCCCGGTGACTTCCCCACTACTGGCCTCCAACCCTGGCATGACGTCAAACGCAGCAGAAGTGAGTCCTGACCCATCACCCTTCTGTCTGATCACAGACCCTCCACGTAGGGTCCGTCAACATCATCGATATCTAATAACAATAAACAAGGCTTCTTGACCGAGGGGGCGAGCGGGGACTGAAATCTTCCTCAAAGACAGGGCCACAGTATAAAAGCAGAAAGAAAACAAACTGGGAGAGATGCTCCTCAAGCCGGAAGAGCTCTCAGAACTCAATTTTAGAAGTCAGCATGTGAATGGCCACAAGGGGGCGCGCTGTTTCCAAAATCTAGAAACTACAGTCCTAATCCCCGCGCCCCAACCGGCTTTCAGCTGAAATGGCTTCAGCTTTAGAACATCAAAGGGCTTGTGGCAAGGATTTGCTCACCAAATCCACTGGCTCCCATTCAGATTTTGTGCCAACCTACAGTCTACAGCTTGTAGTCACTAGGAGCTAAAGCTTTCAATTTTTGTCCCTAGATTATTGTTTTAAAAGTAAATACGGTACAATGGAGAAATACATACATGTGTGACATATATATACATATGATAATACATCATGTATATATGTATGTATACTTAAAACAAAAACACAAGTTAAAAAATGTGTATTATCAGCAACAGAATTTTAAATATATTTTAAACATATACAGTACATATTTAATATACACCATATAAATAGAATATAAAACATTTTTAATGTTTTAATATAAAATTATATATAGTACATATTTAAATATTTTTAGGTATATAAAATACATATTTATTGTATTTATATAGCATTGTTTACATTATATATTTAAAATTCTTTCTGTTGAGTGATAAACACATGCTTGAAAGCTCAAATTATATTTAAAACACCTATTAAATATATTATTATATTTATATGTACAGTAATATAATAAATGTATTTTATATATAATAATGATTTAAAGTACTTGTTTAAAATTCTCTATTGCTGAGTGATAAACACATGCTTCGTAACTTCTCTGGTTCTGTTTTATTCATTATAATCCTCAAAAACCCTGAAAGAAACAGAATAACCTTTTTATTGACCCACTCAAGTTATTTAATTTTTATGTTTCCCTAGCCCATATCTGTTCACGTATAGCTGAAAATAAAAAAGAAACGGTGGATTGAAATTGAAGGGAAATAGACAATAGTTATTGTTCCTAGCTTAATTGGGAGAGAAAGCCAGAGTAAAATAAGAGTCTATTGCAGCTAAGAGGAAGAAGTTCTTTAGTCTCAACCAAATATGTAAATATAACATCTCTCTTCTAATATTTTTAGTGCTAATTCCTAGTATAGAGCTGATTAAGGGTGGGGGAAGCACATATTTAATGGCCATTATTATGCTATTCTGAGGAAAATTCTCTCAGTGTCTAATATTTTAAAAATGGGTTTTAATTAGATCTTATCAGCAACCCTAAAATGCAACTTTTCTCACCCTCCAGAAAACAAAACAAAACAAAACAAAACTCACACCATCCCCAAAACTAGGCTTGATGAATAACCACATGGAAAATATGGAAAGATGTTTCATTAACCACACGGCAGATGGAACTAGGTGGGAGGAAAACCTACCACAGCTTCTCTTAATGGCATATTCAGGCTTTACTTCAGAAAAGGGAAGCATCTAAAAAAGATTGGAAGAATTTCTCACCACTCTGCAGGCAGCTGTCTCCTCCCAGCACCCAGGACCTGAACTCAGAAACTACCAGCAACACAGACGTGAGTCATTCTTGCTGCTATGCAGTTACCCTTAGTGCTGTCCACCCCTCGTCCCATCCCTCTTTTAATCTATATTCATTCAGAGAAAGGAGCTTAAAAAGCAAGCAAAGAAAAATCACCTGTGCGGAAAGTAGAAGAAACTGCTGCTGGCTCATCGCATTTTAGGAAAAACAATGCGCACGAGTAAAGCAGTCTTAGTAAGAGAAGAGTAGGAAAGAAACACGCTTAGCAGCATGTTAGAAACTAGTTTCTCGTGCCCTCCTTGGACTCAGAATACAATACCAGAGAACAATCAGATAAGGCAGGAAAAGTTAGAAGTTTGGGGAAATAGAGCTTCCGTAGGCAACTGTGAGGAATCAGGAACAGGCTGGGAGCAGGCACTGCCCACCTGTCCTACCCCGAGAGCACCAGGATAGGACTCCACACAGGAGGACCGGACCTCGATGATGAGCTCACCCTCGCTCTTAACAAGCACTGGCTCTCTACAGATGTCACTTCCTTTAAGGATGAGTAAATAAGGGAGGAAAAACTCTATGGGGCGGGGCGGGGTCTGGGAGGTAGTTTTTTGTAAAGCTACAGAAAATAGGAAAGAGACTTCATCTCAATGATTTAGAAGACTTTAGAAGACTCTAAAAATAATCTACAGGAGGACCCAAGAGATCCAACACGCTGGACTCCTCTATAGGATATCAAAAGGTATAACCTATATTAAACAAACAAAAAATCATAAGGAATAAGTAAAGATGAAAATTACTAATATGTGATGAACCAATGCTTTTAACAAATGTTTATTAAGAACCCATTATGAAGGCCTGGCCCAGTGGCTCACACCTGTAATCCCAGCACTTTGGGGGGCCAAGGCAGGTGGATCACTTGAGGTCAGGAGTTCGAGACCAGCCTGGCCAACATGGTGAAATGCCGTCTCTACTAAAAATATAAAAATTAGCTGGGCGCGGTGGCACATGCCTGTAGTCCCAGCTACTTGGGAGGCTGAACACAAGAATCACTTGAACCCAGGAGTTGGAGCTTGCAGTGAGCCGAGATCACACCACTGCACTCCAGCCTGGGCAACAGAGCGAGACTCTGTCTCAAAAAAAAAAAAAAAAGAGAACCCATTATGAGGCACGCACTGGGCTGGGCTGGAGAATCCAGACATGGGTAGAATGGACAAGATGCCACCTTTGAGGCAGCTTACACTTTGGTGAGGTTCACAGACAATGCACTAATAAATAATTCATAATGATAATTGCTAGTAATGAATCAAACCAGGGGCTGATTGGGGGCAGGTAGTACCTACTCAGATAAAATAGGCAGGAAAGGCTTCTGTAGTATTTCATCTGAGCCAGATATGGAAAGCAAGTCATGTATATTCCTGGCAGAGGAAGCAAATTGCTTTAAGGTGAGAAAGAGCTCCACATGCCTGAAGAACTGAAAAAAGACCCATGTGCCTGGTAAATGGCACAGCTGAATTTGGGGACATAGGCAGTGTCAGCTCATGCAGAAGCTTCACAGCTGGGAAAAGTGCTTTGAATTCTTAGTACAAAAGAAAGCCACTGAGAGTGTGAGTGTGTGTGTATTCAGTATGTATATGTGTGTGTGTATGCACATGTATACATCTGTACACACATACACATGCACACAGTTGACCCTTGAACAGGTGCCAACCCCCACCCGGCAGTTGAAAATTCACCCATAATTTTTGACTTCCCTAAATGTAACTTGTTGACCAAAAGCCTCAGGTACTCTGTTGATTGAAAGCCTTACTGATAACATAAACAGTTGATTACTTCATAGTTTGTGTGTTATATGCATTATATGCTGTATTCTTACAATAAAGTAAGCCAAAGAAAAAGAAATGTTATGGAGAAAATTTAAGGAGGAGGAGGAGGAGAAGGAGGGCTGGGTCTTGGGGTCTCCGGGGTGGTAGAGGCAGAAGAATATCCATGTGTAGGTGGACCTGCGTAGTTCAAACCCATGTTGTTTGAGGGTCAACTGTACATACACATGTTTAAATGTCTGCATAAACATCAATAACTCCAGCTACAGCATAGAGAACAGACTAGGAGGAGCAATGGGGGGGGGCGGCAAAAAGAAGGGTGAGATGGTGGCCCCGTGAACTGAAGTGATGACAGTAAAGATGGAGACAAAATGACCTTGAGAGAAATATTCTAGAGGTTGAAGCAACCTCAGCCGTGGATGGACGAGAGGAAGGCATAAGGAGCAGCAAGGCATCGGGCGTGATTTGGGTTTCTGGCTTGAGCAGCATGGCAGAGGACCACGAAAGATGGTCAGAGAGGCTCACAACGCCATAGCGAAACCGAAACCTCATTACAGGCAGCGAAGGCAGAACTGCAGGCGCAGAAAACAGAACTACGATGCCGAGGGCAAACCAGAGAGTCCCCAGCACACCGGGAAACAGGAACAGAGATGACAGTGGTGAGAAAGAAGGCGGCAGAGAACGCAGAGCTGCCTTGTGAACCAGATTGGCATTTCTGAAAAAGAAACCAGAGTAACTGAAGAAAAACAACAGTCAGAAATTTACATGCAGTTCCCAGAAATGAGCACCTGCGTCTAAAAGTGTCCACCCTTTGCCAAGGAAAATTAGAATCCAAAGTATGACTATTTCCTCCAGAAACGCTTGAATTTCCTAAATGAATAATCAAAAAACAATTTTAACGTACTTGTAGAGAAAAATGCAAAGTCAGTGTGGCAATTACCAGGAGACAGTGGAACTGTGTCTGTATTTTGAAGCTTAAGTATGACTCATGAATTCTACAGCAAGCCGATCTTGTTATTCATGTGAGCAAGCAACAAAAAGATATTGTCACATCTACAAGAACTAAGAAAATGTACCATCTACATGTCCTTACCCAACTCTATCTAACAAGGGTGACTCCAGAACAAAGTTATGACATAAAAGGAGTCAGTAAGAATATCTTAGATTTAGTTATAGAAGTAAGTCAAAAAAGTTTTCTGAAGAGACTTTAAGCAAATGAAATGTAAATAATACCAAAAAAAGGTATACAGTGTAAAAACATACTACTAATAAGAATTGTATCAAAAATCTGGAATACCTACAAAATTGGAAATATGAATGAAAAATTTTGATAGTAAGTGAAGATACTTGGTTTGTTTCGCATAGCTGCATAATTGCTATGGAGTAAATGAGTGGGGTGATGGTTTGAGAACAGCAGGGGGACCTACTTAAATAAAAAAGGTCTGAGAAGGTCTCTCTAAATAGCTGCACGTTCCTGACTGTTTTGCAAGTGGAGCTGAGGTTCTCTGAAAGAAGGATAAAACATTTACACATTACTCCAAAAGTATTTAATTAGGTCCAGTACTGACGCAGTTGGACCGGATCGCATACCAATATTGATCCGAGAATTAAAAGCGGGTTATCCCTTTATTCAGCTTTAGGTGATACACAGGTAGCCGCAGAAGATAGAACAGGCAGCTCCTATGTCTCATAGTAAAATAGGGGAATGTTTAGTGACTATTTACAAAACTGTTAGCATATAACTCAAGCTAAGTTGATACTTACTCTGTTTCTTGTTCTCACAAAGCTGAACAAAATATCTGCATACAAAGCAGGGCAAAGAGCTTTCCTGTATGTTGAAAAGTTTGTTTTCATAATTTCAAAGGCAGCTGGCCTATAGCCATTACACCAGGAGTATTTATTATAAGGAATTACGTTAGTTAAAATTTTTTGTTGTAGAATGTTGTTTGTTCACCTAAACCCACTAACAATGGTAAGTGCAATATCCGCTTAGGTCAGGAGTTGGGGAACTTTGTCTATAAAGGGTCAGATAATAAATATTTTTGGCATTGACACTGCCACTGTAGCATGGAAGCAATCATAGGAAATACACAAATGAGTGGGCATGTCTGTATTCTCTGTTATTTTCAAAACAGGTGGCAGGCTGGGTTTGGCCAGTGCGCCACAGTTTGCCAACCACTGATTTAGTTGATTCTTCCGAACCAGTCCCCTCAGTTTGTGAATTTATTTCTCTAGTGACCATGCCCCCTTCCCTGCCTTGGCCACTCTCACGCTCATATCCTGAGCTGTGATCAAACCATTATCAATAACTGCCACCCCCGACAACCTCAATTATATCTGCCCACTCTGGGGCCTCCACTTTTTATCTTTTTCATTCACTCCCTCTAGGACCCAGACTCAGATAGTCCTTTGACCCTGTGAGGTCCTTCAATACACAGCTCCTGCCATCTCTACACTGTCCTCCACCTACCTGATGCCCTCTGTCCTCTGTCCTCTCCCACAGCTCTTAACCCCATGGGAATTCACTGTAACCTCGCCCCCCACCCGTACACCATCAACTCCCTTGCCCCCTGGCTTTGTCACACTCTAGACAAAACCACAACCCTCACTAAAGCCAACTCTCCACATACCCTGCAGCTGAATGGGACTGGAGGAAATCCCCAAGCCCTGTTGGCAGGCCACCCCTTAATTCATCATCATAAATCTCAGATGGGCACTTTTTGTACCCCTTCCCTAATCCAGTCACCCTCCCACTCTGATTTCACCTCTTCTCTCTCTACAAACCACCAGCGTCTCCACGAGCACAAAGCCCAGCCCCTGACAGGGGTTATCATTTCATCATAAATCAGAAGCTATCAGAATAAAACTTCCACAAACACTGGCTGATCGGCCTTAACCACACCTCCTTCCCTGAACACACACCTGCTGAAGGCTGCTGCTTCCCTTGTGTGCTAAATCCATGGCCTCTTACCACTCCAGCAATTCCTACATGCACTCCAGGGTCTCTGCCGAGTTGTTATTATTATGAATATTCAAACAGCTACTATTTCTCCTATCTGTCTAATCCATCCATTGCATCCATCAACCTATCTATCCATCCATCAATTTTTCCATCGATCCATCTAGATATCCCTCTATCCACCTGTCTATCTATCCATCCATCCATCTCTCCATTTATCCATTCATCTGTTTATCCATGTATTCATCTATCTATCTATCTATCTATCTATCTATCTATCTATCTATCCACTTATCCATCTATCTATCCATCTATCCCTCTATCCACCTATCTGTCTGTCTATCCATCCATATATTTATCATCTATCCATCCATCTGTTTATTCATCTATCTGTCCATATATCCCTCTATCCATCCATCTATCCATCCATCCATTTATCCGTCTATCTGCGCATCTATCCATCTATCTTTCCATCTGTCCCACTACCCATCTATTTATCCATCCATCTGTTTATTATCTATCTATCTATCTATCTATCTATCTATCTATCTATCTATGTATTGATCTATCTATTTATCCATCAATCCATCTGTTTATCCATCCATCCATCCATCCATCCATCCATCCATCTCTCCATCCATCCATCCATCCATCCATCCATCCATCCATCTATCTCTCATTCTGTGTGGGAGCGGGGTGCATACCATAAGACACTGCTCTGAGGAGGACAAGAAGGTCAGGTAGAGTGCATTGTCTTCATCCAGTGGACAGAACCAGGGCAGGGGGATCAAAACTACAGCATAGCCACAAAGCAGCAGGATGGCCTGGAAACGACCCCAATCCCACTCTTCTAACTTTCCAAGCAGGTTCTGAAAGAACGTGAAGTCCAATCGTGCCAACTAAATTTGCTTTAAAAGGCAAAGAGCTTAGTCTGGTTTCCCACTACCTGGGGCCCATGCCCTGAGCCCAAGTCAGCCTGGAAGGAGAATTTAGATGCTTGTAAGAGAGACCTATGCTTTGTAAGCTCATCCACGTCTAAGCTTTTGAATTTTTCTTCCCATTTCCTTCTTGCTCTACTGAGCAATCTTCTGAAAAATCTCAACTGCCTTGGCTGAAATCAGTGGAAAAGGATACTTTTCTTTTTCAATATTTATACTGAAATAGCTCAGATGAGGCAAGCCCTTGGTGAGGCCAGGCATGGTGGCTGCTGGATTTGGGAGAACTTGACACATATGCAGATAGAAATTGAGGTGAAATGCAGGTGGGGACAAGGGAGGGGCTAGGAGAGGGCACCTGTATCAGCAGCAGCTTGAGTTGAGCTGCTTCCCAACCAGCCTGGCTTTCCCATGCTGGAAGGGGAAGGGCCTCTCCACTGCCCACAGAATTCCTGGAATGACTTTCCATGCTGGGAGAAATGAGGTGGGTGTTCACTCAGTGCCCTGTGCGTGGCATGGAGAGTGCTCTTGGAGGTCAGGTGGATACAGCTGGTCCCTGGGAAAATGGCAAAGGGGTAAGTTAACCTTTTTGGCACATAATCATGCTCTGCCCAAAACTGTGGCCATCCAGTGCCCACAGGCTCAAGGCTTCCTGCTGACTTGGGCGTCTTAGTATGGGAGCTCCCCTCCCCAAGGCCTGACCCAGCAATGCCCGTGTTCAGACTTTCCTAGGCCCTCAACCCTCTGGCTTCCCTCTTTTCCCACGTACATGGCTTGCTTTCTAATCTGCAACCATATTTTGATAAATACATCACAGGGTCAAATGAAATCCCCACCACCCGTTGTGTAAAACATTTGAATTGTTTGTAGATATGCCCAGTCTTGGAGAAAAAAATCAACTGTTGAGAATTTCTGGGTCATTTCCTCAGCACTGGATGTTCACTAGCAGATTTTAATCAACCCACACAGAGGCTTTGGAACTGTCATCTATGAATGTTACAGAAATAACAGAAATGGGCTTTCCGCTTCAGGGGTGGCCATCAGGGCCGGTAACCATGGTAATAACCAGAAGCACCCAAGCCACGTGGTGGATTCCTCTGGGCTCTGACCCGGGGGTCTTCATTTCTTGCACTCCCCTCCTGCTTTTATGTTTCTTTTACTGTCCTTTTTCCTCCTTCTTCTTGATTCCTTCCTGCACTCCGTACTCTGGAATTATTTCCAAAGGGCAGGAGCGTATCTGTGTCCCCTTGGTCCCCTAAGGCAGGCAGGCGTTTTTCTGCTTTGGTCCCTGCTGTGCCTGTAGTACTAGAACAGTGTCCAGCATACCACAGGAGCACGTTTGGTGAATGAATGAATGAATCAATCAATCAATCAATGAATCAGTCAGTCAATCAATCAATAAGGAGGCTAGCTGCCTGGGTACATAGTCACCATCATCACATTTAATACTCGCCAGGGTTACGGGTCAAAACCCGTGGGTTCTCCTGGCCTCACAGATGCATCAACAATGGGCAGTTTGGTTCTAGAATCTCATCCCTCCTCCAACAAAAAGCATTCATTGAGATGAAATAAAAGTGTCCCTTGTGACTCTACAGTTTCGGCTACCCTTCACTTCTCAGTCACTGTGAGCCAAGACCAGAGTTCTGACTCCTAGGAAGCCTCAGAGCTTGATGCAGCTTCCCGTCTGGGTTTCCAGAAACAACTGGGAGGCCAGTTGTTTTCTAGAGTTCTGTTTCCTCTGGCTTCACACCTATTCAGTCTATAAAAGTTGCTCAGCAGAAACCCCACCATCCCATCCCTATCTGTGGCTGTCGTAAAGGAGGCTGTCTTGAAGGCTGGGGGAGTCCTGCTGCCCTCCCACCTTCTGTTCCTGAGCTCTGTGCCTCCAGGCGGGAGGCAGCCCATACACCAAGGCAGCACTTGAGATCAGGTCTCCAGACATTCCCTGAACACCACTTGTGCACAAGCTCTTCTTTCTTTCTTTCTTTTGAGGCAGGGTCTCCCTCTGTCGCCCAGGCTGGAGTGCAGTGTTGCAATCTATCTCAGCTCATTGCAACCTTGACCTCCCAGGCTCAAGCAATCCTCCTACCTCAGCCTCCTAAGTACCTGGGACTACAGGAGCACACCACTATGCCTGGCTAACTTTTGGATTGTTTGCAGAGATGCAGTTTCGCCATGTCGACCAGGCTAATCTCGAGCTCCTGGGCTCAAGAAATCGGTCTGCCTCAGCCTCCCAAAATGCTGGGATTACAGGCATGAGCCACCACGCCAAGCCAGCAAGCTCTTGCAGCACAGAGATGAACGCCCCAAGGGGACACTTGGCCTAGTGATTGGCCAGATACTCCACCATGCACTTTTCATGAGTTTTCTCATTTAACCCTCGAAAGAACCCTCTGAGGAGTGACTGTTCTTAGCCCATTTCACAGATGAGGAAACTGACGCTTAGATAGGTTAAATGACTTGCCCCATGCCACAGAATTACTCAGCAGGGGAGTCAAAATGTGAACTCAAAGCTGACACTAAGCTGTGTTCTCTTAACATTCACAGGAACTCCGGGTGAGGACGACAAGAGCTGAGCTCGGGTGCTTGCCTTCTGCACTCTCGGGAGGAGGCACCAGCATGGGCACCCTTCACAGTTCGGGCCCCTCACTCACAAACGTCTGGCACATGGAAACAAGCTGGCAAAAAGATTGTTTTTTTCTTCTGTACTTTTTGTTATAAGCCTGTGGTGAAGTGTCCATATCTGGCATAAATGAATGTGAGTGGTCTTGGGAATCTAAATATAACATGTTTCTAAGTTACACACAGCATAAATGAGTGTTTATGAGTGGTCTTGGGAATCTAAATATAATACATTTCTAAATTACAACCAACCAACTTACAGGGGGCATTTTGGTCTTTAACCTGTTTATTAAATCAGACACTGCCTGAACTTTCCTCTGAAGGAAGAGAGGAATGAGTATTTACTGAATGCTAATTAAGTGCTACTCACATTACTGGAATGCTTCTCTCTGATCCACCAGCCCCAGGAGAAAGGCCCTGTCCTCATTTTGCAAGCGAGGAAATGGAGGCTCAGAGGAAAGGGTTTATCTTCCCCCTGGGCTCGGCAGAACCAACAGCCAGCCCCAACTCCACCCCAAAGCCTGGATGTGGCCGTGGCTCCAGAGTGGGCCGCCCCTTTCACCATCTGTGCATACTGGGTCGGAGCTGAAATCTGTGATCACCCTTCTGAGCCCTACCCCAAGGACACTGAATCATGTGGTCAGGCTCCCAGCTCAGCACAGCCCTGACTATCAGCTCCATGTGTTTAGCAGCCTGGCCCCAGAATCAAAGCCACTGTTGAGGACACTCAGTATGAAGGAGACCACTTCAGGCCAGTGACAGATTCTCTCCTGGACCAAACTCGACTGAGGCTCCCCTGAGCCCTCTTCTCAACTAGGCCTCAACCCTGGCCTAGAAAGACTTGGACAAACACTAGCATGGCTTCTCATAGCTCAAGGCCGCATCCCTAGGTGACCCCAGCCACCTTGGGTGTCCTTGGGAGGCAATCCCAAGGACACACAAGGCTGCCAAACAAGTTTGCCATTTGCTCCAGCCAACACCCAGAGATCGGGCCCCTGTGCCCCAGTCTGTGAGGGAGGCTGTTAACAAACCCAGGTGGGTTTCTCATGGACCAAGCCCGCTCTGCTGTTTGTAGTTTTCCACTTCTCTGACCCCACTGAGCCCTGGTCACCCCTGCCCAATTCTCTCACTCTCCCTTTAAAACGCCCAGTCTCTACTGCACAAATCAAACTGGAGTTCAGTCTGGGCTGGGCCTTCTCCCTATTGCAATAGATATTACAATCCTTCTTTACCACTTAACTAGCATCTGGCTTGGTTTATTTTTGAGACCAACAGCTGGGGCAGGTGGAGCTGCCCCTCGGTGACAGTCCCTCTTAATACTCCACTGCCTACCCCACCCTCGCTGCTGTTCTGCTGCCTACACCTTAACACTGGCCCTCAGAACCACTCGACTCGCCCCCAGTTACCCGCAGCCTCCTGACTTCTGCCTCTTCCACAGCCCTTCCTGGATGTCCACTTCTCATTTCCAGGAGGAAAATAGGAGTTGCCTGAGTTGGGCTGAGGCATGAAATAGAAAAGTATTTGGGCCTGTTAAGTGTTCCGGATTGCTGAAATAGCCCATCCAAGCCCCACTCTTTCCTGAGTTTATTAAAGGAAGTGGGGAAAGCTCTGTGCTTTTCAGTCTAAGAGCTGGGTGCTGCAGAGAAAGGAGATGTTACTGGGAACACCGACCACCACGTCAAAGGTGCTACTGGGTCCCAGAAGCTTGGGGCAGCTTCTGCAGGGGTCAGTGCCTACCAGTGGAGAAGAGGACTCCAGTCGGGAAGGAAACAGAGCGGCTGGGTTCTTGGTCATCCTTGCAGGGGAGGAATTCTTCTTCACTTAGGTCTTAGCTGCCCAGTCTTCAAAACCACTTCAGGTATCTGCAGTGTACAGGGAGCCAGCTGGGAATTTCCATGGGAGTTGGGGGATTTCCAGATAGCATTTCCTCTTGAGCTGTGCATGACACTTGATAGGCCTAATGCTTTAAAAGTTTTCAGGAAAAGAGTCAGGTGTTCAGTTTTGTTAGGCATTATTTTACTTTGTGATGAATGTGTGGATGGCACACCCCAGCAACTGAGCCAAGCTTTTCCCTGTGGATTTGGGCAAGTACCTGTGAGTGTCAAGACTAAAGGGTGTTGATATAGTTTGTGTGTCTCTGTGTCCCCATCCAAATCTCACCTTGAATCGTAATAATCCCCACGTGTCAAGGGTGAGACAAGGTGAAGATAATTGAATCATGGGGGCAGTTTCCCCCATGCCGATCTCATGACCGTGAGTTCTCATGAGATCTGATGCTTTTACAAAGGGCTTCCCTCTTCGCTGTATACTCATTCTCTCTCCTGCTGCCCTGTGAAGAGGTGCCTTCTGCCATGATTGTAAGTTTCCTGTGGCCTCCCCAGCCATATGGAACTGTGAGTCAATTAAACCTCTTTTCATTATCAATTACCCAGTATCAGGTATTTCTTCACAGCAGTGTGAGAACAGACTTATACAGTAAATTGGTACCAAGAGTGGGGTGCTGCTATACTGGTACGGAAAAATGTGGAAGCAACTTTAGAACTCGGTAAGAGGCAGAGGTTGAAATAGCTTAGAGGGCTCAGAAGAAGACAGGAAGATGCGGGAAAGTTTGGAACTTCCTAGAGACTTGTAGAATGGCTTTGACCAAAATGCTGATAGTGATATGGACAGTGAAGTATAGGCTGAGGTGGTCTCAGATGGAGATGAGGAACTTGTTGGGAACTGGAATAAAGGTCGTGCTATGCTTTAGCAAAGAGACTGGTGGCATTTTGTCTCTGCCCTAGAGATCTGTGGAACTTTGAACTTGAGAGAGATGATTTAGGATATCTGGCAAAAGAAATTTCTAAGTGACAAAGTGTTCAAGAAAAACAGAGCATAAAAGTTTGGAAAATTTTCAGCCTGATGACGTGATAGAAAAGAAAAACCCATTTCCTGGGAAGAAATTCAAGCAGGCTGCAGAAATTTGCACAAGTAATGAGGAGCTGAATGTTAATCACCAAGACGATGGGGAAAATGTCTCCAGGACATGTCAGAGAACTTCACAGCAGCCCCTCCCATCACAAGCCTGGAGGCCTAGGAGGGGAAAATGGTTACCTGGGCCTGGCCCAGGGACCTGTTGCTCTGTGCAGCCTTGGGACTTGGTGTCCTGCATCCCAGCCATTCCAGTTTCAGCTGTGGCTAAAAGGGGTCGAGATCCAGCTTAGGCCATTGCTTCAAGCCTTGGCAGCTTCCATATGGTGTTGGACCTGCAGGTGCATAGAAGTCAAGAATTGAGGTTTGGGAACCTCCAACTAGATTTCCGAGGATGTATGGAAATGCCTGGATGTCCAGGGAGAAGTCTGCTTCAGGGGTGGAGCCCTCATGGAGAACCTCTGCTGGGGCAGTGTGAAAGGAAAATGTGGGGTTGGAGCCCCCACACACAGTCCCCAGTGGGACGCTGCCTACTGGGCCACCATACTTCAGGCCCCAGAATGGTAGATCCACCGACAGCTTGCACTGTGCTCCTGGAAAAGCTGCAGACTCTCAATGCCAGCCTGTGAAAGCAGGCAGGAGGGGGCTGTACCCTGCAAAGCCACAGGGTCAAAGCTGCCAAGACCATGGGAGCCCACCTCTTGCATCAGTGTGCCCTAGATGTGAGACATGGAGTCAAAGGAGATCATTTCAGAGCATTAAGATTGAATAACTGCCTTGCAGGATTTTGGACTTGCATGGAGCCTGTAGCCCCTTTGTTTGGGCCAATTTGGAAGGGGACCATTTACCCAATGCCTGTACTCCCATTGTATCTTAGAAGTAACTAACCTGCCTCTGATTTTACAGGCTCATAGGCAGAAGAGAGTTGCCTTTTCTCAGGTGAGACTTTGGACTTGGACTTTTGAGTTAATACTGGAATGAGTTAAGACTTTGAGGGACTGTTGGGAGAGCATGATTGTGTTGTGAAATGTGAGGGCATGAGATTTGGGAGGGGCCAGGGGCAGAATGATGTGGTTTGGCTCTGTGTCCCCACCCAAATATCACCTTGAATTGTAATAATACCCATGTGTCAAGGGCAGCACCAGGTGGAGATAATTGAATCATGAGGGCATTTTCCCCCATGCTGTTCTCACCATGAGTGAGTTCTCACAAGATCTGATGGTTTTATAAGAGGCTTCCCCCTTCACTCCAAACTCATTCTCTCTCTTGCTGCCTGTGAAGAGTGCCTTCCACCATGGTTATAAGTTTCCTGAGGCCTCCCCACCCATGTGAAACTGTGAGTCAATTAAACCTCTTTTATTTATAAATTACCCAGTCTCAGGTATTTCTTCATAGCAGCATGAGAATGGACTAACACAGGTGTTGATCTGTAAGGTAATATTATTGGAGTCATGACATCCAAAGTATCTTTAAACTCTTAAACAATATTTGTTCATTTCACATTTTTATATCTTCCTGGCACTATGCAGGGCAAACAATTGTAGCATACAAAGTGAATTATAGAAAACCTTACATATGGGTCTTGAGGAATTCTTGCACTTTTTCTCCCACTTTATGACACACTTCCATGTGCCATTATATCTAAAAAAAATAAAATAAAATCAACTCCAAAAGCAGAGAGCAAAGTCATAACCCATCTCAGCAAAGGTTTATTAAATTTCATTCATCCCAGAAGCTGCTCTGCCAACATTTTTCATCTTTTTCCTTTCTTCCTTTCCAATTTTATGATTTTTTTCTTTTCCACCTAAGGAAACCTTCTAGCGTCTCTTTGCCTACACTAAGCTTTTTTATATCTACAGCTCTTCCCATTACCATTAAAAGGCAAGAGGAAGAGAAGAGGATCTTTGTATACTTGTCTCTATCGTACAGTATATGAATGTATGCCAGGTGTGGTGGCACATGCCTGTATTCCCAACTACTCAGGAGGCTAAGGGAGGAAGGTTGGCTTGAGCCCAAGAGTTCTGGGCTGTAGTGTGCTATGTCCACTGGGTGTCTGCACTAAGTTCAGCATCAATATGGTGACCTTCTGGGAGTGGGGAACCACCAGGTAGCCTAAGGAGGGTTGAACCTGCCCAGGTTAAAATAGAACAGATAAGAATTCTGTGCTGATAAGTAGTGAGATCCAACCTGTAAATAGCCACCACACTCCAGCCTGGGCAACATAGTGAGACCTTGTCTCTAGAAAAATAAAATAAAATAAACCTTTTTAAAAAATGAATCTAAATTCACATGTAACGATACCTTTCTTGGAGATTGTTTTACTTGAGAGCTGGCAACATAAGTTCTTGACTTTTCAACACAGAGTTCCTCTAGTTTCTTTTACAGTATTTTAGATCACTGCTTTTCAAATGTTAATGTACACTGGAATCTCCTACAGATTCTGATAAAATGCAGATTTTGATTCAGTAATTCTGGAGTAGGCCTAAGATTCTGTGTTCCTCAAAGACTCTCGGATGATGGCCAATGCCACGGGTTCTTAGACCTCACTTTGAATGGCAAGATTTATATTATTCATTTTTTTCTAACTGCCCGCAAAACACTTCAGTGCAGTTGTTAAAATTATTTTTGTTGTTGCAACTCTCATGTTACATACAGGAAGCTTCAGGAACCCTGCTTGGCTGATGATCTCAGCTCCTCTTAGCTTTGGAGATGGGGTTGGAGTTATCCAGCCAGTGCATGCTCTGTTGGAGACAGTGCCACATGAGGCCCTTTCTAAGACAGACAGGGGCACGGTGACAGGGAGACACTAGTGGGAACATTTCTATATGGGTCTTTAATGAATCAAGAATCTGGTTACTGTTTAAAAGAGTGTCTTGAATGGATTTGTCAGAAGAGCCAAGGAGCCTCTGTTTGGAACCGTTCTCAAATGGCATGATTGTAGTATAAGGCAGGGAGCGTATGAATGGCTTCTTTTCAGGAGAAGAAAAAGAGCAAGGGGATTGAAGTAATGGGGAGCCTCTGGGCTCATCTTTCAGCTGAGTCTGCCCAGCTCTCATTAGCGTACCCTCCTTATAGGTATGAACTGAAAAGGGAAGTTGGAGGGTTGTGTCTATGGAAGGGACTAGGGGACCTGGGGAACTGAGGACCAGGAATTACAGTCTCATATTCAGTAAAGGACTCAAAAGTCAGTGATCCAAGTAATGACCAGAGAATATTAGAAAAGGAAAAACAGCCAGCTGCATTCTTAGATGTTATTAGAAATCAAGGCATGTATAGCTGAGGGGTGCTCAGAGACTCTCTGGTTCTGACCCTGTGTTTGCAGATAAAGAAACTAACATTCAGGAAGTTGGATGACTTGCTCAAGGTCATAAGATTGGGTAGGGCTTTTAGCTGGCTTTTGAACTCGTGGTTCCGAGCTCTTTGCAGTTGAACATATTTGTTGTTTCTCGCATCAATTAACTCTAACACATTTAATTAGATATAAAAACTGTTCCCATGGATTAAATTCTGTTTTTGAAATTGTGCGGGCAGTGCCCTGGAAAAAAAAAATCAGCAATAAAGGCCATAGCTATGTCCCCAGAGCTCAGCTGTGGCACTTGTGGGCAGCTACATAGTTTGAAGTTTGAACAAAAGTTTTCTGAAAAGGAATTTGGAGGAAAGACACTTTCTTACAGTGAACAGTTTGCAAACTGGGGAGACACTGTCTTCCTGTATAAGGAAGGTGTGCATTTCAGAGAACAAAGAGAGGGTTTGGCTTTTGTAGGTTCTAAATCAGGTCTGTTTATGCAAATAAATGATTCAAACTTGCTTAGTTCTGATTGATCAATGCAGCTGAGTTTTGATTGGTTGACACAGCTAGGCCCTGATTGGCCAAGGTGGGGGAGCTCTGATTGGTTGGTTCAGGCAAGCTCTGAAAGTCCACAGTTAAACATAGGTGTAGGTTTCCCCAGAACTCAGAGTACATCTGTGACCTCTAGCCAGCAAAGGGCCGCTTGGCTCTGTTATAAACGTAGGCCCAGTTAGCAGCTCAGGATCTATCTTGAAGGATTGGCTCTTTCAGGTGCACATTTGTTCACAAAAGCATGGTTGGCTTCTTCACACAAGGACAGGTTTCTTCACAGAGAATCAGTTACACACTCCTGAGCATATTTAACTCCCACAGCCCATTAAGTAGATGATAATATTCTTATTTTACAAATAAGGAAACTGAGACTCGGAATAAATAAATTGTTGCAGTTCACGCATTTGCACCGAGATTCAGCCCCAGGCCTGCCTTCTCCCACTCCTGTGCCCCTTCCACCCACTGCCTGGCCCCCACCCTGCTGTTTCCTGCTGGGTGTGCCGGGAGCACTGACCTGGGGCTCTGGGGACAGGACTCGGTTTTATAAAGTGCTGGGAGAAGTAGGAGAATTCAGAGGGAAATGGGATCTGATGCTTGGATTATGGGAGAAGCAAGATAAAAGGATGCTAAAGGCAGGAGAAGCAATGGGAGAATGTCTGCCTGGTGTCCCGTGGTCCCTGTGCAGCTGCTCCTCTCTATTGTTTCTGTGAAGGGATCATGCAAGGTACTTTCCAGCCACTGTTTTAGACTTTTGTTTTTGATGAGCTGGAACAGCAGCAGGTAGGTAGGTGGTGGGGGCCCTCTTTTTCACTTTTCTTTCTCTCTTTCCTTGTCGTGAGCTCAGGGGCCATAAGCCACCCGTTCAACAGCCAAAGGATGAAGCAGATCTTGGCAATGTTACCATTTCTGTAACTACTGGAGGCTTGCTGCCCTTTGACAGACTGGAGTGGAGCGCTTCAGGGGAAAAGCAGTACCCACCAACACCGTGGCATCTCTGCTCAACGCTGACCATCACGTTGAATTTCTGTTTATGTCTGTAGTAAGATAATCAGCTGGAAAGCAGATTGCTATTGAGAGGGTTTTCTGGTTTTCTTAGTAGGTCAAAAACCAAATTAGATGACCCACATCATAGGCCCGGATCAGTTTAGAAAAATCCCTCCAGTCCTTCAGTGGCATCCTTAGCAGGAGGTTCTGACTTGGAGGAAATGGACAGCCTGCATTTTCTGGAACTGAGAGGTTGCAGGAGGAAGGGAAAGAGAGGGAGATCAAGGATGACAAAATCTGGGATTTCAGTTTATCCCTTCTCTGAGGACAGAAACAGCTCTCAAGCAGGAAGAGAGAGGCTTTAGAAATACCCAGATCAGTGAGCCTGGGAACCTTGATTGTCCACTTTTCTGGGCAGAGGAAGGGGAAGTTTCTGGTCCCAGAGAATTCCAGCTCAGCACCACACCCAAAACAGTGCAAGTGGATGACAGTTAAACCCAAGGCGGGGCTGTAGGGTGCAGGGGCCTGCATGTCGCACCCTGGAGTCCTGACAGTTTCCCCGAGCCACATGAAGGGCACACAGCCATACTGAGATGCCTTGGCACACAGAGATCTCAGACGGCTTCAAACAAGCCTTAGTGTGAATCAGTCATCAAAACCAGAAAACACTTTCCGGGTCCTCAGACTCCACCGTGGTCTGCAGTGCATCACCCCAAAAGGCCAGAGGAGGCCAGTCACACCTCAGAGGGCAACAGTGCAGGAAGCGGCCCAACCCAGCCGCTTTGTTGCACAGACTGGCATGTCAATACAGGATACAAACTGGGCCTCACTGTCTGCTCTGCCATGAGTTTTCCTAAGCCACACCTCTCCTCTCTAACTAGGGTGAACAAACATCACCTGCTCTACTGGCATAATTATTAATAGTGCCCTCTTTCTCTCTCAAACACATCTCGGATTGATCTGACCTGAGTGGTTAAAAAATAAATATTATAGAATAAGATGCATGCTGTAATTCCAAGTAATAATGAGAAAAAGCTCACCTATGTGTGCAAGGTTCCTCTATGCAGGGAGCATATTTGGAAGGACACTGCTAACCACGGTTACCTGAGGATGGTTTGGGGACACGGACAGCACTGCATTATTTTTACACGCATTGCATTCTAAACCAGGCACTTGTTTCTAAAAATGAAAAAAAAGTGCCCGTCTTGGAAGATGATTTGTGATGGTCACTCTATCCAGAGCACAGGCCTCACCTTGCCATGGAGCCGGAGAGGGCAATCAAATCCGAACATCTGCACGTCTCTGCTAAGGGGCTGAGTGTTTGTTTTAAGCTGGAGTAGTTTCTATCATTGCAAACAGACTAAGTTTACCAGCTCATGCTAAACACAGTTCAGTTTGTTTTTCCTGTTACCCCAGTGGGCACAGGTTCATGAGGAAAATTAGAACAGATGCAGAGTCAACATCTGTGCCCATCTGGGGGCAGTGTGAGTGGTTTTGTGAACATGCTGTAGTTGAATTCTGACTTTTGAGAGGTTGATTACTCATTTCTTTCAGTAGACAGAAATCATAGTATTTGTTTGCTGGAGCATGAGCTGCTTTATTTCTATTTTCAGAGTTTCACTTTGGGTCCACAGTGGGGCCTATAACCAATGCTGGAGGTTCTCAGCCAAAGAGAGTGCAGCGGCGCATGGCTGTCCTGCAGATGGTGACAGGTGGGGACTCTGCCCCTTCACTCTTGGAGGTCAGGCAGGGCTAAATGGCTGCAGTCCCCTAAGCAGTCAGTCCTTTTTTTAAAAAGTAAGAACAATGGCCTGTATTTGTTAAACTTTTTTTTTTTTTTTTTTTGGTAACACAAGAAAGGATCATTGTGATGCTGAGCCTCCAGTGCCACCAGACTCAGGGTTCCGGGTAGGCAGGGTCACAGCTGGGCACCCCGTTGTGCTGCTCCAGGACTGGCCCCGTGTCCTGGCCTTGGGGTTGAGTCTCGGGGTTGGCTGCATGCGTTGGTGTGATTTCAGGGCATACACACGGAACGTGCTGCCCAGGTGCTGGGCCCAGGGAAGCCACGTGTCTCAGCCCTGAAGAGTTGTCCTGGCGTTGTGCACAACCTGGCTGGTGGCTTGGAGAGCAAACAGTACCCCCGACCCCACGGGTGTCTGCGGGCACTAGGCCCCACGTGCGGGTTCTCTGGAGTCTCCCAAGCTGAGCATCACCGGACCCAGACCCGTCACAGCCATGCTGAGCTTACCCGTGAGTGACCTTCCCGAGGAAGGCATGGGGCTTTCTGGGGCAGGAAGCAGGGGAAGAGGCTCTCAAAACAGCAGGAGATGGGAGCGCGCTGTCCCGGAACTGTTGTCCGCCTCCCTCTGCCATCCAGGTGCCCGCCACCAGGTCCCCTCTGACAGGCTCCTGATGCTTCCCGGGCCGGGTAGACCAGGGGTGCCCAGCAGCTTGGCCAGATCAGCCTGCCGTTTTTCCTCAAACGTCACCCTTGCCAGGGATGTCCCCGCCCCTGCTCCTCCCCTTCTTGGGACAGACATCCTAAGTCCAGTAATTCCGGTGCTTCCAATAAAAAACACCGCGAGTTTCTTCTCTGCCCTAAGCAGGAGCAGGGGGATTGCAGTGTGAGAGGCGTCCTCCTGCGGCCTAGGTAGGAGGATGGGTCTCCAGGAGCCTCCACGCTGACCCCTGTGGCTGGACTAATGTGTCATTTCTTGTATGTGCCTTGACATGGAGAAGGTTGGAAAGCTCTCCCCGGTACTATTTCACATGAAATGACATTGTGGACTGCAAGCTCAAAAGCACAGGCAACAAAACCGAAAACAGACAAATGGGACTTGTTAAACTAAAGAGCTTCTGCACAGCAAAAGAAATAATCAACAGAGTGAGCAGACAACCAACAGAATGGGAGATAATATTTGCAAACTATTCATCCAACAGGGAACTACTATCCAGACGATACAAGGAGCTCAAACACAACAACAAAGACAAATAATCCCCTCTTAATGTACTTTTAAAAGTATGCAAAAAAGAAAAAAAAAGGAATAGACCTTTTTCAAAAGAAGGCATACAGATGTCCTACAGGTATATGAAAAGATGCTCAACATTGCTAATCATCAGAGAAATGCAAATCCAAACCACAATGAGATAGCATCTTACCCTGCCAGAATGGCTATTATTAAAAAGACAGAAAATCACAGATGTTGGCAAGGATATAGAGAAAAAAGAACTCATTCGCTGTTGGTGGGAATATAAATTAGTGCAACCTCCATGGAAAACAGTATGGAGATTTTTCAGACTAAAAATAGAGCTACCATTTGACCCAGCAACTCCACTATTGGGTATCTATGCAAAAGGAAAACAATCAATTTATCAAAAAGATACCTTCACTCATACATTTATTGTAGCACTAGTCACAATAGTAAAGCTATAGAACCAACCTAAATGTCCATCAATGGAAGAAGAAAATCCCCTGGATAAAGAAAATGTGTTATTTACACAATAGAATACTATCTGGCCATCAAAAGAATGACTTCATGTCTTTTGCAGCAACATGGGTGAAACTGGTGGTCATTATCTTAAGTGAAGCAAGCCAGACAGAAAGTCAAACAACTCATGTTTTCATTCATAAGTGGGTGCTAAAAATTGTGTCCACATGTATGTAGAGAGTGGAATGATAGGCAATAGGTCCTCAGAAGTGTGAGGGGGCATGAGAAGGGTAGATAACAAGAAATTGCCTAATGGATGCAATGTACATTATTTGGGTGATGGGTACCCTAAAGCCCTGTCTTGGCCACTAGGCAATCTATGCATGTAACAAAATGGCACTTGTACACCATACATTTATACACATTTCTTTAAAAAGAAATACATCCCCCAAAAAATGAGATTGTGTCAAGCGTTACTCTGTAGGTTAGGGCGTCAGTAGAAGCAATATTATACCTAAACCTAATAGCATTCTGATTCACATGTTCATGACTTCATGGCAGCAGGTAGACCTCAGACCCTCCTCCAGCCGTGTCAGATAGACACCCACACAGGTAAGAATAAGGGAAGAACCAGGGTCTGTAGAAACTGGCAGTTGGGGAACCTTTACAATTGTTGACTATTCCCCAATACTCTGCATTGCTTTTTGCAGGAGGAAGATGTACGTTAGTCAAGTCACCTAAAGTTGAGTATTGGGAGAAGGAAAGGGGAATTAACATTTATGAAGAACCAAAAAATAGACGCTATGAGTGTTCTGTATGCTAGACTCTCAATTTAGTCTTTCAGATATTCTGTGATGTCCCATGTTTCATCAAATCTGAGACATGTTCCCCACCAACCCACAATTTGCCGTCTATGAAATTGAGGACATCTTAAAATCAGCAGCCCCCTACAATCAATATTTGTCAACTAACTGTCATGAAACAGCTTGACTGCCCAGAAATGCTAACATGATTATAAAAATGATTATATAATTAAGAATCTAATTAAGTCCAAAAGAGACTTTAAGCAAAGTTAAAATAAAAATTCTAAGTAATAAGAAACCATTGTATTATAATTTAATTGGCACTGGTACACAAGCAAGTAAAAGAAATGCAAATCCAAATTAAAAATCCAAGTAAAAGTGCCAGCAGCAAAACTTACGGTGACTAGATAGAAAGTCCTAGCAGTAATTACACAACACACTTTTAGGCCGTAGGAACCAAACGGCTGTGAGGAGGAGGCCAGGGAAAGGATGAACCAGATGTGCTCAGCAACATTTCTGAAGGGGGAGACAAAAGTTGGCTGATTTTCCATCATTGTTCTGCCAGTTTAAGAGCCGGAACCAGAAGTTTTGGTTTCTCAATGCATTATTTTAAAAATGCTGCATCACCAATGTTTTTGATAACAATTTTAGGAAAATTAGTCAAAACTTAGAATTAAGGCAGAGGGAGGGCAGCACCTCCTCTCAATGTTGGATAGACCACTTATTGCCTAATGGAGTGCACTGCTTTTGTTTAATTGTTTGTTTGTTTGTTTATGAGACGGATCCTTGCTCTGTTGCCCAGACTGGAGGGCAGCGGTGCGATCTCGGCTCATTGCAACCTCCGCCTCCCAGGTTTAAGCAGTTCTCCTGTCTCAGGCTCCCAAGTAGCTGGGATTACAGGCACACGCCACCACGCCTGGCTAATTTTTGTATGTTTAGTAGAGACGGGGTTTCACCATGTTGGCCAGGCTGATCCTGAACTTCTGACCTCAGGTGATCCGCCCACCTCAGCCTCCCAAAGTGCTCTGGGAGTCTTATGAGTCTTATGATTCTAATGTTACATGTTTTTTAGTTATTTACATTTATGATATTAAATTGAAAGGATAAGTTTTTAAAATTTGAAAACAATATGTGGTCATTTCAGCAACTTAATACGCTGCTTTATTTTTACGTTTATTTTATATGATTTTTTAAAGTTATCTAAGTATTTGGGGAAGCTTCTCAGTCAGATACCCTTGAAAAAATCTGAATATAATAAATTTGTAAAGGAAATGTCAATATTTGAGGGGATCCCATAGCATATTTAATTAGCCCCCATAAATATTGTAAGTATACTTTTTCCATTTTTTATACTCAGGTTTCTTTTTGAATATTTTCGTTTCTGATTGGCAGACTTTCCCAAATACTAAACTAAGTGCATGTTGAGCATGCACTTTCCTAATAAATAAAGTGATAAGATTTAGAAGCTGAACTTTAAAAACTTAAGAACTAGCTTCAATAAGTTGAATATTAATTTTTAAAATCAAAATAGTCCCTGAATAATCTTTTCTACCTCAAAGAACTCCAAGAATTACAGACACCCACATTCACTTTTGGGTAGAGCAGGCAGAGGCCAGACCAGCTCATCAGCGCTGACCCTTTCAGAGCCTCAGTGGGTGAAATGAGTGCACCCTCATAATGAGAGCTGCTATGTTTGGGATCTCTCCTTGCTCCTCCATTCGTGATCTTACTTTCCTTTTAGTCCTAAAGATTCAAACACGTGGTGTCAGTGTTGCTCTGAAGCACAGACCGATTCCCAGGGTCAGGCTATAAATTCTTTAACTAAATCCACTGACAAATCACCCAGAAAAGCTTTTAATATGTTTGCAGGCTTAGCCACAGGAGCAAAGCAAATTGTTCTTGAGATCTTCAAAGCAGGCGTGCAGGTTTCACCAGTTCTTCCTCTTGCCCTGGGCAGGTCTGCAAGTCTGCTGGAACCTGGAACACAGCAGCCCTCCTGCCCAGCCACCCCATTCCTGAGCTTCCTCTCCATGCAAGAGTCCACTTGTAAAACAAACAACGGGCTGGGAGTTGTGTCTCCCCTTCACCACCAGTAAGTACTTCATGCAGGTAGAAAAGCCAGAGGAGGAAAAGGTATTGAAACACAGTAGAAAAAACAAATGAACAAATGGAAATAATGAGTTGAACTCAGAGGCTCCCAGCTTCAGGAATCATTTCTGACACTTGGCATTTGCCTCCTGCAGCAGAAGCGCGTCTTCGTTGTTTCTCCCTGTTCAATTCTTCCACTTCTCGATCCTCAAACTCATGCAGGGATTTGAATGTGTTGGGTGGTTGGTTTCGTTGCTTATTTTAATTTTTTAAAACCATAACTGCCTTGTGCTTAGGAGCCTGATTATTTTTCAGCTGGATGTACAAATCTCGGCCTCTCCCCGGCCTCTCGTCTTTCTGATCTTCTACCCTCCACCGCATGGGAGGGCACAGGTTCCCTTGTGTCCCAGCCCTGCTGCAGCAGGTGGTTAGACAAAACCGCATTGTCATTTATAAACGCAGAAATCAAGCTCTCTTTCTCTCCCCACCGTTTATCCACCCACCCCCTTTTTCTGTTCTCTCTCCTTTCTCTCTGTTCCTTTTCTGTAATGTCAAATCTATTCCACTAAGGGGTTGCTCTTTGACTAATTCTGCCACTTAATTTTCTAACATTCATTCTTGATTCTCAAGGAGGAAACTCCCATTTTGAGTGACATTTCTCGTGACTGAATGAATGTGGACCCGTTTCTCAATACGTCAAAGGAAAGGGTATTCACAACCTAGCCTTGCTCTCAGGAGGTGGAGCGGGTTTTTTCACTCCCTAGAGGAATGAAGAGTTGAGCCTGGAATGTACACCACTGTCCAGCAAACCAGAAGGCCTCTGCATTCTGCAGGTTCCGCTCTCTGGTCTGGAAAGATCTCCCAGCAGGTGGAGGCCATTGTCCTTGGCCTGACCCAGTCCCTGCTGAAGCAGTTAGAGGGCGAGGCCCAGACCTCCTCCAGACTCGGGACAATCAGTGCCTGGGTTCAGACCCTGGGCACAGCTGGGCCTACTCCAGAAGGGTGTGGAAGGAGGAGAGGTGCAGACAGGATTTGTCTAAGGCAGCACCCTTAGCACTTTGCCTCCATCCTTGATCCAGCCGTCTGGCCTGGCTTTCTTCTCAATTTCTTTGGCCCTCAGTTTTCTGTTGTGTCTGCACCAGCATTGCTGACTTTGGCATTACCGAACCTTTAGCCTTTGGGCCAGCATGCTCTGATTTTGGAATCTGACTTCTCTGCCCTGGACCCTGGGGTTGACAGGTGTTTAATGAGGTGCACTCTGTTTCGTAATCTGCTTTTTTCTTTTGATCATTATTCTGAACATTTCCTCTTGGTTGTTTACTGGACTTCTAAATATTATTTTGATGGTTGTGTTGTAATGTATCATGAGATCTCCCCTAATATATTTAACTAAATACCTTGTAGTTGGACAATTATGCTATTTCCAAATTTTCACTCTACCGAATAATGCCTTGGTAAGTATTAGTGTAGTGAAATCTTCACAGTTATTTTTTAAAACACTTTAAAATTACGCATATTGTAAACAAACATGTTCTTGTTGAAAACTTCCTTAAAACCGGTAAGACTAAAGTCCTCATTAACCAGCTTCAATCGAGTTGTTATAGCCATCATAGAGACAGCCACTATTATTGGTTAATGCGTACCCTTTTTTGAAATGTACGTACGTATATTTTCAGATACCTAAGTGAGATATAGACAGATAGATATGCTGAATCGTTTTTATTTGTGAGGCCGAGTGGCGCACAGACGTTAACATGCTGTCCATTCACTTGGCAGTATGCCTTGGAGACATTTCCACGTCAACACATGAAGATCTGCAACTGCTGTGTGGGATTCCATAATAAGGATAAGCCGACGTTTATTGAGTTATTTTCCTATCCCTGGATATTTGGGTTGTGTTTAGCTTTTGCTAAGACAGACAATGCTGCATTCAATCTTCACCTTGTGCACATGTGCAGATAGATGTCTCTCTGGGGAGATTCAGAACGTGGAATTGTTAGGTCGTAGAGGAGAAACATTTTGCCCACCAAAGTAGCTGGAAAATAACGCTCTCACTGCAGAGCAGCTGAGGGCACGTGTGCCACCACAACCTCGCCCACGCTTTATATGATCAAACTTTTGATTTTTGCCACTTTGATTAAAAATGGAACCTTGTGTTTTATTTGCATTTCCTTGATTTCTAGTGAGGTTAAGCATCTTTTCAAGTATATTGGTCATACATCCTTTTTTCCTTTTTTTTTTTTTTTTGAGACAGAGTCTCGCGCTGTCGCCCAGACTGGAGTACAGTGGCACGATCTGAGCTCACTGCAACCTCCACCTTCCAGGTTCAAGCGATTCTCTTGCCTCAGCCTCCTGAGTAGCTGGGATTACAGGTGTGCACCACCACACCCGGATAATTTTTGTATTTTTACTAGAGACGGGGTTTTGCCATGTTAGCCAGACTGATCTCAAACTCCTGACCTCAGGTGATCTGCCAGCCTCGGCCTCCCAAAGTGCTGGGATTACAGGCATGAGCCACTGGGCCCAGCCGGGTCATACATTCTTAATCACCTCAGATTACATGCCTGAAAGTTGGGTTGCTGGGTCAAAGGACATGCAATATATACACAGTAGTCTCCCCTCACCTGCTGTAGGTACATTCCAAGCTCCCCAGTGGATGCTGAAACCACGCATTTCAGAACCTTCTGGAAACTGTCTTTTCCTATTGCATACATACTTATGATCAAGTTTAACGTATAAATTAGGCGCAGTAGAAGATTAACAACAATAACTAATAAAATAGAACAATTGTAGCAATATACTCTGATAAAAGTTGTGTGAGTAGGGTTTTTCTCTCTCTCTCTGTCAAAATATCTTACTGTATGTAATATTTTTGGACCATAGTTGAACACAGTTATAATATTTTGGACAGCATGGTTTCAGGTAACTGAAAAGCAAAGCGGCGAAGAAGGGAGAACTACTGTATGTTTTTTACTGTGTGTGTGTGTGTGTGTGTGTGTGCACGCACGCCTACCTAGCCCTACCTATCTCATCTATCTAATCTATTGCTTTTAAGGTGGTATTTTTTCCAAGGTGTCTTTCTATAATAATTAAGCCAATTTATACTCTCACTACAGCATATATAAATGTTTTCTTATACTGTCTACAGAAGGGTTTTACTTTTGTTTTTTGTAGGGCAGATAAATAAATATAGTATCTTATTGATTTTACATTTCTTTCATTGAGAATAAGACTGGCTACTTTCATATCGTTTTTGACAGTTCATTTCTTTTCTTTTGATTAACAGCTTATTTTTTATTTCTACTAATTCTGTGTGTGGTTGTTCACCTTTATTTTTGTTCTTACCAATCTAAAAACTCTCACACAGGTTAAGAATGTCAGCCTACATCTGAGTGTCAATAAGGTGCAGATAGTCAAGGAATAATGCCTCACAGTGTAGTGACATGCTGCCACAGAAGAGGCCCCCAGGAAAATGCAGTTTGGGAGCCCCTTAAGCAAATATAACTTCATGGGAAGATTGTCCTTCTTTGGTCTCTGATATGGTTTGGATCTGTGTCTCCACCCAGATTCATTTGAATTGTAATTCCCAACGTAGGAGATGGGGCCTGGTGGGAGATGATTGGATCATGGGGGCAGTTTCTCATGCTTTTCATGGGGGCAGTTTCTCATGCTTTACTACCATCCCCCTTGGAGCTATCGTCCTGATAGTGAGTTCTCACATGATCTGGTTATTTAAAAGTCTGTGGCACCTCTCTGCTCTCTTGGTCCTGCTCCTGCCATGGAAGACACCTGCTCCCGCTTTGCTGTCCACCAT
Source organism: Homo sapiens (assembly GCF_000001405.40). Taxonomy (NCBI): domain Eukaryota; kingdom Metazoa; phylum Chordata; class Mammalia; order Primates; family Hominidae; genus Homo; species Homo sapiens. The sequence continues at coordinate 184,291,952 of NC_000004.12, forward strand.
GATTGTGTGTTTCCTAAGGCCTCCCCCAGAAGCAGAAGCTGCTATGCTTCCTGTACAGCCTGCAGAACCATGAGCCAATTAAACCTGTCTTAAAATACATTCCTCAGTCTCAGGCATTTCTTTCTTTATAGCAGTGCAAGAATGGACTAACACACTCTCCATATTGACACCTCGCTTGTAAAGCTGGCCGATGCAGCATTGCAATCAAGTGGTAGATTTTGAATGTCTGAGTGTGATTAGACTCTAGTTGTTTGTTGTTAAATGATTGGTCTGAGTGTGATTAGACTCTAGCTGTTTGTTGTTAAATGATTGGTGAATGATGCCATCACAGGCCAGAATGTCCAGCCAGCCTCCATAGCAGGACCATCCCCGCTTATAGGAAATGGAAAGGCTCAGAGACTCCAGAGTGGCCCAGCACTGCCCCTGCCGTCCACCAGCTGGAATCAGGGCAGTGCACCTCCCAGTCTGTGTGTGTGTATGTGTGAGTGTGTGTGTGTATGTCTGTGTGTGTGTATGTGTGTGTGTATGTGTGAGTGTGTGTACATATGTGTGAGTGTGTGTATGTGTGTGTATGTGTGTGCGTGAGTATGTGTGAGTGTGTGTGTATGTGTGAGTGTGTGTATGTATGTGTGAGTGTGTGTGTGTGTGAGAGAGTATGTGCGAGTGTGTGTGGAGGGGCGGGGGTCTTGCAGTTGGTCATAGCTGCCCTTTACTTTCTCACAGTGTGTGTATGTGTGTGTGTGAGTGTGTGTGTGTATGTGTGAGTGTGTATGTGTGTGTGGAGGGGAGGGGATCTTGCATTTGGTCATAGCTGCCCTTTACTTTCTCACAGTGTGTGTGTGTGTGTATGTGTGTGTGAATGTGTGTGTGTATGTGTGTATGTGTGAGTGTGTATGTGTGAGTGTGTGTGTGTGTGAGTGTGTGTGTGTGTGTGTGGAGGGGAGGGATCTTGCAGTTAGTCATAGCTGCCCTTCACTTTCTCAGTGTTTTTGTGTGTGTGTGTGAGTGTGTGTGTGAGTGTGAGTGTGTGAGAGTGTGTGAGAGTGTGTGTGTGGAGGGGAGGGGAGGGGTCTTGCAGTTGGTCATAGCTGCCCTTCACTTTCTCTTTTGGTCAAGAGTTCTCCCTTTCTCCTCGTTAGAGAAAGATTGCCTTTGTTTTGCCAGTTTCCTGAAAGTCTGTATTTTCCGGGTATAAGCTCACTCATTGAGAAGAAGAGAGCCTATCCTTTCACCTCTAGAACAAGAAAGCCAGTGGGTAGTAAAATACACATAATGAAAATGATGTGTGCCCTAAACTTCAGGTGAACCAGCGAGAGTGTTTTACAGCACACACTCCAACCTAGAATCATTCACACGGGTCCAAATCCCAGCTTCACTCTCATCGCTAGACATAGGGCTCAATGTTCCAAATTTTAGCTCTTCTCATCTCTAAAATGGCAATTATATTAGTACCTATGTTTAAGGCAGTTGTGAGGATTAACTGAATTTTGGTCCACCTATGGATGCTGGCACAGCAGGCATTTTATGCGTAAAGTCTCTAATCATTATTTCTCCATCTCAGAATAGAGGAAGATCTCTGTGGGTGGAGGACCCTTACCAAAGTAGTTGGAGGGGACATCTTAGGTCATACGACTCTCTTCTCAAAGACTCTTGTTATATAGGAGTCCTATTTGGTTAAAAGGACTTCTCTTGTTTGTCCTGGATGTGACATCAGGTTTAAAAAAAATCTCACTCCCGTTCAGGAGCCTGGCAACCATGCATTACCCAACAATGGTTACCGTGGCTGCAAGGAGGAAGCAGACAGCAAGCCCACAGAAGTGTTTATTGAAGAAAGGGAAGTCAATAGTCCCTGGAGTTAATGAGTGATTGTTATTTATGGAAGGAATGGTATTTGCAGATGGGAATGACTGCAAAATGCATAGAAGGACACAGCCATGCCCTTTCCACGGAAGTCACAGAGCACACCTCAACACACTGAGAAGACGTCCACGACAGAGAAAGATGACGAAGGTCTCCTTTCTTCCACATCGTAGGAGATTTTCTGCCATAAACTCAGTTTATTCTATAGTTGTTTATGTCCTCAGCATTTTGGAGACAGCTGTTCTCATGAAGTGAAGACTGGCTCAGATTGTTTGATTAATTGCAAGAATTGTGGAAACGGGAGGAAGAATTCATGAAGGATGCCTCCCTTACCTGTACAGAGTTGTTTTCATTGATAAAGGGTTGTGATCTGTAAAATGGGGATATCGACATTTGTTTCAGGAGAATGAGCTTTATTTGGGCAGATTTGGCTTTGAATTCTGTTTCTACCTCTTAGAGATTGTGTGACAGTTGTTATTTAATATCTGAGTCTCAAATTTCTCATCTGTAAACTGAATATAACACTTATACTGAATGTCATACTTATATTACAAGATGTCCATGTTATTCTAATCATGTCTTTTTAGTTTCTGTGTTTTCTGATGTTTTGGCTTCTGGGGTCTTGCTGATCCTGGAGAGACTCCCCCTCCCAGGACTGGTCAGTTCCTAGCAGTAGTAAGGGACTCACCTACAAGTGTGCCTTTTGTATGCAAGCCACCAATCCAAAGCCCATGCCCCCACTGACCCCCTTTATCTAGCTTTCACTTGCAGAGCCACTATCCCCCTGCCCTAATCACCCCAGGGACAGATATTAAACAACTAGAAATAGCCACGATGCCCTAGAGCCCAGTGAAATTATTTAAAATGGGCAATACTACACCTGCCTGCCTGTCCTACATTTCCCCCTCACAACCCATAATGAAGTCTCTTGCCCACATTTTCTTCTCATTCCCTCTGCCTCCTGACCGATCCTGGTGCTTCCCCACGTGGCCCTGCATGGCATGGTGTGACCTCTGCTCTTGAATTGTGAGTAACACACGCTGTACGTAATGGCAGTCATCTCCTGACCCATTTCCTCACCATACCTGAATAATAATAAAACCTATTGTCTCAGCCTATTTGGGCTGCTATAACAAAACACTATAGACTGAGTGGCTTCAACAGTAAATATTTATTTCTCACACTTCTGGAGGTGGGGGAGTTCAAGGTCAAGGCACTGAAAGGCTCAGTGTCTGATGAGAACCCGCTTCCTGGCTCATGGACATCCAGCTTTTCTCTGTGGCTGAAAGAAGCCGAAGCACTCTCTGGGGTCTCTTTTATAATGGCACTAATCCATTCACAGGTCCTCCACCCTCGTGACATAGGTGGAGCCCCCATGAATAGCCTCACCTCCAAAAGTCATCACATTGAGGGTTAGGATTGTGATACATGCACTTGGAGGAGGCACACACATTCAGTCCACAACACTCATGATGTAAAAACACATGCCCCAATCTCTGGAACCTGTGAATGTTACCTTGTATGGCAAAAGGGACTTCACGGGTGTGAAAAAGACATGAATCTGTAGATGGGAGATTATCTTGGGCTAGCCAGGCGGGCCTGGTGTGATCATGAGGATCCTTAGAAGGGGGAGGCAGGAGATCAGCATGAGTAGCAGAGGAGGGTGAGGCCACGAGCCAAGGAATGCTGACAGCTTCTAGAAGCTGGAAGAGGCGAGGAATGAATTCTCCCCTGGAACTTTCAGAAGGAATCAACACTGCCAACACCCTAATGGTAGCCCTGTAAGGCCTATTTCTGACACTCTGACCTCCAGAACTGTAAGATAATCAATGTGTGTTGTTTTGAGCCACTAAATGTGTGATCATCTCTTACAGCAACAATAGGGAACTAATATAAGTTTCAACAAATCATGATTATTTTCACTGTCAAGTACAATAATATTCAGAATGTGGAAACACTTTTGAAAAGTTAAAGTGTCATGTGAAGATTATTATTATCAAAGCTGTTATTTGTTCTGCTTCCATTTGATTCAAGTCCACTGCTTCCAAACTTTGTATTTCAATATTTTATTATTGTATCCATGAATGCCAAAGCTACACTTGCATTCTTTTTACCATTTCCAAGAAGACGTATGTCTTAAGGGACAGTTGACTACAGTCCTTGCCCCATAGGGATGTAGATCACTGGCCCCCTATCACTCATGGGTCTGTGTCACATAAGAGACCCAACTACTTGATCTTGACTCTTGATTGAAGATTGAATAGGATAATAAGAAGCGAGAGGAAAATGAGGTACCCAACAGCCAGTGGCAGAGACTGCAAGGAGTCTCCTAGTATCTATTTTCCCCGTAGTCTATGAAGATTTTTTACCTGGGCACATGGCCACTCAAATGTGGACTACATTACTCAGACTGCCTTCCATGTCAGTGTGGTCACTTGACTAAGTTCCATGAAATGGAAAGAGAATTGATAAATGCAACTTCAAGGAAATGTCCTTAAAGAGAAATGCTGTGTCCTGCTCCAGTTCTTACCTCATTCCTGCTGGCCTGATTGCTGATGTTGACAGTTGACCCCACCCACAACATGGAATTCAAATGTCAAAGATGGCAAAGCAACAAAATAGAAGGATTTGGTTCCTGAAAATTGTGGAGTCCACATACCAACAGTTCTGAATTGTCCATGGTTATGTGAAAATAAACATCTATCTTGCCTGAGTAGCTGTTTTTACTCATATGGTGGTGAGAAAGAACCAGTCATTTGCAGTCAAACCAAACTCTTACTACTACAAGACTTAGTACAGGAGTTCTCATGCAGGATAACTACTATTACAGATCCCTAGTAAAATAGAACTCTGGGAGAAAACATATAACATCTTTATCAAAAAGAGAGAAAGAGCATAAAAGAAATTTAATTGCAGTATAAATCAAAGTATGATTTTCAAATGTTAAGATGAGGATACATAAATTGAAGTCAATGATTATAAGAATGAGACTTTATTAGTAGCTGGAAAATTCAAGTGGATAAGAATACATAAACCTAGAGGGAAAATTCAGACTGGGGAATACTGAGAAAAAGCCTTGAGGATAGACCCGGGAGAGAAATATGTGATTACAGCCCTACAATGTCTTCTATGAAACCACTGAAGCCAGAAGGGTTTTGGAATTTAGATTTTTTCCAATTTCTAGAAATTATATTGCATGTTATATACATTACATACTGTGTATACTATATAACATCCCAAGCAGGATGTAGGATAGATCCTGAAATCAAACATTTTAGCTTTTCAGCAGCAAAACATAGAGTCACACTAATATTTTTATGGCTAAAAATAGCTTCGCATAAGTAAAGGGTATGCTTTTCCATCAAATATGTTTGTAGGAAATTTATTTTTTAAAATAACAACAAAATAAAAACAAAAAACAAAATATTTGAGATAATGGATTATGAGCCTGTATTAGGATTTCCAGCAGAAGAAAAAAGATGCACATACGGGAAAGGTAATGATGAAGGAAGTAAGGGGAAATTATACCTGTTTGAAGAAAAGCTTGTTTGAAAGAGTTTAATACGTGGCCGGGCGCGGTGGCTCATGCCCGTAATCCCAGCACTTTGGGAGGCTCAGGTGGGCGGATCACAAGGTCAGGAGATCAAGACCATCCTGGCTAACACGGTGAAACCCCTTCTCTACTAAAAATACAAAAAATTAGTCAGGTGTGGTGGCAGGGGCCTGTAGTCTCAGCTACTCTGGAGACTGAGGCAGGAGAATCACTTGAACCCAGGAGGCAGAGCTTGCAGTGAGCTGAGATCACGCCACTGCACTCCAGCCTGGGTGACAGAGAGAGACTCCCTCTCAAAAAAAAAAAAAAGAAAAGAAAAGAAAGGAAAACGTTTAATATGTTCCATGCTGGAGTGATCATATCCTAGATCATACCCAGCTTTTAAAAATTCTTAATTACAAGGACAAATTTTTTTTAAAGAAAACTTCTTGACCTTTTGAACAAGTTGCGTACAAAGGGAAAAATTAGCTGACATTTGACTTCTTTTCTGCAACTCTAAGAATCAGAGGGAGTACTAGGAAACATTATAGAATACTGAAAGAAAAGGACTACAATCTAAGAATCTTATGTGTAGCCAAGTTATCATTCTCTGTGACAGTGAAATAAAGGTATTTGCAGATATGCAAGGATTCAGGGACTACAGCACATAGGCATAGAACCTAGGGATGTAACTGGGAAATGACTTGACTAAATAAATCAATTTACCAAGACATCCACTTATGAACAGAATGAAGCAACAGGACCCAGATTTACCCTTCTGCCTGAAACTGCTAAAAAAAAAAAAAAAAAAAGAAAAACTAGACAAAATGTATACGACAATGGTTTTCAGATATTTAATATCAAGCATCACAGCCTAGTGTTCCCTGAGAGAGTTGAGTCATATGATTCACCCAACTTAGTGCCAGGAGAGAGTATCCAAGGCATAACACAGGGAGGGGAATCAGCAGTTTCCATAAGTTAAGCAGACAGTTTGGGGATTGGAGGAGACCAAGACAGAGTTGGCAGGACAGAGTACTAGACAGGAGAGAGCTACACAAAGAGCACCAGAGATCTGCAGAGGGTCACCCTGGAGACTTCAGTCGAGTACTGATCGCAGCAGGCCTGTGAGGAAACTATCCAGGGCTGAAAAGGAACTGCCTAAAAGGAACAAAGGGAGCCAGGGGCCAGGACAGTTTGTATTCCCACCAGCCAATGTTGGAAAACCGTATAATTCATAGACTAATTAGAAGGTTTAGCTTTCATATGGGGGAAGGATTAGCCCTGGATTAAAAGCTGTTCTGTTCTCCCTAAAAAAGCTTAAATCAGGCCTCAAAACGAACTATTTCTTTTTTTTTTTTTTTCAAGAGATCACTTTTTATTGTGATACACAGTTTACTGAAGACAGGAACTGCTCTGATGACGAGCATCACAGAGTTTTAAGCAGATACTGGCAACACCTGACTCACTAAAGCAGGAGGCAGTTACACAATTACAGCAGTACAGTACATACTAGTTTATAGAGTTATGTTTTTTTGGGGGGGCTTTCACATTTGTTGATTTTTATTGGCGATCTCTTTTTCAATACAATTTATGCCCTCATCCTCATTTCCCGTCTGATTATACAAGTGCTAAGTGGCAGAAAGTTCTGGAATAAATACATAAAAAAAAAGAGGCAAAGCTGTGAAACTAAGTTGCATGCAACAGGTTCTATGAGGGTGGTGGAAGTGTGTGAGAAACAAAACAGAGTAAGACAATGTAACTGGAAGGTTTTAGCTAAAGTTCTTTTCAGTCATCTTTGTCTTTTACTCCATGTTTCAGGATGCTTGTGAATTCGATGTAATTGAAATTCCCCTTTTTGTCAATAGGTGCTTCTGTGTACAGCTCATCCACTTCCTCATCCGTAAACTGATCCCCCACGGTTGTCAGCAGCTCTCTCAGGTAATCTTCCTGAATGGTGCCTGTTGCTTCTTCATCAAAGCAAGCAAAAGCATTTCTGATGACGTCTTCAGGATCTGTGCCATTTAACTTCTTACCAAACATGGCGAGCAACATGGTGAAGTTAATGGGCCCTGGTGCCTCATTCATCACGGCATCAAGGCATGCATCAGTGGGATTCTTCCCTAGAGAAGCAAGCATACCATGCAAATCTTCCTTGCTGATGAAACCATCTCTGTTCTGATCAATCATGTTGAAGGCCTCTTTGAACTCCTGAATCTGTGACTGGTCAAACGTGGCAAACACCTTGGACGTTGCACACTGAGGGCGCTTCTTGGTGGTCTTGCCTTTTTGCTCAACATGGTGGTTGCTTAATTCCGGCACCAAATACCAGAAACGGAACCACCCTGTGCGAGATGACAAGCGACAGCGAGGAGCGCGGGGCTGTGGCCAGACAGTGGCGGCTATAGAGCTATGATTTAATACTGCATTTTAAATTTGCTTACATGTACAGTCTGTATGTTTTCATAAAATTTAACTTTTAATAGATTTGTGTATTTTGTGGTCGTGCTCACCGCAACCTCTGCCTCCCGGGCCCAAGCAATTCTCCTGCTTCGGCCTCCCGAGCAGCTGGGACCACAGGCATGTGCCCCCATTCCAGGCCAATTTTGTAATTCTGCTAGAGACGGGGTTTCTCCATGTTGGTCAGCCTCGTCCCGAACTCCCAACCTCAGGTGATCTGCCCACCTCGGCCTCCCAAAGTGCTGGGACCACAGGCATGAGCCACCATGCCCAGCCTGTGAATTCTCCAAGTTGTCACAAAGCTCCAAACAAATTTCCAATATATTTATTGAAAAAAAAATTATGGCCGGGCACAGTGGCTCACTCCTGCAATCCCAGCACCCTGGGAGGCCGAGGTGGGTGGATCACGAGGTCAAGAAATCGAGACCATCCTGGCCAACATGGTGAAACCCCGTCTCTACCAAAAACACAAAAATTAGCCCGGCATGGTGGCATGTGCCTGCAATCCCAGCCACTTGGGAGGCCGAGGTAGGAGAACCACCCAAACCCAGGAGGCGGAGTCCACAGTGAGCTGAGACCACACCACTACACTCCAGCCTGGCGACAGTGAGACTCTGTCTCAAAAAAAAAAAAAAAAAAAAAAAATTGCATATACCTGTGCACTTCAAATTTATGTTGTTCAAGGGTCTAATGCATAATTTTTTCAGTAAACTCAATTAGTGGGTTCCCCAAATTGTGGGATAAATCTTTTATGTAAATTCATGTGTTTTACAGACATGTGAAGACATCCCACAATACACTAATTACAGTCTTATTCAAATCTCAACTCTATTACAGATTTTGCATGTCAAGAAATCTTTTAGGTTCTGCTATTCCTCAGACTACGTTCCTGACCTCATTGAGGGTTTCAGAGGATAAATCAGGGGTCAGACTGGTAGAGTCACATAGAGAAGGAAAGAAAATAAGAAAAATGCTAGGAAAACCAGGCAGTGTCTCAATTACTACAGAATGGTCTTCACAAACTGGCATCACTGTTATGCTGGCAATAAATTTGCAAATCTCACACACCTCTTCTAATGTAAGTAGAAAACACAGACATTCAGGCTAGGTGCAAGGGGTTCACACCTGTAATCCCAGCCCTTTGGGAGGCCAAGATTGCTTGAACCCAAGAGTTCAAGACCAGCCTGGGCAACACGACAAGACCTCATCTCTACAAAAAAATTTAAAAATTAGCCGGGCGTGGTGGGGCGCAGTTGTAGTCTCAGCTACTTGGGAGGCTGAGGTGGGAGGATCCATTGAGCCTGGGAGGCTGAGAGTGCAGTGAGCTGTGATTGTGCCACTGCGCTCTGGCCTGGGTGAGAGGAGTAAGACCATCTCAAAAAAAAAAAAAAAAGACACGCAGAGCTGATTTTTTGTTTTTAGGATCCACACATCTAAAAGTTGAATAATTAAAGAAAAATTAATCAGCACTGATTGACTCTGGAAGAGTATTAAATTAGCTTTTCCCTTTAAAGTAGACCCCAGGCTTAACTTACCTCAAGCTCTTTTGATTCTGATAGCCTGTATGCCTATACTGTATAAGCTAAAGAGTGCATCAGTCTTTTCTATCACTTTAAATACAATAAAACTGTTTCTAAGCAACTTAATTGCATCCCAGAACAAAACGCAAGAATATCTATAAGAATATTAATCTATCCAGGACCTAAAAAGAAAAATTCATAATGTCTGGCACCCAACAAAAAATCACCGGATAGCCAAAGAAACAAGAAAATATAACTCATAAAGAGAAAAGTCAATGAAGAGAACTATACAGAAATTATAGTTATAACTGTATTCCATATATTTAAGAAGATAGAAGAAATATTGAACATATTAAGGAAGGGGAAAATATTTTTTAAAATGTAAATTAAGCTTTTTGGAATCTACAATTTCTGAAATAAAACATATATTGGATAGGATTAATCACAGTTTAGACATCTAAGAAGAAAAGATTAGTAAACTTAAAGAAAAGCAATAGAAACTGCAAATAAACACAGAGAGAAAAATGGCTGACAATAAAAATGAACAGAGCATCAGTGAGTTGTGGGACATCTTTAAGTAGTTTCCTACATGTGTAATTAGTCTATAAAGGATCAAAAAGGACAGAAAATATATTTGAAAAATTAATGGCCACAAATTTTCAAACTTGATGAAAACTGTGAAACTACAGATCCAAGAAGCTCAGTAAACCCCAAGCACAAGAAATGTGAAGAAAACTACAAGTCACATCATATTCAAAATTGTTAAAAGCAATGATGAACAGGAAACCTTAAGTGTATCCTGGGAAATAAAAGACACCTTACATACAGAGGAATAAATATAAGAATAAATCAGACACCTTGTCAGAAAAAGTGCAAGCAGAAGATAGTGGGGCAACATCTTAAAAGCACTAAAAATAGAAATGTGTCAACCTAAAATTTTATATTTAGCTAAAATATACTACAAATTATAAAACATTTGTAGGTGAAATAAAAATATTTTCAGATACAGAAAAGCTAAAAGTATCATCACCAGCAGAGCTGTACTATAAGGAAAGTTACAGGATGTTTTTTAGGAAGAAATAAAAAGAGAAGAAAATCTGGATCTGTTCAAAGACATAAAATAAACCAGAAACAGTAAATGTGTAATTAAATATAACATTGTTTCTTATTTTTAAAGACTCTTTAAGAGATAATTGATTGTTTATTATTATAACTAGTAGCAATGAATTGTGGGATCTAAGCCATATATAGAAGTAAAATGTATGTCAACATTAGTACAAAATCAGGGAAGGAGGAAATGGAGGTGTACCGATGTAAGATTTTTATATTATTTATGAAGTAGTTATTATTTTAAGTTAGACTGTGATTGGTTAAAGATGTAAATTATAAACCTTAGAGAAATACTAAAAGGACAAAAAAGAAAAAAGTAACAAAGAACAGATAAAATATATAGAAAACAGTTGAATATGTGGTAATTTAAAACCAATAATATAAATAATAAAATTAAATGTCAAGACCTAAATACCACAATTAAAGGTCAGAGATTGTCAGATTGAATAAAAAAGCAAGACCCAACTATGCTGCCTATAAGAAGCGTGCTTTAAATATAAGGAAACAAGTAGGTGAAAAGAAAATACATGGCAAATTATATAACATGATAATACTAATCAAAACTGGAATGACTATTACTACACAAGGCAAATTTCAGAACAAAGATTATTACTAGACATAAAGAGGATCATTTTATAATGATTAAGAGGTCAACTAATCAAGAGGTAATAACAATCATAGACATTTATGCATCTAACATCAGAACTTCAAAATACATGAAACAAAATGAAGAAAACAGCAAAGAGAAATCCACGAGTATTGTCAGAGATGTCTACAACTCTCTATCAACAATTGATAGAAGAACTAGAAAGAAAATCAGTAAGGATCCAGAAGATTTAAATGACAATATCAACCAATTGAACCTAATTGACATTTTTTGAACACTTCACCCAGCAACAACAGAATACATATCCTTTCCAAGTAAACACTGAACTGATACCAAGATAGATCATATTCTGGAACATAAAATAAATCTCAATAAATTTAAAATAATTAATGTCATACAAGGTATGTTCATTGAACTGAATGCAATGTAATTGAATTAGAGGTCGGTATTGGAAATATATCTAGAATATCTCCAAATTAATAGAAACTAAATAACATACTTCCAAATAACCTAGGTTCAAGGAAGAAATCAGAAGGAAAATTAGGAATATTTTAAACAGTATTTCAAACTGAATGAAAATGAAAAGATAACATATTAAAATGTGCTGGATGCTGCAAAAGCAGTACTTAAAGGGAAATGTATAGCACTTAATGCCTATTACAGAATAGTAGAAGGATCTCAAATCAAGAACTTCACTATCTACCTTAAAAAACTAAACAAAGAAAAGCAAATGAAACCAAAGCAGAAGAAAGGACACAATAAAGGTTAGAGTAGAAATCAATGAAATAGAAAAAGAAAAACAATAGAGAAAATCAATGAATCCAGTATCTGCTTCTTTAAAGAGATGAATGAAATTGATAAATCTCTAGCAAGGCTGATCAGGAACAAAAGAAAAGAAATACAAATTACTGATAATAGGAATGATAATTAGATCACTACAGAGTCTACCAACATTAAAAGAGCAATTCAGAAATATTATGAACAACTTTGTGTCAATATGTTTAACAATTTAGATAAAATTTTAAAATTTCTTGAAAGACACAAACTACCAGAGGTCATTCAATAAGTAATAGATAACATTAATAGCCTCTTATATACTAAAGGAAGTGAATTTGTAACTTAAAACATTTTCATAAAGAAAGATCCAGATCCATAAGGCTTCATGGCTTTAGTGGTGAATTCTATCAAACATTTAGGAAAATAAGAATACCAATTTTGTCCAAGCTCTTCCAAAAATTTACAGAGAATTAAATACTTTCCAGCCTAATTTCTGAGGCCAGCATTTCTCTGATGCTAAAACCAGAAAAAGACATTATAAGAGCACTACAAATATCTCCCATAAGGATTTGTTAAAATCCTTAATAAATTTTAGCTAACCTAATACAACAATTTATGAAAATGATAATACATTGTAACCAAGTGTGGTTCGTCCTAAGTTGGTTTAACAACTTGGGATAAGTTGGTTTAACAAACTTGAAAGGTTGGTTTAACATTGAAAAGTCAATCAGTGTAATTCATCACATAAGCAGACTTAAAAAGAAAATATATATGATTATTCAATAAGTGGAGCAAAAGCACTTGACAAAATCTAACATCTATTCCTGGTTTAAAAAAAAAAACCCTCAGCAAATTAGGAATAAAAGAGAAATTTCTCAACTTTATGGATGTCAATTTGAAGTGGACATTTTTGAATCACCTACAGCTCACATTTACTTAATGATGAACAACTGAATGTCTTTCATCTAAGTTTAGGAAAAGGAAAGCATGACCGCACTCACCATGTTTATGCAACATTGTACTAGAGGTCCTAACTGATGCAATAAGGCAAGAAAAGGAAATAAAAGGCATACAGATTAGAATGGAAGAAATTAAATTGTCTTTATGCATAGATGACACAATTATCTCTGTTGAAAATCTTAAGGAAGCTACAAAAAAACCACTAAACTGAATAAGTAAATTTAGCAAAGTTGCACGATAAGAAAACAATATTCAAAACAAATTGTATTTTTATGTACTAGCAATCAACTATCTGTAATTGAGTTTTTAAAATACCATTAAACAGCATCTAAAAATATGAAATACTTAGGGGAAAAATCTGACAAAGGACATGCAAGGCCTGTACCTGAAAACTACAGAACATCTCTGAAGGAAATTTAAAAACATGTAAATAAATGAAGGGCTGTATCATTTTTTTAGATCGAAGACTTGATTACATGTTTCCCCATACAGATCTATACATTAATACAATCCCACTTAAAATTGCAGCAGGCTTTTTCATAAAAATTGACAAGCTGATTCTAAAATTTACATGGAAATACAAAGGACTTCAAATATAATAGATACTTTGAAAAAGTACAAAGTTGGTGGACTACATTACTTAATATCAAGATTTGTTTAAGATCTACCATAATGAAGAACATGTGGTATTGGCATAAAAATAGAAAAACAGATTCATGGAATAAAGTAGAAAGTCCATAAATAGTCTCTCATGTGGTCAGCCGATCTTTAAGAAAGGTGCAAAGGTAACTGACTGGGGAGAGGCAAATCTTTTCAGTGAATGGTAGTGGACAAATTAGCCACATGCAAAAAAGAAAAAAGAAGTGAATCTTCATTTTTACTCATCCCATACATAACAAATTAACTTGAATTGGATCATAGACTAGATAAGAAAACTAAAAATACAAATTTTCTAGAATTTTACAACTAAAATTCTAGAAGACAGAAGAAAATCTTAGTGAGTTTAGGTTTGCAAAGATCTCTTAACTACAACACAAATAGTATAGACCATAAGAGAACAGAAAAGCAGTAAATTGGAATTCATCAAAGTCCCCTACACACAACATGGATAAATCTCAAAATAATTATGTTGAGTGAAAAAGGCAGACACAAAAAGAGTACATACTGCATGTTTCCATTATATAAAATTCTATAAAAATGAAAACCATCAATAGCACAGAAAGCAGATGAATAGTTGCTCAGGGATGGTGAGTGAACAGTGGCAAGGGAGGTTGTTGCAAAGGAACACTGGGAAATTTTGGGGGTGATGGATATGTTTGTTTTCTTGATTGCAATGATGTTTTTTTGTTTGTTTGTTTTTTTGAGATGGAGTCTCACTCTGTTGCCCAGGCTGGAGTGCAGTGGCATGATTTTGGCTCACTGTAACCTCCGCCTCCCAGGTTCAAGCAATTCTCCTGCCTCAGCCTCCTGAGTAGCTGGGACTACAGGCATGTGCCACCACACCAGCTAATTTTTGTATTTTTTTAGTAGAGACAGAGTTTCACCATATTGGCCAGGCTGGTTTAGAACTCCTGCCCTTGTGGTCCGCCCACCTCAGCTCCCAAAGTGCTGGGATTACAGGCGTGAGCCACCATGCCCGGCTGATGTTTTTGTTTTTGTTTTTGTTTTTGTTTTTACAGGTGACTATATAATATCAAATTGTATACTACCTCATGTGAGCTTATTTCCTTTAGAAGGGGGCAAATATAGAATCATGAAAAAAGAAATAAAGCTATTTCCATTGTCTAGGGCAAAGATTGGCAAACTACAGCCCTCCAGCTAAAACCTGGCTTACCAGCTGTTTTTGTAAACCTAGTTTTATTGGAACACAGTCACACCTATTTGGTTACCTATTGCCTATGGTTGCTTTTACAGTACAAGACAGAGTTGAGTAGTTAAGACAGAGACTGTGTGGTCCATGAAGCCTCAAATATTTACCTACTCTCTGGCTCTTCACAGAAAAAGGTTGCCGACCCCTAATCTAGTAGATTAAAAAAGGAATACTTTTGAATTGAAATCCCTGCTTCTAATCCCTTCTTCATTACCATGTGACCTTGGGTAAATTATTTCACCTAAGCTTCATCTTTTTCCACCTGTAAAAATGGAGATAATATGGACACACCTTCATACATTCATACAGAAGGTCACATGATGTAAAACACTGAAAATGCTCTGAGCTCTAACTGGCAATACAGAAAGTACTAAAGAAAAAGGGGCTTGGGGTAGCTATTATTATTTAGAAGTGAACATTTCTCAGTTGCTTTGGGGAAAGTGCATGACGCTTACCATGAGTGGAGCTTGCAGGACTGGAAGTGGCTCTGGTGAGTCAGTCAGTGAGTGGTGAGTGAATGTGAAGGCCTAGGACGTTACCGTGCACTACTGCAGACTTCATAAAAACCCTGTACACTTGGGCTGCACTAAATTTACTTTGAACATTCTTTCTTCAATAGTACATTAACCTTACCTTATTGTGACTTTTTTACTTTAATATTTTAAATTTAAAAAAATCTTTTTGACTCTGGTAATAACACAGCTTAAAGCACAAACATGTTGCACAGCTAGACAATGTTTTTTCTTTATATTCTTATTCTATAAGCTTTTTTCTATTTTTATAATTTTTTTTATTTTTTTACTTCCTAAACTTTTTTGTAAAATCTCAGACACGGCCAGGTGCGGTGGCTTACACCTGTAAACCCAGCACTTTGGAAGGCCAAGGCAGGCAGATCAACTGAGGTCAAGAGTTTGAGACCAGCCTGACCAACATGGAGAAATCCTGTCTCTCCTAAAAATACAAAATTAGCCGGGTGTGGTTGCACATGCCTGCAATCCCAGCTACTCGGGAGGCTGAGACAGGAGAATCACTTGAACCCTGTAGGCAGAGGTTGCGATGAGCCGAGATTACACCATTGCACTAAAGCCTGGGCAACAAGAGTGTAACTCCGTCTCAAAAAAAAAAAAAAATACCTCAGACACAACACAGGGTCAGGGTCAGGATCATCAACATGACTGTCTTCCATCTCCATATTTTGTCCAACTGGAAGGTCTTCAGGGCAGTAATACCCTTGGAGTTGTCATCTCCTATGATAGCATCCTTCTTCTAGATACCTCCTGATGGGCCTGCCTGAGGCTGGTTTACAGCAAACTTTTAAAAATATAAGTACAAGGAGTACACTCTAAAATAATATTATGTACATAAACCGGTACATCATTGTCCACTGTCATTATCAAGTATCATATACTGTACACAATTGTATGTGCTATACTTTTAGATGACTGGCAGCTCAGAGGCTTTGTTTACACCAACATCACCGCAAACACGTGAATAACGTGTTGCACTATGACATTACAAAAGCTCCAACATCACTAGGCTATAAGAATTTTTAAGCTCCATTAAAATCTTATGGGGCCGGGCACGGTGCCTCACGCCTGTAATCCCAGCACTTTGGGAGGCCGAGGCAGTTGGATCACTTGAAGTCAGGAATTTGAGACCAGCCTGGGCAACATGGTGAAACTCCGTCTCTACTAAAAATACAAAAATTAAGGAGGCTGAGGCAGGCGGATCACAAGGTCAGGAGATCGAGACCATCCTGGCTAACACGGTGAAACCCCGTCTCTACTAAAAATACAAAAAATTAGCCGGGCGTGGTGGCGGGCGCCTGTAGTCCCAGCTACTCGGGAGGCTGAGGCAGGAGGATGGTGTGAACCCGGGAGGCGGAGCTTGCAGTGAGCCGAGATCATGCCACTGCACTCCAGTCTGGGCGACAGAGTGAGACTCCGTCTCAAAAAAAAAAAAAAAAAAAAACAAAATTAGCCAGGCATGGTGTCATATGCCTATAATCCCAGCTACTCAGGAGGCTGAGGTGGGAGAATCACTTGAACCCAGGAGGCAGAGGTTGCAGTGAGCCGAGATCGTGTTACTGCACTCCAGCCTGGGTGACAGAGCAAGACTCTGTCTCAAAAAAAAAAAAAAAATCATATGGGACCACTGTCGTATGTGTGGTGTGTCACTCACTGAAATGTCCTTATGCAGTGTGTGACTATTATATGCCGTATCCTCCTAATAAAGTAAGCTAGAGAGAAGAAAACAGTATTAAGAAAAGCATAAGGAAGAGAAAATGTATTTATATTCATTAAGTAGAAATGGATCATCGTAAAGGTCTTCATCTTCGTGGTCTTCATGTTGAGGAGGCTGAAGAGGAGGAAGAGGGGGTTGGTCTCGCTGTCTCAGGGGTGCAGAGGCAGAGAAAATCCTCGTGTAAGTGGACCCATGCAGCTCAAACCCGTGTTGATCTTAGGTCAGCTGTACTATTTCTCTCTTACTCCTCCCTCATTGTGACTAAAAGAAATAGATCAAAGTGGCATTTTTAGCGCTATTTTTGCAAGCTGTATGTATAGGCAAGCTCTAAAATCCAACTGTACAAAGTCCCTAATGCCTCACCCTTACGTGGATTAAAAACTTCTCTAGAAAGGAGATGATGTCTTTATCTCTTCCTCCCTTCCAGCACTAAGGGGAGTGTCTTACATTTAGGAACACTTGATATGTGTTTTTGTTAGATGGATGGATGGATGGATGGATGGATGGATGGATGGATGGATGCATAGATGGATGGATGGATGGATGGATGGATGGATGGATGGATGGATAGATGGATGGATGGATGGATGGATGGATGGATGGATGGATGGATGTTATAAATCTTCATTAAGGCAGCATCAGGAGCTTCACTCTGTGAAGTGAACAAACAAAAGTAAAGCATCAGGGGTGCCTGCTTTGCCTTGCCACTTACTGTCAACAATGCCTAAGGCACACGATCCACATGATCTGCTGCTGTGTTTTCAGGGTGTTGTCTTGGTTTTTGTCTGTTCATTTGTTTGGAGTTTTGGTACCTCTGGCCGCAGAGGTGGAGGACGGACGTGTAGCCCTCTCTCGATGGCACACAGTCACTATAGGGCTGGGCAAGGCCCTTCCCATGGTTTGTTTTTTATGGACTTTTACTCTCCTCACCTCCTCATGGGTAACCATTGGAATGTGTTTATGTATTTTTATTTGTGCCAATTCTTTAAAAATACAGTGACTTTATGTGTGTATTTTTAATTTTCCTAAGGAGTGTTCTGCCACGCGTCTCTTGCTGTTTCTTACCCTTTTCACTCAGCACTGAAATGTTCAGATCCACCCACGCTGCTGTGTGCACAGGAGGCCCGTGGTTTCTAAGCATTCCTTTGGTGCAGCCACACCTGCGCCTATCTATTCTCCCCATTTTGGTTTTTTAAGGTACAACTGACAGTAACTTGCCAGGTTAACCAATCCTGTTTCCAGGGATTGGAAAAAGAGGAGGCACTGCATCTTCTTAGCCCTGAGCCCTGGGAAGAGAGGTAGAGGTCAAGGAGAGGTCAGCCCAGTCAGGCCAGCTCTGTCACCACTGGTCCCCTTGGGCAGCGGCAGCACCCGGCTCTGTTTTCTCACCTGCAGCAGAGTCAACAATCCCTGCCCCACCGACCTCAGGGCGGATATGATGCTTCCAGGAAACAATAGGAGAGGAAATGGCTGTGAATGGTGGCCACGGCCGCACGTGGGCCCGCAGCCTGCCCCAGTCCCTTCCTCAGCTGCCCTGCAGCCACCCTGGGTGCTGGAAAGGAAGTGTGTCGTCCCTAGCCACAAGGAGGCACTCACTCTCAGGGTCATGCAGTGAATTGTTACGTCCTGGGCACACCTCTGCCTCCCTGGTTACACTGTCCTGCTCCTCATTCAGGGGCTGTGACCTTCCTAGGGGCCGTAGGGATGTGCATAGGCCCCTCAGGCATGAAACCCACCCCAGCTTCCTGTCGATCTTTGCCAGTGTCACCCTTTCCCTTCCTTATAACCCCCTGCCACCATTTCTATTCATGTGATAACTTTCTAACCTGGTGTTGGGGAGCAAATGCCCTTCCCCGAGTCCCACACTAGGGATATTAGGGATGTTCCAGAGAGACTGGTGGCAGGCTTTTAGGGTCATTCCAGCATGTGGCGTTGCTCAGTCCAGCCCCATATTCCCTCAACAATAACAACAGCAGCAACAGCGGCAACAAGCAGTGAGAACATGAACTCCATGTTTAAGCTAAAAGACATCAAAAATGCACGCAGCCCAGGTGTGCACTGGCCTCCCAGCTTCCTCCAGCAAAGACCCCCAGGAGCAGCGTGCTGGGCCTCTCTGCTGTAGGCAGAAGGGCCTGAACCAAACTTCCCAGCGTTGGCCGAGCCCTCCCAGGGACAGGCATTGCCCTGGCGTCTGTGCTCACTGGGCCCAGGGAATGTTTCTAGTCGGCCTCACTGCCCAGCATTACTGATTTCTTCCCAGGCCTGTTTTTCCCAGGAGCCCATGAGCTTCTGGAAGGCTGCCACGAATCATGTTCTTCCACTGCTTAAAACCCTTCAGTAGTTCTCCCCTGCCCGCGGGACAAAGTCCAGTTTTCCTCATTATGACACAAAGGTGCTCCCTTTGAAACCAGGGCCTTCCTTTCCTTGCAGCTTCAGCCCTGCCAGTCCCCATTCTTGCTCTGTGCTGTGTCCATAGTTATGTTCTTGAGGTTTCTGAAAGGAACCACACTCTCTCTTGCCTCAGGACTTTCCCCCATGCCTTTTCTTCAGCTCCAAACATCCTTCCCCACCCCTTCCTTCCCACCACTTGGGTAATTCTGACTTGTCCCTCTGGTGTCAGAAGTCCCTCACGGTTCACAGGAAGCCTTGCCTGCTTACCAGGCACAGGCAAGTTGCGCTGCCCAGGTGAGCACATGCAGTGTGCACCTGTGCGTCCTGGTGCACCACGGCCCCCATCCGGCTACACCACAAGCCTCAGGACAATGTGTCCCCTAAAAACTCATATCTTAAAGTCTTGTCCCCCAGGGTGTGAACTTCTTTGGACATAGAGTCATTACAGAGCAAATCAAGCTACAATTAGGTCATTAGAGTGGCCTCTAATCCAAAAACCTGGTGTCCTTCTAAAAGGGGTAAATGTGAAGAAAGACACTCAGGGAGAAGGCCATGTGAGGATGAAGACAGAGACTAAGGTGAGGCTTCTACAAGCCAAGAACCCTAGAGATCACCAGCAAACCACCAGCTGGGAGGAAGGCGCAGCTGTCAGAAGGAACCAACCCTGCCAATCCCTCCATCTGGGACCTCCAGCCTTCAGAACTGTGAAACTATCAATTACTGTGATTTCAGCTGCCCTATCTGTGGTGCTTTGGTACCCTAGAAAACTAACACAGGCAGCAATGATGTCTTTACTTCTTTATTTTTTTCGACTTCATCTACAGAGCTTAGCACAGCCATTGGAACAAAATTGGAGCTCAGTGCACAGTTATTGAAAGAAAAATTTGTACTCTGGAGAACAAGGAGGAGACGTAGTTCCTGCACCCAAGGATCTCATGCAATGAGAACACAGAGCAGGAATAAGATAACTCAAAGTGTGTGCATAATGCCAGGTTAGACAGACAGACAGACAGCCAGGCCACTGTGAGTGCAAGTCCCTGTAAACCAAAAAGAAAATTCTAAGGCCCCCAACCATCTGAATGCATGGCCCCTCAGCCAAGGCATTCCAAAGTTAACCTATAAAACTAGTTCAGGTCATGAGGGGAAGGGGGAGCCAGACGTGCGTCTTGATACCCTCCTTCCTTTAGGAATTACTGATAGAACAGCCTCTTGATACCCTCCTTCCTTTAGGAATGACTGATAGAACAGCCTCTTTAAGTCTGAGTAGAAACATTTATGACCTATTCTCTCTGAAGCCTGTTACCTGGAGGCTTCATCGGCATGACAAAACCTTAATCTCTACAACCCCTTACCATCACCCAGACATTCCTTTCTCTTGATTCCAGGTCTTTAGATAATAACTCAATCAACTGCCAGTCAGGAAGTCTTTGAATCTGACTGTGACCTGGAAGCTCCCCCTTCCGGTTGTCCCAACTTTCCAGACCAAAACAATGTACATGTTACATGTATTGATTGATGGCTTATGTCTCCCTAAAATGTATAAAACCAAGTTGTAGGCCCACTACCTTGGGCACATGTGGTCAGGACCTCCCAAGGCTGTGTCCTGGGCATGTTCTTAACCTTGGCAATATACAATCCTAGATTAACTGACACTTGTCTCAGATACTCTTGGGGTTTACACCCCTTACTCAGATGGGGGCAGGCAGTGCCTGGCAGCAATCCCGGGAATCTCCCAAAACCTAGATCTTCAAGTACAAGCTGGTCAAGCAGAAGAGAGAATTGGAAGAAACAGAGGAAACAAAGCACAGTGGACTATTTGTGTACCTTCAAGTAATGTGCTGGGAGAGAAGCTGGGACCAGTCGTGAGGGATCTGGTAAAACCTGCCGAGTCTGGGAACCAATGAATGAACTTATTAGGTGGGTCCTAGAAATTTTTCTCTGGCAAACTGAGGATACATTTCAGGGGGTTATGAATCACCACCAGCATGCTCTCTGCTCTTCATGGACATCAGAAGCTGGGGGAAAGCTTTCTTTGTGAGCCCCCAGCCTCAAGGGCAGGCAGTTCCTGGGCTGAGCCTCACTGGTGAAGCCTTTATGTGTGATGCGGGAACTGCCCACACACCAACTCCTGTTTTGCCCTTTTAATGGGCAGCATATCTCCTCAGAAGATGTGCCGCATGACCATTTTTGAGCCCACACCATCTTCACCCTCCTAGAATCTGCCTCTGATTCTTGGAATTTGGGGAAAACCACAGGTTTTTCATCATTTCTCAAAACTACTAGTTTGCAGCAGCAGTTCTGTGAAGGTGGGGAAGAAGCTGAGGACACCGGTGCCATGTTTCTGTTCTTATTCACATTTCTCTGTTCTCTGAAAGCAAAATAATGCAAAGCTATAAAGACCATCAGGGAGAATCAGAGCACAGACAGGATTCCAAAGGATGGAGGCTGCCCCCGACAAAACCCCTCCCCAAAGTGGGGAGGGGGCAGAGAAGAGGCCCCAAGATGCCAGGTGCTTCCCTCTGCAGCACAAGACACACTATGGGGTCTGCGCAAAGACAAAACATCGATTTGGGTGCAGTCTTCTTGGTCTCATTATTTTTATCATCTCTCAGAGGATGTGTGGTTGTCCCGATTGCTGTGCTCAGGACAGGAAGGGAAAGCAGAGGCTAACATAACTCACCCGGTCTGCAGGACAGAGGAGGAGAGCAGGCTGAAGGCCTATCCACCTCTGCACGCATCAGGCGGCTTCTGCATCCTGAGACACCCTTCCTGAATCGACACTTGGGCCCAGCCTGGCACTGGGCCCCATAGACGCCAATTAGATGGACGTGGTCTCCACACTGCAGGTGTTCACAGTACTCACTTGCTCCTGCAGACCCCAAATGCCAGAGAACTCATTTGCTGACCTTTAGCTGATGACAGGGGCTGGAGTTGACATTTGTATCAACCCACTGCATGCCTCAATGGGTCACCCTTCTGTGAGCAGGTGCTTCAGAGGCACAGCAGGACAGTCCTGGAGGCTCACCACAAAGCAGGGCCACCACACGCATGGGGAGAACTAGAAACCGATGACTTGGAATTTCCCTGCTGTTCTGGGTGGGCTTTGATGGGCTTTGCTCTGACTTCCTCTCTTAGACCTCTGGGCAGTGTTGCTACTGACGCAATAGAAATCAAGCATCCTGTTTCACTCCAGCAGAGGCTGCATTGCAGCAATGAGGGGTGTTTGCCCCATACCCAGAGAGGTGCTTCTGGGGAGCGAAGGCCCATAGCAAATGGGCAGCTAGCACATCAGGCCCAGGAGTCTGCTGCGTTGCAGAAGCTGCTGAAGTGTTGGCCCTGCCCACCTCCCAGGACACCTGTGGGAATGCGGGAATTCCACAAATTATGGATTCTAAGCCCCAGGAGATTTAAAAGGAAGGGAGAGGGAGAGAATGAGAATCGATGCTCTATTATTTGATGAGTTTGTAGGCGAGTGTGTGAGAGCAGAATGTTGAGACAAGACTTTCAACTTCGATGTAAGGAATATCTATTAAGCCCCTGCTGTGTGCCGGGGCTGTGTGTGATGCCTAAAGAACAATTGGCAACAGCCTCTCAAGGTGTGTGTGTGTGTGTGTGTGTGTGTGTGTGTGTGTGTGTGTGTGTTAGCGGCAGGTATATATCACAAGTTCAAAAGGGAGTGTCATAATTGTATTAAAGAGAAAAAACTACCACTGCTGGATTTAGAGTTATGAGATCTGGGTTTGAGTCCTGGTTCTACTTATCAGCTGCTTCCTTGAGTGTCCTCTCTATAGAATAGGGATCATAGCTCTTCCGAACATCACAGGGTTTGGGAAGGTAGAAAAAAGAAAAGGGATGCAAAAACACGTGGGGAAAAGGAACGTGGTTCCACAGCAAGAGTGGGCCCTCGTGTAAACTATGAGCTTTGGGTGATAATGGTGCATCAACATAGGCTCCTCACTTGTAAGGGTCAGACCCCTCCGGTGCCAGATATCGACAGCGGGGAGGCTGTGTGTGTGGGAGCAGCGAGGAACTCCCCGGACTTTCTGCTCAATTTTGCTCCAAACAAAAAATGGCTCTTAAAAAAGAAGTAAATTCAAAAGAAAAAAGATATAAAAATACATAATCCATTTGAAAAAATTACAATCATTAAAAAAGAAAAAAAGGAAAATGGAAAACTACTATAGACATGGTTTGAGTTGATATAAAGCTTTGATAGAAAGGCACAAAGAAAATGGCCTAAGAGTTGAAAGCCCAGTGAAATCACAGCTCACGAGGGGTACTTGAGAGAAACTAGGGGAGAAAGTTTTAAGACACAGTCTCCAGCAGAATGGGCTGTCATGAACCCATGGAGTAAGAATTGGGGTTAGGTCGGGAGGAGAACAGCTGCCTTTTCATATCATCCATCCCTCTGTCAGTCACCCTAGGCAAGAAGCCATCCAGAGAGACTCCGAGGCCAGGGACTGAGTGTGCTCGCACACCTTGCCCTGAACCTGCACTTGTGTCCCTATTTCTGCCTGTGCCGCCATAACAGATACCACAGCAGGGTGGCTTAAACAACACCGGTGCATTCCCTCTCGACTCCGGAGGCTGGAAGTCTAAAATCAAGGTGTGAGCTGGACGGTGCTCCCTCCAAAGCCCTGAAGGGAGGACCCTTTCTCGCCTCCTCCAGTGTGTAGTAGCCCCAGGAGGTCCTTGGCTGTTAGCAGCATTGCCCTCATCTGTCTCACATCTTCTTCCCTCTGTGTCTGTCTCCACATGGCCTTCTTCTCCCTGTGAGCACCTGTGTCCAAATTTCCTCCTCCTCCTCCTCCTCCTCCTTCTTCTTCTTCTTCTCCTTCTTGTTTCTCTTCCTCCTTTTCCTCTTCCTCTTCTTCTTCCTTTTTCTTCTTCCTTTCTCCATTTCCTTCCCTTTCCCCTTCCCCTTCCCCTCCTTCTCCTTCTCCTTCCCCTTCCCCTTCCCCTCCTTCTCCTTCTCCTTCTCCTTCTTCTTCTTCTCCTTCTTCTTGTTCATCTTCTTGTTTTTAGAGTGGGGTTCTCACTCTGTGGCCCAGGCTGAAGTGCAATGGCACAATCATAGCTCACTGCAGCCTCAAACCCCTGGGCTCCAGCAATCCTCCTGCTTCAGCCTCCTGAGTAGCTGGGACCACAGGCATAAGCCAGCCACCATACCCTGGTAATTAAAAAAAAATTTTTTTTAATTGTAAAGATGCAGTCTCACTATGTTGCCTAAGCTGGTCTCAAACTCCTGACCTCAAGCAAACTTCCTGTCTTGGCCTCCCAAAATGTTAGGACTACAGGCGTGAGCCATCATGCCTAGCCAAATTTCCCTTTTCTTACAAGGACAATAGTCTTTTGGATGAAGGCCCACCTTAATGACCTCATCTTAATTTGGTTACATCTGTAAAGACTCAATTTCCAAATAGGCCACATCCATAGGTACTTCAACCTATCTTTTAGGGGGATAAAATTCAACCCATAACAGTGGACTAGAGTAGTTCATCCCCTCACCTTGTCCCTGAGTGCCAGGCAGAGAGGAAAACCCTGGTTTAGAATTCTGAGACCTGCATTTGTATCTGAGTCTTACTAGCTGCATGACCTCGGACAAGTTACCCAAACAGTGAGCCCCAGATTCCACATCTATAACAGAGATCGTAATGCCTACAACACCTTCTCCCCACCGTTGATGTGAAGATTCCATGAGACGGTGTTAGTGGATCACTTTGTAAACGCTAAAACTCCAGGCAAACATCTATTGTCATTTCTTCAAACGAAGGGCCCGGCTTCAACCACGTGTGTCTACAAAAAAAGGGGGCAAGTTTCCATCAATACTCTAATTACAACCAATTGCATGCATTTCCCGTCTGCCCACATGGGAAGTTAAACCCCTCAAAGCACCTTTCTATTATTTCTGGGGGTTCCCCTGGGCTGTGTCACACGTGTTCTGGAATAGGTTCCCACGTACCTGAGCGTCTGCTCTTCTTCCCCGCTCCTGAGCGACCAGGACTGCCTTCCCAGCTGTTGGCACTCCCAAGATGACCACTGTTCTGGTGCCACTGAGTCCCCTGACTTAGGCCTTGCAGAAGGAGCACGCGCTCCCCACCTTCTCCTCTGCTCCACCTCATTCCTCTCCGCACCCAGCTTAAGCTGGGCTATAACCTTTAACCAGGCATTGTTTGAAGTGTCAGCAGAAGGGACGCTCAAAACAGGGGGACTTGGGGCTGCTACTGCTGCCGCTCAGTCAGGCCCCCCGAGCTTGCCTCCCTGGAGCAGGGCCTGCCCCACCAGGGTGCTGTGAGCACACCTGCCCCCGACCATGCAGGGCAGCCCTCCAGAGACTCGGTGAGAGAAGGAGCTCCTCCACCCATGGGAGGCAAACTCTGCCTCCCTGTTCCTCAGTTCCTGTCCTAGGACAGGCCACTTTCCAGAAGGACCGGCAGTGGGAATTCCCACTCCATTCGGGGAAGTCCCCATCCCTTACCCAGAGGCCTGCAGCATTGCTTCCTGACCCCAAGCCACAGGATTCCACTTGCACATAATAGTCCAGAGGCTGCAAATCAGGCACACAGACCTGTTTCATTTGGGTCATGCAGTTTAAAAAATATATATGAATTGTTATCAATATTCCCATTGAGATAGTTTACACTTAAAATATCACAATTTGGCCAGGCGCAGTGACTCACTCCTGTAATCCCAGCACTTTGGGAGGCCGAGACGGGTGGATCGCAAGGACAGGAGATCGAGACCATCCTGGCTAACACAGTGAAACCCCGTCTCTACTAAAAATACAAAAAATTAGCTGAGCGTGGTGGCGGGCGCCTGTAGTCCCAGCTACTCGGGAGGCTGAGGCAGGAGAATGGCGTGAACCCGGGAGGCAGAGCTTGCAGTGAGCCAAGATCATGCCACTGCACTCCAGCCTGGGCGACAGAGTGAGACTCTGCCTCAATAAAAAAGTAAAAATTTCTGTCTTCTCTTGAAAACAACATTTAGCCTCTGGATTTGCATGTCAGTCACCAGCTCAAGCTCTGTAGCAGCTCGCTATAGTTGGAATGTGTGTCCCTCCACATCTCAGGTTGAAATGTGATCCCCGGTGTTGAAGGTGGGGCCTGGTGGGAGGTGTTTGGGTCATGGGGGTCCCGTGGGGGTCCCATGGGGGTCATGGGGATCCCTCATGAATGGCTTGGTGCCCTCCTCATGGTAATGAATGCATTCTTGCTCCATTAGTTCCCAAGAGAGCTGGTTGTTAAAATGACCCTGGCGCCTCCCCACACGCTTGCTTGCTCTTGCCATGCCATCTCTGCCATCTCTGCTCACACGGCTCCCCTCCACTTTCCACCCTGAGTGGAAGCAGAGCAAGGCCCTCACTAGAAGCAGAGGCCTGATCATGAACTTTCCAACCATCAGAATCGTGAGCCAAATAAACCATTTTATATATATATATATATATATAAAAATTGCCCAGCCTCAGGTATTCCTTTACAGTAACACAAAATGGCTTAAGACACAGCTCCTTCCTCTAAATGGAGCCCATGTTTTCCTATTTGCCAGATGCCCATGGTCTCTTTTAGTCCTGTGTATCGCCTTCCCAGCCCCTGCAGCCATCTGAATTGGTGGGACCATGCTCCTACAGTGGGCCTCATAGGTCCACTCCACAGAGCGCTGGGCCAGAGCTCGTTCTGGTGCCATTCTCTCCTCCAGCTTGGTGCAGCGATTCTGTCTCTGTGTCCTTCCTGCACAATGCTGTCGTGAGCTTTCCAGCTCCTAGAAACACCTGCACAAAGAAGAATACAGCCTCACAGCAAGAAGAACCGGCAGGTTAAGTGCAGGCTGCACGGCAGGTTGCAGCAGAACTCACCCTCAATCCATGTGGGGCCGGGAATCATTCCTTCCCACTTTGTGCCACCTTCTATCAGCACCATAAAAAAACTGGTGGAGACAGGGTCCTTGCACAACAAGCAAGTTCAATTGCCATCTAGTTAATGGTAAGGACCCAGTCAAGCAGGAACAGTCTGCCCCAAAGGTAAATTTCAGTTTAATCTCTTTTAGGAAGCCCCTGGTTGCAATTTTTAAGGAGTCAATTTTCTAGAAATTTTTCCATAAAATTATTTTTTTAACCTTATAATTTGGGCACCTATTAACATCATGTCGCTGGTGTTTCGATAGACCCAAGGTGGAACATGATAACAGATAGAAACCAAAACTTTACAGGCAGATAGTCATAAACGAAATGATGGTGGGAGGGCTGGGGAATTTCCATAGCACTAGAACCTCTGACACACTGTGGGCATAAAAGAGACCATGAAAGAAGTCACACATATTGAATTTCTCTTTGCATAGAGGCACAAATGCATCTCTCTTGTTTGACCTTGAAATATTAAAAGAACCACAAAAAGGTATCTGCTTTGGGAAATCCCTCATGCCCCAGTACTGAGAAGGGCAGGTGGACTCAGTCACAGGGCTGTGTCCCTTTAGGTCTATTGACCTCAGCAGGGTTGTAGGGAGAGGTGCCTCTCCCTCATTTTTTTTTCTAATATCCTCCCCTCATTGCTTCCTCACTCAGCCTACCTCCCCAGTTACACAGCCAATGCAACCTTGGCCCATTTAACCAAAATGTTGCCAATGTTATGGGACAGCAAATGAACACAGAGAATTCCGAATTTTCTGCCCTAGAAGATACAGCTTTTGGCCAGGTGTGGTGGCTCACACCTGTAATCCCAGCACTTCGGGGGGCCGAGGTGGGCAGATCACCTGAGGTCAGGAGTTCGACACCAGCCTGGGCAACATGGTGAAACCCTGTCTCTACTAAAAATACAAAAACTAGCTGGGCGTGGTGGCACGTGCCTGTAGTCCCAGCTACTCGGGAGGCTGAGGCAGGAGCACAGCTTTTCCGTCTTCTGTGTAGGTTCCCCACATTTCCTCCAAGATCCTGGGGCCATACTTAACTCCTACCACCTAGAATCCTTTTCATTCCTGTCCCATTTGGGAGTTCTGGTCCTCATTCCTGTCTGAGGACATGTCATCTGATATAATTCCTAGCAGGAAAGTCCATCCATGTCAAAGACCACACATGCACATATGGACCTAGGCCTTAATATTCAGCCTACAACAAGATGGTCAACTCTAGCAACAAAGCCCAGCTATTTGCAGCGAGAACACACACCTCCAACAATGTCAGACCTGACCCATGCACTAAAAAGGATAAATTCTGCCCAGGTGGATGGGCTAGTCTAAGCTTTCTCGTAAATGGGGGCCTGACGTGGCTACTGGCTTCCTAACATCTGAAGCACTTTTATCAGCTAATTCAACTAAACTTTGCAAAGCTCCTCTTAAAGCCATACTCCCTGGTGTCAATGGACTATTCAGAGAAGAAAACAGTAGCGTTTATGGGGTGAGGACTTGGGTTCAAGTTCTTCTCTGCAACTTAAATTCTCTACAGCTCACTTCCCTCTCTTGTCTGATCCATTAATACCTAGTCCTATAAATAGTCCTATAAATTTGCACACAAACTTAGTTATTAACCAGCACCGAGGCTGCATGGGGTTTCGTAAGATGACTTACAGTGATTACTTACACGTGAGTTGAGCATAAACATCCGCCTGGAACATTCAGTCCGCGCCTCTGCAGCACGGCTGTCAACTCTAATAAATGTTTCCAGCATTAAAAAGCTTGTTTCTTATGGTGTCAAGAGAATAAAGCCAATTGGTGGTGAATCAGAAATATCTAGGGGGAGGTCTTTTGGAGAATCATGAATAAATATGACAAAAAGAAATCCATTTTAATTTGTATTAATTACTGAATAATTTCCTGTAGCATAATTGTTAAATTATTAATGAATACCATGAATTGTTTATTTTATTATGAAATAATTCTTTTTAATATACTTATTAATCTATCAGTGATAATTATTAATTAACTTACCATATGGATTAATTAATGCATAATGATGAAGTAGGTTGAGAAGGGCTGTAGCAAAAGATGGAACAAAACCAGGGGGATAAGCAAGAAAAGAACTCTGCTATGTCATGGGGCTTCCAGAAAATCAGATGAAAACATTCTGCAACTGGAAAAGTACATGTTCTCTTCTGTAATATGTCCTCTGCATAAATGTTTTAAAACTTCAAGTCGCCTTACCTGATCTTTTGTTTTTTTTTTTTTTTGAGACAGAGTCTCACTCTGTCGCCCAGACTGGAGTGCAGTGGCACTATCTCAGCTCACTACAACCTCCACCTCCAAGGTTCAAGCGATTCTCCTGCCTCAGCCTCCCATAGTCAGCTGGGATTACAGGCATCTGCCACCACACTTGGCTAATTTTTGTATTTTTAGAAGATACAGGGTTTTGCCACGTTGGCTAGGCTGGTCTCAAACTCCTGACCTCAGGTGAGACACCCACCATGGCCTCCCAAAGTGCTGGGACTGCAGGCATGAGCCACCGCACCTGGCTGTCCTACCTGATTTTTAAGGAGTAAGTAATCATTTGTGTAGATTTTAGTTTTTTGTTTGTTTGTTTTTATTTTTTTTAAAAAGTATAACATTTGGCCAGGTGCGGTGGCTCATGCCTGTAATCCCAGCACTTTGGGAAGCCGAGGTGGGTGGATCACAAGGTCAAGAGACCAAGACCATCCTGGCCAATATGGTGAAACCCTGTCACTACTAAAAATACAAAAATTAGCTGGGCGTGGTGGTGCACACCTGTAGCCCCAGCTACTTGGGAGGCTGAGGCAGGAGAATCATTTGAACCCGAGAGGCGGAGGTTGCAGTGAGCCGAGATCATGCCATTGCACTCCAGCCTGGTGACAGAGCGAGACAGCGTCTAAAAAAAAATTATATATATATATATATATATATATACACACACACACACACACACACATAATATTTAATATGTCAACAAGATTTTTAGATTTTTTTCTTTCTTTTAACTTTTATTTTAGGTTCAGGGGTGCATATGCAGGTTTGTTATGTAGGTAACTTACGTGTCATGGGAGTTTGGTGTACAGATTATTCCACAGCCCAGGTCATAAGAATAGTACCTGACAGGTAGTTTTTCGATCCTCACCCTCCTCTCTCCCTCCACCCTCCAGAAGGCCCTGGTGTCTGCTGTTCTCTTCTTTGAGTCCTTGTGTACTCAATGTTTATCTCCCACTTATAAGGGAGAATATGTGGTGTCTGGTTTTGTTTCTGTGTTAGTTGGTTCACGTAGGATAATGGTCTCCAGCTTCATCCATGTTGCTGCAAAGGACATAATCTCTTTCTTTTTTATGGCTGTATAGTGCTCCATGGTGTGTATGTATCACATTTTAGATTTCTTATTTTAAAAAAATTCAATGCCCCCAAAATGTAATCACCTACAAACATTTCACCAGGTGAAAACTTTCTCATCCCACAAACTTTAGGCCATGGACAGTATGCTTTTCCAGAATCTAGGGAAAAGTTAAAGCCCTGGGCACAAGGTAAATTCACTTAGAATTTCAGGGTAGATACTGATTTTTATTAGGCTCTTGTGCCACTCACAGAAATGCCACATGCTCTTAGTCATCAGCCTCACACTAATACCTGTATACCACATCCTATTCAACAGAAAGGAATATCCACTTTAACACCCATCAGGAAAAAAAAAATGCTCTTTTTAAAATAAATCACTGACAATTTTCTCAAATAAAATGTCGGATCAAAAAATAAATGCAGGCCAGTCATGGCAGCTCATGCCTGTAATCCCAGCACTTTGGGAGGCCAAGACAGGTGAGTCACAAGGTCAGGAGTTCAAGACCAGCCTGGCCAACATGGTGAAACCCCGTCTCTACTAAAAACACAAAAATTAGCCAGGTGTGGTGGTAGGTGCCTGTAATCCCAGCTACTTGGGAGGCTGAGGCAAGAGAATCGCTTGAACCCGGGAGGTGGAGGTTGCAGTGAGCTGAGATCATGCCACTGCACTCCAGCCTGGGCAATAGAGCGAGACTCTGTCTAACCAAAAAAAAAAAAAAAGAAAGAAAGAAATGCATAAACAAATGTATCCCTACAATGGGATATTATTCAGCCATAAAAAGGAATGAAGGGCTGGGCGCAGTGGCTCACACCTGTAATCCCAGCACTTTGGGAGCCCGAGGTGGGAGGATCCTGAGGTCAAGAGATTGAGACTATCCTGGCCAACATGGTGAAACCCCACCTCTACTAAAAATACAAAATTTAGCTGGGCGTGGTGGCACGCACCTGTAGTCCCAGCTACTCAGGAGGCTGAGGCAGGAGAATCGCTTGAACCCAGGAGGCCGAGGTTGCAGTGAGCCGAGATAGCATCACTGCACTCCAGCTTGGTGACAGAGCAAGACTCCATCTCAAAAAACAAAAAACAAACAAGCAAAAAAAGGAATGAAGTTCTGACACAGGCTACGACATGGATGAACATTGATTGGAAACATGCTGCTAAGCGAAAGAAGCCAGACCCAAAAAAGAAACACTGAATGATTCTGCTCATACAAGGAACCTAGAATTGGCAACTTCATAGAGGCAGAAGGTTGAAGAGACGTTACCAGGGACTGAGGGGAGAGAGAGCTGCTGTTTACTGGATATGGAGCTTCTGTTTGGGATGATGAAAATAATGAAAACATTTTTGGAAATAGATGGTGGCAATGGTTGCACAGCATTGTGAATGTAATCAATGCCAGTGTACCGGCCTCCTAAAAGTGGTTCAAATGGCAAATTTTATGTCTATTTCATCACAATAAAAAGTACAAATATGAAAATAAATGACGACTTGGAACACCTTGAGCCATAGAGTTCCGCCTGGGGGTCTTTGGCTGAAAGGACAGACTAGACTGTGTTCCCACGGCTTTTCCATCCCAGAGCACTCACAAGCCCATCTCCTCCATCTCCACGGCCCCTCCCCCCCATTCTGCTGGCCTGACGGCTCTGCTTCCGATCTCAGCCCCACCAGGAAAAGCTTCCAGAATCACAGAAACACATTCTGGGAAATTAGTTTTCTTAAAGCCTTTGCTTTTGGTTTTAATAAAAAAAAATTAAATATCTTGAAAGCAAAACTGCCATCTAAAGCAGGCTAAAATATAACTGCAACTTTAGGAAAACTTAATTATACATGCTATCAATGTACTGGCCCATGATCAATCTATCTACATTTCCCTTTTCTCTCATTTCAGAAAGTAAGAATAAAGTGGCTTTGCTTAAATATAAAAACCTAATCTCTCTTCTCTTCTCTTCCACTTCCTTGTATTAGATTGTCTTCCAGAACTAACCAAGAGGTCCCTAAAGCTGGCTCCAGAGACAGGATCCTTTGAGAATGTCTCTACTCTTTAAAAACACCCACTCACACCTGTAATCCCAGCACTTTGGGAGGCCGAGGTGGGCAGATCATGAAATCAGGAGATCGAGACCATCCTGGCTAACATGGCGAAACCCTGTCTCTACTAAAAATACAAAAAAAAAATTAGCTGGGCTTGGTGGCGGGTGCTTGTAGTCCCATCTACTCGGGAGGCTGAGGCAGGAGAATGGCGTGAACCTGGAAAGCGGAGCTTGCAGTGAGCCGAGATCGCACCACTGCACTCCAGCCTGGGCAACAAAGCGAGACTCCGCTCAAAAACAAAACAAAACAAAACAAATGAAAAAACACCCACATCAGGTTGGCCTTTTAAGTTTCCAGAGACAGAAAATCCCTTAGAAATTTTATCTGTAAACAAAGACCTGAAATTGGTGATTACACATTTCACGTAAGATGGGGAGGGGGGGCTTTTGCTCCAGGTTAACATGCATGGCTTGAACTTGACTCAAGGTCACCAACTAACCTACGTTGAGAAGAACCTTAATGTGATAAAAAGAAGTGAGTGTGAAATTTCCTACCAGAAAATGCTGATGGTTAATTTTCTGTCCACTTGGCTGGGCCAGTGTGCCGATATGTGGCTTAACATGAATCTGGACGTTTCTGTGAGGGTCTTTTGGATGAGATTAACCTTTAAAATGAGGGACTTGGAGCAAAGCAGATTGCCCTTCCCCATGTGGTGGGCCCCATCTAATCAGCTGAAGGTGTGAAAGGAAAATATCCTGGGCCGTCAAAATCACTAAGCTAAAGGAAAATTCAAGCTGGGAACTGCTTAGGGCAAACCTCCCTCCCATTCTATTCAAAGTCATCCCTCTGCTCACTGAGATAAATGCAGATCTGATTGCTTCCTTTGGAAAGGCTAATCCGAAACTCAAAAGAATGGAACCGTTTGTCTCACACCTACCTGTGACCTGGAAGCCCCCTGCCTGCTCCGAGTTGTCCCGCCTTTCCGAATTGAACCAATAGTCATTTTACATATGTTGATTGATGTCTCATGTCCCCTAAAAATGTACAAAAGCAAGGTGTGCTCTGACCACCTTGGGCACATGTCATCAGGACCTCCTGAGGCTGTGTCATGGGCATGCGTTCTCAACCTTGGCAAAATAAACTTTCTTTCTTTTCTTCTTTTTTTTTTTTTTGAGATGGAGTCTTGCTCTGTTGCCCAGGCTGGAGTGCAGTGGCACGATCTTGGCTCACTGCAACCTCTGCCTCCCAGGTTCAAGTGATTCTCCTGTTTCAGCCTCCTGAGTAGCTGGGATTACCAGCACCTGCCACCATGCCTGATTAATTTTTGTAGCAAAATAAACTTTCTAAATTAACTTAGACCTGTCTCAAATGTTGGGGGTTCACAAAGGCCTGTATAGAACAAAAGACTGACCTTCTCCCGAGCAAGAGGGACTTTGGTAGCAGACAGTCTTCAGACTTGACTGCAGGATTGGCTCCTCTCTGAGTCTTCAGCCTGCTGGTTCACCCTGCAGACGTTGGACTTGCCAGCCTCCATAATCACATGAGCCAATTCCTTAAAATAAATCTCTCTATATACCTAAATACACATTCTATTGGTTCGGTTTCTCTTGAAGACGCTGACTAATACAAAGATCTAGGAACAAATCCTGAGTCCCCTGCGACATATTTGCAGAATGATTTCAGTAAACCAATTAATCTCTCTGAGGGTAAATGTCTTCATCTGTGAAATGGAGATTTTTATATTAACTGAAAGTGTTCTGGGGGTAATGTACATAAAGCACATGAGATATCATGGGTGCTAAATAAACAGTAGCTTTTAAGAGGGAATGCCACAGACACAAAACTAAAGAAACCACTTCTCTTCTCCTTAAGTAGCTTATAGCCTTGGAAAAGAGCTAAATAACAATGGAAGTAATGTGTACTAAAACAAAAAAGTAGGGCTTCAGATTCATGCATCTTGGGTATAATGGGAAATAGAATGTGCCACCCCCAAATATGCCACTTTGGCGTAAGAATTGTTTTGAGCTGAAGGCAATTCGCTGTCTGCCATCCCCTATTCTGTCTAAAAACAGGACATAAATTTCCATTTGTAAGGGTGTCTCCCTTTCCCATACCAGGAAGAGAAATACTCCAGAGACAACTTTTAGCACCTGAGGCGACTCTTATCTGCCTAACAAACGTTATTAAACAACACTTGTTTATTATACATTTTCTCCCTTCACCTTCCCATAACTTACCTCCCATCTCAGAAGCCCAAAATCCCCTTTCCTTTGTCCAGCCTAAGATGGTTTATATAAGCTCCAAATTCTAAATGCCTCTTCGAATCACATTTCGTTGTGAATTCCTGTGCCAGCATACATAATTGTATCTGTTATTCTCTCTTGGTAGTCTGTCTTGTGTGAATTTAATTCCTGGGGCCCCCAACCACTGAACACAGGAGAGCAGAGAACAAATGTTTTTCCTCCCCTACAAGTATAATTAAAAGTATAGGAGATCTTGCAATTAAGAATTGGCGTCTGAACCAATATTCCCAATCTCTAATCTCAAACCTATTTTTTTCCTCCTGAACTGATGGTATGTTGACCTAGAGATGATAAAGGCAAAGTTATTTAGGAAGGTAACGCTGGCAGCCAGTTGGGTGGAATAGCTGGAAAAGTTCCTTTAAGAGTGAAAGGATAGGCCAGGTGCAGTGGCTCACTCCTGTAATCCCAGCACTTTGGAAGGCCAAGGCAGGCAGATCACCTAAGGTCAGGAGTTTGAGACCAGCCTGGCCAAAGTGGCAAAACCCCGTCTCTACTAAAAATACAAAAATTAGCTAGGTGTGGTAGCACATGCATGTAGTCCCAGTACTCAGGAGGCTGAGGCAGGAGAATTGCTCAAACCCAGGAGGCAGAGGTTGCAGTAAGCCGAGACCATACCACTCCACTCCAGGCTGGGCCACAGAGCAAGACTCTGCCTCAAAAAAAATTAAAATAAAAAAAGAATGAAAGTATCCATAATTACAGGTAGATTATCATCAGTTTTCTATTTTTGCTAGATGTTGAAATTAGGTGTATTGAATAAAATACATGGGACTTAAAGCCTGAGTAGCTTCTTTCAAATCCCAGCTCTGCTGCTTAGCAGCTGCCACTGGAGAAGTGATTATCCTCTGAGCTTCATTTTGTTCATCTGTAAAACCCGGCGACCAGCACATAGGAAGAACACAGCAAATGCTGGTGTCATTGAACATGCAGATAAATGAATGATTAACAGTCAATGAATTGAAAACTGTTTACCAAACCCAGGCTTGGAAGATTCAAAACAGAAACAGTGGTGTTGACAGAGCATTATATTTTAATGGATGACAGTAAATAGAAAAAGGGGGTTGATTCTGGAAAAGCGGAAAGAGCTTCAGAAATACTGGGAAGCTCCTGGCTTTTGGCGCTCCGTCTTGTTGAAATATTTAAGCCTCAACATACTTTCTCAACCTCATTGTTAGTGAAAGAAGGAAGTTCTATTAAAGAGAGCAAGAGAAAGACCATGCCTCAATAGCCAGAGTAAATCTAGTTTCCATCACACTCAGGGTGACCGGTTGGTCAAGGCAAAGCAGCATGGATGCTCCTGATGTCAGGATTTTTCTGTCCTGACCTGAGATGCTTCTGGGTGAACCCATCAGACAAGATGCTTTCTCAGACTCAAGTTCAACCACGTGGACCTCAGAGAACGTATAGCATAGTGTTTGTTGTTCCAGCTAGTACCCAGACAGGAGTCACCTGTGTGCATGTCTTTGCATGCATCGCCATGGGGGTTTTCCCAGCTCTGGTTCTCTAGTTCACTCGAATGAACACAGGAGGGATCACAAAGGCCTGAAGAATGTGTGTTCTTTTCTTCTGTTTTCCTGCACAGGTGCTAGTGTATTAAAAGCAAGAGCAAAGGGGCAGCCTGATGGCTGACGAGCTGATGAACAAGAGCAGCAGGTGTGTCCCCGCTGTTCCTAGAGAACAGTATGGAGAGTGGATCTCTCCATCACCCCCTCAATTCCCAATTACATCCCAGTTGTCCCATCCTCAGTCCTGAGGGGCTTTCTTAGTTGAGTCATAAGGGTAACCTCCAGGATGTCTCCAGAGCTAGGAGGAAGTTGCATAATATCAGTGTTTTTTAAGTACTTTTAGAAAGCAGTGACATTCATTTGACAAAAAAATTTAATGTACAGTGATTTCTTTCACTTACTGCTGTTGACTTTTCATAAAAAGATAATCTAAGGTCCCTTCCCTCTAGGATGTATTTACAACCTCCTTGGGGAGTCAAACATAAAAATTAAATAAGAGCTATGGAAGGATTACACCGATATAATTAATTTTAAAATTAGATTGAGAGCAAAAACATTTATTGAGCATGTACTATGCTCCAGGTACCTGCATAGGCACTTTTATTTATTCCTCTGATTGAACTGTCCTGTAAGGCGTGGGATATTATCTGCATTTTACAAAAGACAGCTCTAGGCTCAGAATGGTTAAGTAATGACAGGGTTCAGGACATGCTACCCCAAACTGTGGTACCTTGACACACTGAATATCTTAAGCTGAAGGAATCTGAGAGATGGCACGTGCAAGAAGCTCCCTCTCACCTTTCCCCTCACCTTGCCTGCTGAATCAGGTCGTAAAACCTAAGAAGGATTTTCTGACCTTCTCCTGAAGCAGGTCATCGTAAGACCCTCCTGTGAGCGGTGCCCTCCCTAGACCCGGAGAAAGGGAACATCCTTATTTCTGAAGACAAAGAAGAAGCTGAACAAACAGGCCTTGCTCAGTTTCCCCCAGTTTATTCCCATCAGACCACACTCTTTCCCCAATCACGTTTCCGCACACCTGGCCACTTCTCGTCAAACCTGTTGTACAAAAGAAGCCAGGCTGAACTGTTTCTCTGGGTCATTTCCTTATGAAGGTTCCCGTGTCAAGTAAAACTTAGATTAACTAAATGTGTATACTTTTCTCTTCTTAATCTGTCTTTTCTTATATGGGCCTCAGCCCTGAACCTGAGATGGGCAAGGAAGATACATTTCCTCCCGTACCGTGACAAAATAAGTGTCTTCTCGTTCAGAGTTTCCGATTCCAAATCCAGGAGTCTTTCCACTACATCAAACCTAATGGTAAATATTCAAGCATGTACAAAAGAAAGATCCCTGTAGTTGAGTGCATCCAGAGAAGCGCCTTGGCTCTCCCAGTAGTACTGCTCTGACCTGAGGAAGAATAAGGCCTTTATAAGCACAACTTGGCTGCATTCCACTGGCATAAATCCCAATCAGACAGTCAACCCCCTTCCGCATCCCCATCCTCTGGCCTTTTGAGAAAAGGGATCTGCCCTCCTAAGGGAATGTTCATTTTGCCACTAACAGGGAGCTCTCTGAAAAACGCTGTTTGCTGTCCAGTCACACCTCTGTGGAATCTTTTAACACATGGCGATTCTGTGGCAGGATACCTGTGTTGGTTTTGTTTTCACAGAGTGGTCACAAAGCTGAGTTCAAGGTGAGAAGTGAAAACAATTAAATGAATGGTAGCTTTTTCCACATGACTTTTCACTGCAGTGACCCAGCCCGGTCAGCCCCCGCGCCCGCTCGGTGGCGTGCACTTCCCATGACACACACACTCGTGGTATCCATGAGTGCGTGTCAGGAAAGCAGAAGTGTCACATGGACAAGCGAGTGTCAACAAGAGATGTGCCTCCTCTACACATCATGTGGTTAATGTCCAAACTCACTCATCCCACAGTCACGTTTGACTCTCAGTTGATCACTCTTTGTTCATGTTGAGATTCAACAGGAAATATTGTTTTTACAGGGTCTGGAATTTTAATGAGTCTAAGGATTCCTGATGGTTGTATTGACTTTATTTGTGGGGTTCTCAAAAGGAATCTCACAGTGTAGTCAACAGCAAGGAGTAAGCATTTTCTTACTTACAAAACCAAAGTTATATGTGTGGTACAAAGATGAGAGACTGGGGCCAGGCGAGGTGGCTCACGCCCATAATCCCAACACTTTGGGAGGCTGAGGCAGGCAGATCACCTGAAGTCAGGAGTTTGAGGCCAGCTTGACCAACATGGTGAAACCTCATCTCTACAAAAAATGCAAAAATTAGCTGGGTGTGGTGGTGCACACCTGTAATCCCTGCTACTCAGGAGGCTGAGGCAGGAGAATCACTTGAACCCAGGAGGTGGAGGCTGCAGTGAGCCAAGATCACACCACTGCACTCTAGCCTGGGTGACAAAGCAAAACTCTGTCTCAAAAAAAAAAAAAAAAAAAAGTGAGACTGGGAGCAGAAAGCAAGCAGTACTCACGCCACACTGCTGGGCAGTGGTGCTTAAAGAAAGCGAAAGAACAAACAAATGAAATACCAGCCTCAATGCAAAAATAAGCTGGAATGGAGGAGGTTTTCCATGCTTTTTGAAAGAGGCTGGGTAGAAATTGTAGTCTTGGGGGTTTTGTTGACAGCAAGAATTTCAGCTTTGCCTTAAGTGTTACTCAGAAGGTGAAATGGATTCAGCCAAACGTTACCATATAAACACAAACAGGCACATTTTGAAAACAGTTCCTGGAGTTCCAGGGAGCTCCCCTTTAATTCATCCCTAGCTCAATGCCGTATAGTTAGTGTTCAACGTCCTTCTAAGAAAAGAACTGAGGCGGTTTATTATTAGTGGTGAAGAACCAATACACAGAAATACAAAGGGTCATAGAAAGACAGTAAGCAACATTTCTGCTACAACAAGAGTCCGTAACCATGCTTTACTCCAGCCTCGGGGCTTCTGAAACCTCCCTAAGCTAAGAAACACAAACACATGTATGTGGGCCCATAATAGATGTAGGTGAGGGCTATAGGTCTCCTCAGCTTCATACCAGGTGGTATGTTACAATGAAAGCAAGTCTCAGACGGAATTCGGCCATAAAATAAACATTTAGAAGCCAGCAGGCTCAAAAACGTGGTACAACCAGTTCTGTAAACTCAACCAAGTACTGGTGCTTTGTTCTGCTGGCACACTGACAGGTGCCTTACATAACAGATTCACTTAAGGCAGATGTGACAGTACTCGAACAGCATGATTTAGCTTCATGTCTAGTCAGGGTCAGGTGCAGGAACCTTTCTATGAGCTGTGGATACAAGTCCTGATTCAAATCCCAAACCAGAGACAGCATTTGGAAGGGCATACATTATCCACTAGGCTTTCTAGGTCATAATACCCTGTTTATGCAAGGAGATGCAATCTGATACAGTGCTTCCAGTCAGCCCATAATATTTTGAACAACTCTTACTTCACCAATGAAAATGACTCCTAAAATCCATTATGCCAGATAGCAAAGCTGTTGGTGTTCATTGAGGATAGAGGAAGTTCTTATAGCTGACTCTCTAGAGCAGGAGCTGCTTCTTCTTTTTTTTTTTTTTTTTTTGAGACCGAGTCCAGCTCTGTCGCCCAGGCTGGAGTGCAGTGATATGATCTCGGCTCACTGCAACCTCCACCTCCCAGGTTCAAGCGATTCTCCTGCCTCAGTCTCCCGAGTAGCTGGGAATACAGGCGTGTGCCACCACACCAAGCTAATTCTTTGTATTTTTAGTAGAGATGGGTTTTCACCATGTTAGCCAGGATGGTCTCGATCTCCTGACCTCCTGATCTGCCTGCCTCGGCCTCCCAAAGGAGGAGCCTCTTAATAGTCTTTCAAATTCCAACAGACCACCCCTGGAGTGTGTATATTCATTCCTGAATAGGGCTCTTCAATATTAACTCGCTGCTCCTGGTTGTCAATTAAAAACCCAGAGATAAATACCACTACCTATGCCAACATTTTTAACCATGAATTGGAACAGTGTAATATTTTTGCTGGGATCTTTGATTGTCTCTTGCCAGAGCCCAGACTGGGGATCCAGGCATACACCTGGGCTCAAGACTTAGGAAAGCCCTCTCTCTTTCCTGGCCTTACAGTCTGGAGTCTTGGTCAGAATCTGCCCATCTTCAAACAGTTATGGCTTTCTCTTCTTACCTGTGCCTTCCATCAACCTTGTGAAGTAGGTGACGGTTACCAGGGTTAGAGTTCAGTTATTTCAAGAGCTTATCAGAGGAATTAAGCAGCAATTTTTTTATTTTTTTGCTTCAAGCTATCAGTTCCAAGGTCAACATGATATCTTGATACTCTTAAATGCTCTGATATTTTTTGATTTGCTGTGAAAGGCACACAATATTAACTCTATTAATGCCAGACAAAATACCGTCATAAATACTACATAGGAAGGGCCCTTGACAAAGACAGTCTCAGTGACCAAACTTTAGAAGGCCCCTCTCAGCCCTCTTTTTAACAGGACTCATCCCTGGACCCAGGCTTCAGCCTGCCTAGTCCAGTTTTAGCAGGGATCCTGCTAAGCCAATTTAGTGAGAGTCCCTCAACCTTGACCTCTGACCACACTGGTCTGCCTTCAGCAAGAATCCTGTTAAAGTCAGTTTAGCAAGAATTCCCCTCCCCTTGATATTTTTCTTGGTAATTACTTCTCTTAATAATTTTCTACCCATCAACCTCCCCAGCCCCCATCTGATACTGACATGGCCTAAAAAACTTGAATATCATACTGCTGGACTGAGTGAGGGTTTTCGAAACTCTAGTTGAGTTCATGAAACTGCTAACCCATGATCAAGCAAAACAAGAATTAATTACATAGGACTGAATCAACTAAAGAAGGAGTATAATTTTTATGGCTTTTTGTTTGGAACATTGCTTGTTCTTAATGTTCTATTTTCTGGACATAAGGAACCCCTTTTCTTTTTCTCTTAAGTTAGCTATAATATGTAACAATTTAGTAGATACATTTCTATAACAAAAATGGAACATTTATCTTTTTTCCTAATCCTTCCATAATTCAGAAACTATTACTGAGTATTTTTATGTTCATGGTTGTATTAGTCTGTTCACACTTTGCCATAAAGAAATACCTGAGACTGGGTAATTTATAAAGAAAAGAGGTTTAATTGGCTCACGGCTCTGCAGGCTGCACAGGAAGCGTGGCAGCTTCTGCTTCTCCGGAGACCTCAGGAAACTTCCGGTCATGTGGAAGGCAAAAGGAGAGTGAGGCGCATCACATACTCAGAGCAGAAGGAAGAAAGAGAGAGTGGGAAGGTGCTACACACTTTCTTTTTTTTTTTTTGAGACGGAGTTTCACTCTTGTTACCCAGGCTGGAATGCAGTGGCACGATCTCGGCTCACGGCAACCTCGGCCTCCCGGGTTCAAGCGATTCTCCGGCCTCAGCCTCCCGAGTAACTGGGACTACAGGCGCCCG
The DNA here is from genome assembly GCF_000001405.40 of Homo sapiens. Classification (NCBI taxonomy): domain Eukaryota; kingdom Metazoa; phylum Chordata; class Mammalia; order Primates; family Hominidae; genus Homo; species Homo sapiens. Next base: position 184,333,856 of record NC_000004.12, read on the forward strand.
CCACCACACCCAGCTAACTTTGTATTTTTAGTGGAGATGGGGTTTCTCCATGTTGGTCAGGCTAGTCTCGAACTCCCGACCTCAGGTGATCTGCCCACCTTGGCCTCCCAAAATGCTGGGATTACAGGTGTGAGCCACCATGTCCAGCTGCTACACACTTTTAAACAACCATATCTCACGATAACTCACTGACCAGCACAAGAGCAGCACCAAGGGGACAGTGCTAAAACATTCATGAGAAAATGTCCCCATGATCCAATCACCTCCCCCTAGGCCTCACCTCTAACACTGGGAGATTACAATTGAACATCAGATTTGAGTGGGGACACAGATCCAAACCGTATCAATGGTGATATACTATTTTATATGGGTTCGATAAGAATCTGTCCTTTTTGTAACAGAACATAATTTTAAAAATTGATTAGATAATCAAGGCTTTGACCAAAATGTTTTATTTGAGAATAAGACATGGGGGTCCATTCCAAGATGGCCGAATAGGAACAGCTCCGGTCTGCAGCTCCCAGCCTGATCGACGCAGAAGACAGGTGATTTCTGCATTTCCAACTGAGAATAAGACATAAAATCACATATGAACAGACAGTTTTGAGGAACTAAGGTTAACTTTATGGAGCCAATGCATATGAAGCCCTCCCGGAAAGTCTGCCTGGTACCTGGATTATGGAGTTCCCAGCCTTACAGGTGAGTCAGGAAGGTGACTTTCTGGCAGGCCAAAGAAACTCAGGATGTTTTTAGGACCTCAAGAAGAGAAGAACCCATCTGAATCTCTAGGCATTGCAGATAAGGCCTGGTGGTGCTTGACTTGGCTTTATAGCTTCAAGAACTCTTGAAAGCATAATCTGAGATTACTTGTAAAAAGTTCCAGCAATGCAAACTTAAATAAGCCTACCTGGTCAGTTGCCATTCTTGCTGCAATTATGCAAATAAGTAAGTCAAATATAATGAGACAAGACTTATTTTGTAAACAAGAATAATCTTACTTTGGTTAATTTGGATCAAAAAAGGGGGATGACTGTAGAAAGATATTTTATAAAAACTATAGCACCTTCTTATGGGTTATTATTCTGGTCCTGTACTTGTCTTTCAGGTTTTGTTATCTACTTGTAAATTGAACGGGATCCTGTCATCATGCACAGCTTGTCAGTCCTTACCAAATTCTCAGTTCTTCTAGTTCCCTTTACTATCTGGCTACCACTCTCCAAACTGAGGTTTTTAATTTTTCTCCCACTGTCCTGATTTGGCATCACTGAGAACTAAAACCTAACTTCCCAGATCTTTATTGTGACTGTCTAAAGAAGCCCTTCAAGATGAAGTTGGACACTTCTACACTCTGCTCGGAAAAATAACCATGACTGTGACACTGATGTCTATGCCATCACCAAGGACATTCAAACTGCAAACCAGAAAATCCATGATCTGGGATGGCCACTGCAGTCCTCACCCCATCATCTAAAGATGCCTTGACATCTAGAAATCTTCTCAACTGGCTGCCCTGCTACCAAGTTTCAGCAGGGGGCTCAGCTTGTCCTTAATGAAAAAAAGGCCACCAAATGAGAAATTGACTTATATTGTTCAAAGGAAAGAAGAATGTCTCTTTTTCCCTTGAACAAGAGGAGGGACCAAGAAAGACCCTCCCCTTGACCAAATTTTAGATGAGCTCCTCTGAGGCCTCTTTTCAACAAGCTTTGTCCTTGCATCCTGTCTTCAGCCTGCCTAGTCCAATTGTAACAAGAGTCCTGCTAAGTCAGTTTAGGGAAAATCCTCCCACCTTTGATTTCTCCTCTTAGTAATTTTCCATCCACTGACTCTTCTCCTCCCATTCTGCTCACTGGCTAAAAACCTCCAGTGGTTTTTGCTGTATTCAGAGTTGAGCTCAACCATTTCCTGTCTCCTATTGCACAGTCTTGATACCTATTGCAATAATCTTGAATAAATCTTTCTTACTGCCTTAATAAGTGTAAGAAAATCTTTTTCTTTAATACCATTCTACCCTGATATGGTTTGGCTCTGTGTCCCCACCGAAATCTCATCTTGTAGCTCCCATAATTCCCACATGTTGTTGGAGGGACCCAGTGGGAGATGGTTGAATCATGGGGGCACGTCTTTCCCGTGCTGTTTCTTGTGCTGTTCTCGTGGGTCTCAGGAGATCTGATGGTTTTAAAATGTGAGTTTCTCTGCACAAACTCTTTGCCTACTGCCATCCACGTAAGATGTGACCTGCTCCTTCTTGCCTTCCGCCATGATTGTGAGGCCTCCCCAGCCATAAGGAACTATAAGTCTATTAAACCTCTTTCTTTTGTAAATTGCTCAGCCTCAGCTATGTCTTTATCAGGAGCATAAAAACTAATACATATGCTCATTCAAGATGGATTGGATTTACCCTCCTCCCTGAAAAAAAAAAAAAAGCAAAATATATTAAATAGCAATTTTAAGGTACTGGACACCAGGCAATTAAGGATAATGATACTTTGATACTTAAGAGATGAGACATAAATAATGTCATCCATACAGTGGCCAAAATTTACTACTGTGAAAGAGTTTTGAGGCTAAGATATAGGGAGAGGGAACCCTGGTGGAGCCCCAAGGCCTCCCTGAGTTGGGGAGACAGAGTTGAAGGTTGGAAAAACCACAGCAGTGAGAACTCACAAGCAGGTTCCCAGAGAGGAGAGATTTGTGCACACAGAGTTCTAGGGTTTTGCAGAGGGACCTCCTTAAGTATTCTTCTGAGTATTGATTTGTGCATGCATGACAGAAAATTACCCAAGGCCAAAAGAACCACCTGAGTGGATTAGAAGAAACAATGTCTGATACTCGGACACAGCTAGAAATAGTACCTATTCTTACCAGCCACATTTAAGACCATGATTCATGAAGCAATAAATAGAGTACACAGAAGGGTCTTAACTTAGTAGTGGGGAATAATTATGCCTAAACTGAGCACTGCTGTAGTACCACCTAAAAAATCTTAAAAGCAAGACTTTAAGTATTCAAGTGTTGCCAAGTATCTTAACTGTATTGCAGAACAAAGCTGAAGAACACTTATAAGATTGCAAAGAACCCAAGACCCAACAAGATAAAATTATAGTGGCTGGCATCAAATAAAAAATTACTCATCATGAAAAGAAGGAGGTAAACACTAGCCATAATGAAGAGAATAATCAATAAACTGAAATCAAACCAGAACTGACACAGACAGTAGAATAAACAGAAAAGGACATTAAAACAGTTACTATAGCTGTATTCTATATGTTTAAAAGGTCAAATAGAGACATGGAAGATTTAGAAAAGACTCAAATCATCTACAGATGGAAAGTTCAATATTGAGATGAAAAAAACACTATAGGATTAGTAGCAGATTAGCTATTGAAGAAGGGGAAAAAAGTGAAATTGAAATCATAGCAAAAGACGCTACCTAAAAGGAAACTCAGAGGGAAAAAATTCTTTTAATGAACAGAGCGTCAGTGAGCTATGTAGACTAGCCAATGGAATTCACATGAAAAAGCTACTAGAACTATTAGCAAAGTTATAGGCAAAATCAATTGCATTTCTATATATTAGCAATAACCCATTGGCAATTGAAACGGAAAGAAATAATACCTTTTACAATTAGGTCAAAAATATTAAATACTTAAGAATTAATCTGACAAAACTCTGAAAGATCTATATACTGAAAACCATACAACATCGTTGAGAAAAATTAAAGAAGACCTAAACAAATAAAGAAATATACTTTGTTCATGGGAGGAAGACTCAATATTGTTAAGATGTCAGTTCTCCCCAAAATGGTCTATAAATCCAGTGCAATCCCAATCAAAATCTCAGTAGGCTTTTTTTTTTTTTTTTGGAGAAATTGATAAGCTGATTCTAATACTTTTATGGAAATGCAAGGACCTAAAATAGCCAAAACAGTTTTCAAAAAGAAGAACAAAGTTGGAGGCCTAATATGACATTATTTCAAAGCTTATTATAAAGGAACAGTAATCAAACTAGTGCAATTTTGGCATAAAGTTAGAAAAACAGATCAATGAAGCAGAAGAGAGAGTCCAGAAACAGAACTGCACATTTATGTGTTGGTGAATGCCAGGGATTCAGCTTAGGTCTGATTGCTCACCACACAGAAAGCCAATCACTGAGACAACAAGTACTGCCAGGAAGAAAGGCTTTATTGCTGGTGATGCCAGCCAGGATATGGGAGACAAGTCTAAAATCTGTCTCTGTAACCAATAAAGTTAGGAGTTTATGTAGGAGTTGCTCAACAGGCAGTAGGTAGTTGAATCAGGGTTCTGGCACCTTGCTGTTAGGATGCAGCGATCTGGAAATCTTCAGCTTTCTGATACTATCTGGGAGGCCTGACAGCTGGTTTCCTGAGAAATAAACTCAGATAAGACAAATGTAAGTTTCTCAAGCTTTAAAACCTGGAGAGTCCACTTCAATGTTCATTAAAAACAAAAACAAAAACAAAAAACAACAACAAAACTGTAAACAGTTTTTCCCATCAGTTCTATGGGAAAATTGGGTCAGTTTCATTGGCATGACCAACTTTTTACAAAGATGCAAAAGCAAGTCAGTGGAGAAAAGACAGTGATTTCTATCATATCATCACAACAGTGAGGTTGGCACAAGTGGTAATCTATATGCAAAAATTAAAAACCTCAGTCCTTACCTTGCACAATGTATATAAACTAACTCAAAATGGATCATATACCTAAATGCAAAACCTAAAACTAAAACTTCTAAAAGAAAACTCTTGTGACCTTGGGTTAAGTATCTTAAATACTATGCTAAAAGCATGATTTATTAAAATCATAAATTGATACATCTGACTTCATCAAAATTTAAAACACCTGCTCTTCAAAAGACATTGTTAAGAGAGAAAAGTCACAGACTAGAAGAAAATATTTGCAAACCATATCTCTGATAAAGGGCTTGTGTCCAGAACATATAACACACTCTCAAAATTCAATAATAAGAAAACAAACCCAATTTTTAGATAGACAAAATATTCTAACAGACACTCTACCAAAGAAGATATACAAGTTGCAAATAATTACATGAAAATATGCTCGATAATATTTGTTATTATGGTACTGTTACCAGAAAGGGCAGAAAGGGGTCCTGATGCAGACCCCAAGAGAAGGTTCTTGGACCTTGCACAAGAAAGAATTTAGGGCGAGTCCATAAAGTAAGCTGAAACCAAGTTTATTAAGATAGCAAAGGAGTAGGCCAGGCTCAGTGGTTGAAGCCTGTAATCCCAGCACATTGGGAGGCCAAAGCAGGCAGATCACTTAAGGTCAGGAGTTCAAGAACAGCCTGGCCAATATGGCGAAACCTCATTTCTACTAAAACTACAAAAATTAGCCAGGCATGGTGGTGCACACCTGTAGTCCCAGCTACTCGGAAGGCTGAGGCAGGAGAATCGTTTGAACCTGGGAAGCGGAGGTTTCAGTGAGCCAAGATCGCGCCATTGCAGTCCAAACTAGGTGTCACAGTGAGACTCTGTCTCAAAACAAACAAAAAAACAAAACAAAAAACAAAAAACAAAGAAAGTGAAGGAATAAAGGAATGGCTGCTCCATAGACAGAGCAGCAGCATGGGCCGCTCAGCTGCTTATACTTATTGTTACTTCTTGATTTTATGCTAAACAAGGGGTGACTTATTCATGAGTTTTCTAGGAAAGAGGTGGGCAATTCCTGGAACTGAGGGTTCCTCCCCTTTTCAGGCCATATAGGGTAACTTCCTGATGTTGCCATGGCACTGGTAAACTGTTATGGCACTGGTGGGAGTGTCTTTTAGCATGCTAATGCATTATAATTAGCATATAATGAGCAGTAAGGACAACCAGAGGTCACTTTCATCACTATCTTAGTTTTGGTGGGTTTTGGCCAGCTTCTTTACTGCATCCAGTTTTATCAGCAAGGTCTTTGTGACCTGTAACTTGTGCCAACTTCCTATCTCATCTTGTGACTAAGAATGCCTAACCTCCTGGGAATGCAGCCCAGAAGGTCTCAGCTTTATTTTATCTAGCCTCTGCTCAAGATGGAGTCACTCTGGTTCCAATGCCTCTGACAGTAATGTGAGTTAAAACCACAATGGGATACCATTACATGTTTTTGTGTGTTTTTTTTTTTCATTTTTGTTTTGTTTTTTTAGATAGAGTCTCGCTCTGTCACCTAGGCTGGAGTGCAGTGTCGCAATCTCAGCTCACTGCAAGCTCTGCCTCCTGGGTTCAGGCCATTCTCCTGCCTCAGCCGCCTGAGTACCTGGGACTACAGGCATCCACCACCATGCCCGGCTAATTTTTTGTATTTTTAGTATTATTCACCATGTTAGCCAGGATGGTCTCGATCTCCTGACCTCGTGATCTGCCCGCCTCGGCCTCCCAAAGTGCTGGGATTACAGGTGTGAGCCACTGTGCCCGGCCCCATTACATGCTTTTAGAATGGTCAAAATTAAAAAGACTGAACACATCAAGTTTTGACAAGAATGTGAAGGAATTGACACTCTCATATATGGCTGGCAAAAAGGTAAAATAATACAACCATTTTGTAAAATAGTTTGGTAGTTTCTTCAAAATTTAGGTATATACTTATTTTATGACCCTAGATATTTACCTAAGAGAAATGGAAACTTATATCCACACAAAGACTTGTAGATAAATGTTCACAGAAGCTTTGTTTTATTAACCCAAAACAGAAAACAACCCTAATGTCTTTCAGTGGTTGAATGGATAAACAAACTATGGTATATACATACGATGGAATACCACTTGGCAATATAAAGAAATAAATTATTGATCCACAGGAAAACATGGCTGAATCTCAACATAATTATGCTAAGTGGGAGAAGCTGGAGAAAAAAAAGTTCTTTTTTTTTTTCTTTTTTGGGGACGGAGTCTCGCTCTGTTGTCCATGCTGGAGTGCAGTGGCGTGATCTCAGCCCACTGCAACCTCTGTCTCCCAGGTTCAAGCAATTCTCCTGCCTCAGCCTCGCGAGTAGCTGGGATTACAGATGCCCATTACCATGCCTGGCTAATTTTTGTATGTTTAGTAGAGACAGGGTTTCACCACGTTGGCCAGGGTGGTCTCGAACTCCTGACCTCAGGTGATCTGCCCGCCTTGGCCACCCAAAGTGCTGGGATTACAGGCGTGAGCCACCATACTCGGCCAGAGAAAAAGAGTTCTTAATGTATGTTTTCAGTTATTTAAAATTCTAGGAAATGCAAACGAATTGATAGCGGCAGAAATCAGATCAGGGATTGCCTGGGAAAAGGAGAGATGTGGGCAGGAGAGAGGGAGGAATTACCAAGGGGCACAAGGAAACTTTTGTGTGTGATAGCTATGCTCATTTTCTTAATTGTGGTGATGGTTTCGTAGGTGTATATAATATAACCAAACTTGTCAAATCGTACACTTGAAATACATGCACTTAAATATTGTATTTTTATTGTTATGTCAATTATATTTCAGTAACTCTCAAAATACTCACCACTTTGTGCTCAGCACACTAATTCTCCAGTTTGAAAAGTCCCTTGTATGGTTACCAACCTGCCAACCTGGTTATTGGATGAGAAACCCAGTATTCCAGCTCACAGCTTGATTATTGCCTCTTCTAAGTGCCTGTTACAAAAGGTCAGGCATCTTCAAGATGCTAAAATGAGTGAGGAAACTAGACTGGAAGGGATTAGGGAGGGAGGCAACAAGGACCTATGGAAAGGGAGTGGGCCAGAGGTGGGTTAAAGATGAAGTGCTGCTACTTACCGCTGTGTGATCCGAGCAAGCTTCTTAACCCCTCAAAATCTATCACATAGGGGCATTTGGTCATAAGCATCAGAAACTGATTTGAGCTAATTTGAACCACAAAAGAACTTATAAAAGAAATGAGAGTATTCATGAGACAAAAGTTGAATGAATGCTATATATTGCTGCATAACAGACTTAGTGGCTTAAGACAATGATTTTTTATCTCTCATAATTCTGTGGGTTAGCTGGGCAGCTTCCCTCTCTAGTTTTGCCTGGCCTGCTCATGCATTGCATTCAGGGAAAGCAGCTGGGCTAGAAGGTCAAAGACGGTCACACTCACATCTCTGGAAGGTGGTACTGCGCTGCTGTCTGTGGCGTCTTCTTTCTTCTTCATGTGGCGTCTCATCCTCCAATGCAGGTGAGATCTGCTGCTTTCAGGGCCTTTAAAGGACAATGTTCCAAGTGGGTGAAGGCAGAATTTGCCAGACCCCTTGAGTCTGGCCTCTGGAACTCACATACCTCTTCTGGCTCATTTTGTAAGCCAGAGTAATTCACAAGACCATCTTAAATTCTGGGGAGTGAAGAAATAGACTGTGACACCGGGTAGGAAGGATGGCTTAGTCACATGGCAAAAGGTATGCATGCTAAAAAGAGAGGGGTGCGTAGCCACTGTTAAATAAAACTTGGGAGAGACCATTGTTTTGGACTGAATTCCTGCACTGGGCCCCAACAGGCCAACCCAAATGGAGTCACTCATGTTAAGTGCCACGTAATCAAACTAAAACTTTAAAAAGCAGTAAAATCCCAAAACAGGCCAGGTTGCCAAAAAGAAAAAAAAAAAAAGGAGTCCAGTCAACCTGAGTGGCATGATAAAGCAAGTTCCCTCTGTTTTAATCCACACAATGAAAGCAACCTGAAGTAACCAAGATAACCAGAAGTAACCAAGTAAGCGGATATTAACCAATATGCTTTTTGTACTATGCTGTTTCCTTGTTCCTGCTCAAACTACCTTACAGAATCTTACTGTTCTGCCATTCCCAGTGGAGCTCTTGTCTATTTTATCAACTAGGTGCTGCCCAGTTTATGAATTGCTAATAAAAGCCAAGTAAGCTGGGTGCAGTGACTCATGCCTGAAATCCCAACACTTTGGGAGGCTGAGACAGGTGGATCGATTCTGCCTAGGAGTTCAAGACCAGCCTGGGCAATATGGCGAAACCCCATCTCTACAAAAAAATACAAAAATTAGCTGGGCATGGTGGTGGCACATGCCTGTAGTCCCAGCTACTCAGGAGGCTGAGGTAGGAGGATCACTTGGGCCTGGGGAGTCAAGGCTGCAGTGAGCTGAGATCTTGCCACTGCACTCCAGCCTGGGTGACACAGCAAGACCCTGTCTATAGATAGATAGATAGATAGATAGATAGATAGATAGATAGATAGATAATTATTATAACTGATAATTAAATGAAATAATGTATTTGAAATGCCCAATATATAAAAGACACTTATTGAACGGGTACCTACTATTAATGTCATTATGGTTATGAACAGAGATCTCTCAAAAGAAAGTCTCTTGCTCAAGAATACTTGTCATGGTGACCTCTTTGGTGGAGGCTGCAGGGTATGTGACAAGGAACTGAGTTTTGTTGTCAAACTTTTGGGAGAAAGACTCGCTTACTCTTTCCTTTTGTAAGCCCACAAATGCAGCTGGGGTAAGGAATTAAAATGAGATTGTATTTGATTTGCCTTAAAATTCGCGTTTACCTTATAAACGTGTATACTGGACAGTGTCCAGTCAGCAGAACGGAAACTACCCTAGGAATTTCAAGTAGAAGAAAGTTAACCTAGGAAATGGGCTGCAAATGTGTTGAAGAGCTGGAGGAGAATAAAAGGGGAGAGCTGAGATCATTCAGAGACCAGTAACTGCAGGAAGCTACTACTACCGTCCTAAGGCTGGCTGAACAAAAGGAAATATGGTGTGATCCACAAAGAGTCGGTGATTGCTCGGTGGCTGAAGCTGCTGTGATACTTGCTGCTCCACGGCCGTTATTGGAAATCTTTCAGGAAGCCGAGAAATTAAACTCCCACCAAGGGCTGCCTGTCACGGACACTGATGCTGCCAGATCCAGAGCCCAGGAACGCCCTGCTGCAGAGGCTGCGAGAGCACTCCCTGCCCCCACTGCTGTTGAAACTCCACCTGAGCAGAAACTCAGTCACCTACTGCCGCTGCTACTGCTATTGCCGCAGCTGCTGCCACTGCTGCTACTGCTGCCACTGCCAGAGACTTCAACAGAAGGAGAAATAAAATCAGCTTCTTTCTCCCTTCTACCCTCCTTCCAAGCTCCCACCAGTGTCTCCCATTGGCAGAGGCTACTGGGAAGCAAGCTGGCTGGGGATTCTGGGAAATGTAGTTTGCAGGCTTCCAGCTCCTACAGAGAAGGGCAGGGAGAGTGGGGTGGCATTGAGAGCCGACAGGCAAACAGGCAGTACCATGTGAAACACAGACGTTTCGCAGAGCGCCGCTGCGTGTGTGCCTCTCTAGATGCTTTCCGTTTGGGTCTCGTTGAAGCAAAGTGAATGTATGTTGAATGTTTCAAAATTCTTAATGGAATACTGTCACACCACATTTAACCATCTGGCAATCAAATCCCTATTCCTTCTGGCCATTTACTCCTTTCCTCCTTAGGTTTGGCATTGGATGTGTAAATTCTGGAAAAAAAAAAAAAAACCTTTGCGTTTCACACTCCACTTTGCAGAACACCAGTGGAGTCTTTCCGGTCTCCTGCCTCTTATCCTCTTGAAAGTGCTTCATTAAATACCCAAGGGGCTGGATATATTGCATGGGACATCTTACGCAAAGGGATACATAGATTCCTTGTATTCCCTTAAGTAATCTCAAAAGATGCTCCTGGTTTTTCTTCAAAATTGTCTACGATTTTTTATTTTATCTATGATTACACACCTAGTCTGCTACATCTGTGATAATGCAAAAGGCTATTCTATTAAACTAGCAATGGCTGTCCCTTATGAAATGAGGTCACTTCCTCTTTAGACCTGAGCACTGAGAACATTAGATTATTCTTCGATTTTCTCTTAGGTTTATTGAGCCTGATTGTTCCTTCATGGGCTGAAATCATGCTGCTCTCTCCAAGAACAGCCCTGAGGAGGGGGCGAGTGGGAGGCTGTGATAGCTCAGAACCACTCCAACAAATAAATCAAAATCCAAAATAGAGCTGCTGTGAATTGGAAATCCTTCAGTATTTCGGATTTCCAACTCAGAGCATGGTCAGAGCTCAGGAGGAAACTTTGTTCCTACCCCAGAATTGGATCCTCAGGTAAAATCAAGTGACAGAACAGCGAGGGTAGTCATAAAGACAGAAAGTGAAGGGAGGCTTGTTTTGCCAGGGACAGTCCCACAGCCTTGCCATGGAGCCTCGTGTCTGCCTCCGCACCTGGCTGAGTCGCCCAGTGCCTGGTAGGCCCCTCCTATGGCAGTGACAGTTGCATGAGGCAGAGGTAGGGGCAGATGCAGGGGTGGCCAGTGGTCCAGTACAGGGTTCAAGGGATGCAGCTGCCTGTGAGGCCATCACAGGGATGAGGGATGGCATATTTCAAAGAAGTTTAAAGACAGAAACCAACAGGTATCAAGTTCCTATGATGGGACAGGCATGCTCTATCACTTTTCATTTTAATCCTGACAGTAACCTTATGACATTATCTCCTTTTTAGAAACAGGAAAACAGATGATCTTGCATCTGGCAAGCCACCTAGCCAGGACGCAATGCCCTGTCTCTGACACCCACATGCCCCTGAGGCGAATCCCGGCACTAGCTCCTCCTAGGACAAGCAGGAGGGACAAATAACCTTCACTGATCAGCTGTCATGCGCCAGGCATTGTGCTATGTGTCTGACATATGTTACCTACTTTAGACCTCCCCAGCACCCTGAATCATAGGTCCTGGTGTTCCCATTTTACAGGGTAGGAACATAAAGTCGAATGTTATAAATGTGTACAGGCAGGGGATTTGAACCCGGGCTTACTTATTCCAAAGCCAGATCTTTCTGTGGCATCAGCAGCTTCCTGATCTATTTTGGGAGTGGAGATGTAAGCATTGAAGGTCAGGAAGAGGGCTGGGCAGAGCAGGCCAAGAGCTGGATGATTGGTTTGGACACAGTGTGTGGAAACAGGAGAGCCTTGGGGCCTGGGGTGACTGTGCACTTGTCACAGCTGTCTTGCTCTTTGTGGCCTCTTCCCTGCCAGTGTCTCCCAGGGGTTAAGAAAGGCTTGAGCCGCTTTTATTTTTCCCCTAGAACAAGGTACAACAAGGCTGAGGTCCCAGCCAAATGTTTCTGGGCCCACAGTGGGCCCTCTTGCTGCCGCTCCTCCTGCCTGCACCTAAACCTGTGGGACCCCATGTAGCAAAAGCTCCTTTCAGCACAAGCAAGGACTCCCTTCTCAGGAGGCCTCCCTCCTCAATACAGAGGTCAGGGCCAGAGCCTACTCTTTAATTCATATCCCCGAAGACCCTTTACATCACTTACACCCAGGAGAGGGTCCATAATTATCTTCCCACTAACTGAAAAAACACATTAACCTTTTAAAACAAAATCCCCAGGGTTTTAGGAAAAGTGTAATCACTGAGGTCAACTTCGTGGGCTTACACTGGGATTTGTGAGCAACATTTTAAATAACTAAAAAGCATTAAGTAGTTAGTGACATCTAACAAAATATAAAAAGTAGACTATAAATATATGACCATTTTCTTTTTTATTTTATTATTATTATTATTATTTGAGACATAGTCTTGCTGTGTCACCCAGGCTGGAGTGCAGTGGCGCAATCTCAATTCACTGCAACCTCAACTCACTGCAACCTCCGCCTCCCGGGTTCAAACGATTCTCCTGCCTCAGCCTTCCAAGTAGCTGGGATTACAGGTGTGCACCACCATGCCTGGCTAATTTTTTGTATTTTTAATAGAGACGAGGTTTCACCATGTCTCTGGTCTCAAACTCCTGACCTCAAGTGATCCTCCCACCTCGGCCTCCCAAAGTGCTGGGATCACAGGCATGAGCCACTGTGCCCGGCCAAAATATGACCATTTTCTAAAGTCTCTTTCTTTTAAAATTTGGTGTCATGAAACAGTATTTCCTGCCTACAACTTGTAGTCATGTCCTCACTCCAGAATGTACCCTGCTCTCCTCTGAAGAAGAAAAAGAAGACAAAAAAGGAAATCATGTACTATTGGGAAATTGCTGGTTGAAAACTTCTCCTAACTCAATATTTTGTCCTCCTACCCTAGTTCTGTGACAAAGCTCAGTGGTCAGATCATTACACATTTAAGCCAAACAGAACTCAGAAATGGGAGGAGAGACACACCAACACAGAGAAAATCTAAGATCATAAAATAAGCTATTCTAGCCACGTTTTCCATTCTAGGTGAATATTGCCTATAGAAAAATGTTTTTAAACACGATTTTGTGAAAAACTGCTACTGGGAAGCCGCTGACACGAAAAGGATGTCCTCTTGGTGGGGAATTTAATCCCGTTTTTGGTATTTCGTGTCCATTACATTTTCAACAGGTGATCAGGAAAGCAGTGCTGGTGCTGGTGTGATTTCTCGACTTTACAACAGGTGCATACAGGGCATCCAATGAGAGTTTGAAAACATGCATCCCCAGTGATCATTTCTTAGGAGATAGTTGAGGCTGTTTTGTAACTCTCAGTGGCTGCCATAGGCATTTTCACAATGTTGCTTTCCTGTCTTTAATTTTAGTTCCTCTTTGAGCTGTGGAACAGCTAACACTGCTGCAGAAATGACCTTCCGCCATGTTCTGGAGTCTTCAGCTCCAAATGGGATTGGTCAGGGCCAGTGCGTGACACACTGCCTTGCAGACGGAAAGCCTTTGTCAGTGAATTCTCAGTGGTGTCAGATTTCTATTCACTCAAGAACACACCCAGAAACCTGGAGAAACAGCTCTTGCAGAGTAATACCGACTCTCCCTCCTCCTGCTTGTGCACTGGCCCAGGCAGAGAGGAAGGAAGTCACAACTTAAAAATAAAATTCACACATAAGCTTTTGGCCAACATTTACATCTTAATAACCTGAAGTCCCATGGGGTCCCACGCTGAGCTTTGTCCATGACATTCACAGTGTTCACACACCTCAGACCATCTCTTCTGGGATCTTCCTGGGAGGGCTGCCCCAGCAAAGCGAGCAGTGCTGCCCTTTGCTGAGAAAAGGTCTCCCCGTGGCCGGGCTGGAGCCCCACGCGTGTGCTCTTATGTGCTGCTGCTGTGTCCATCTGCCTTGCAATAAATTCCCCAGGCTTTATCAAATGGCCTTGGCTTTAGAATTTGCCCTTCGGGACACTAATGGTAGAGGAAATAGCTTGTCATTAGATCAAAAAAATTGTCATGAAAGTCCCTGCTCTTCTGCAAAATTAACAAAGCCAAGGCCTCCTCCCTTGGAGCCTGCCTCACCTGACAGAGGTGTGTCTGGCAACGTCTGGACGCACCTGGGACCCAGAGCAGCCAGCGGGAGGCTTTCGGGCCCCCTCAGCAAGAGGAAGTGCATTTGAACACCTGGAAACAAAATGCATGTCTCCGGACTGCCCTTCAGTAAAACATTGCTTCCAACTCCTGATATGCAGCTTTATTTTCATTTTTTAGATTATCTCTCGGTAATAGCCAGGACATAACTCATGGCTGACTCCTTTTCTAATTCTCCAACTTGCCTCAGTGCCTCCCAAAGCCTAGTCCCCGATGGTAAGGCTCTGTGACCCAGCGGTCAGGGTGAGGCCCATGGCAGTCGCCTGGTTCTATTAAGAAACCTCTATTTGTAGTCCTGCGCTTCATTAGATAAACTGGTTTTCTGCATGTAGACTGCAAGTAATCACCGCATACAAACAAAATGAACTCTGCCGCCTAGCACTAGATAAGTAATGCTTCAGAAACTATTACTCTAGGCCTCTTCATAAACTCAGTCCCTTCCCAGCCGCCTCCCCACCCCACCCCCTGGCTAAAGTGAACGTGTACTTATTTGCTGGCTGAAATTCTGTCTATCCTGGTTTCACAATCCTCCCTGCCTCAGTGTCAGAAGTCATATAGTTGCACAGACAAGCTTATCTTTTGGCAGCAATTTCTAAAACAAATGTAAGTCCTTTGCTTTTCTCTCCCCTGCCAACCCCCGACACTGTACTGCATCGCATAAGCTTCCAAGCTTGCTTTTAAAGCTTCGTCCTTGAGCACATGGGACATGGAAAAATACTGCCTGATAGGGTGGCTAATCTAGTGGGATGATTGGAGATCAGTGGATTAGGGAGACTGTGGCGTCAATTGAAGATCAAGGTCCACTGTGCTTCATGCCACTCCTTTAGAACACAAAGGCCAATATCATTCTTGCCACACCAGCTTAAAACCCGATACCTCGGAAGCAGGTTAGGCAAGGCAGCACAAGGACTTGCTGAACCCAGAGCAAGCAAATATCCCCACCTGCAAGCCTGCTTGGCAGAGCAGGGCTGACAGTGGGGCACAGAGAAAGTTACCTCAACCATTCTGTACTCCTCTTGCCTTTAACGAGCCCCCATTTTAACCAAGTTTCATCCCTCCTCTTTTTAAAGCCTCTCGAAGGACCCATAATTGCCCTTGATAGAGCTCCTTCACATGTAATTTGAATGTAATTCACTTACATAGTCAATCTGATCAGCACTTACTAATCCATTGCCTATAACTCATTTTTCATTATTATTTCTTGAATGAGTGATTTAAAAAATTGCATATGCATATCGTTCCCAAGTCTCTCTCTGAGCCTCTTTGTGACGGGGATGGAGTAAGCACCAGCTTGTATTTCCTTCCTAGTTCCCCTTCCTGCGGCGCTTCCCTCTTGGGGAGATTTCGGTGAATGCTGAAGATACTTTCTTGGGCAGAAATGAAGGGGCTTTCCATCCTCTGTGGAAGAACCACATTGACAAGCCCCCCAGCACCCCACCTTCTTATTCCCAGTTGTGTGACCTCAGTTTCCCTGACCGTCTCTGTGCCTCTCCTCGCAGCCCTCTTGAGGACTTGTTTCTCCACCCCATGGCTGCTCTGCCAGGCATGGTCTAGGCCTGGACATCAGCAGTCACCAGGTTTGCTTCCGAGGAGCAGCGGCAGCAGGAGGAAGTCTGAAGCTGTGGTGAATGTGCTCCTTTTGGAGCAGGGCCCAAGGCCAACCTGAGTCCAGGAGGAAGAGATGAAGCAGGACAGCTGCAGTGGAGGATGAGGACAGGGGGACGCAGAAGCACCTTCCTGCTGAAGTGTACCGTGAGGGGGTGTGGGGACCACACTTGGGGTTCTGCAGCAGCAGCTGGAGAAGAGGGTCACCTCAAATTGCAGAGGATGCACTGGAAGGCAGAAGGGGGAAAGAGACTCAGAGAGAAACAGGGGGAGGGAGAGTAGGGAGAAGCAGGGGGAAAGGGTGAGGGGAGAGAAAAGAATTACCTGCACAAGATGGCCACTTGGATGGAGGATGAGGAATAGAGAGCCCGGAAGGCGAGAAATAGGTCTAAATTCATGGCACACATTCATACACAGGAGGCCTGGATCTCTGTGGGCGCTGGGGTGTGTGTGCACCGAAGGTCCACCTGGCCTGTAGTTGGTATGTCGATGAGGCCTTTTCCCTCTCAATGTCCTGTGATAGCCGGAAGCATTATAATTGCTTAAAGGATGGTGGCTAGAAAAGTTGAGAAAGTACATATTCCCTAGAGTGCTCTGCTATATTTTTCTACGTTTTTATTTCCTCCAAGAGTGACAATCCCTCAAAAGCTCAGGAGGCTGCTTTGAAGGGGGAATTAGGGGCCAAGAGGCTTGAACGCCAAGAGAGGGAGCTGCGCTATCTCTAGGTGTGAGAATAGGGCTGGCCCAGCCTCCTGAAGAGGGGCTTCTCCAGGCCCAAGCCCAGGACCAACAGCAGCTGTGGGTGTGGGAGAGCGGCTGCTCTGGCCAATAGGACTACACCAACTGGGGTGTCTGAGCCAAACAAAGCCCACCAGGGACACCCCATGTTGGATCGGGCACCATATTTTCCTCCTTCCACCTGGAAAGTGATGCTGTAAGCTCCCGTCTGACTCATTCTCCAGGCTCAGCTTGAGCCCACCTCCAGCAAGAGGCCTCCCCAACCTGCTCCCACCCTCATTTAAACCAACAGCCCTCATGGCATCTACCAATTACAGTTTGCTGTTCATCAGTTTTTCCAAGCAGATTAATATTTTGAGGCCATGAGCAGTAGGGTTTTCAGAATTAAATAGAAAACTTTAGCACTGTTTGAAAACTTTAAGAAAAAAATCGGACTACCAGCAGAAGTGTCTTCCATGAGTGCTTTATACTTTTAAACTGGACTTTTTTTTTTTAATCTGGGAAAGTTGCAAATGAAGATGAAGAATCTGCAAAGACGTATCCCCCGGTGTTTAAAAAGAAATGCTTGGCCAAACAGGCTACCTTCAGGTTGTATTTTTTATTTTAATGAAGCAGGTCGGTCTCAGAAAGAAATGTCATAAAGAAAATGTGGCACATATACACTGTGGAATACTACGCAGCCATAAAAAAGAATGAGATCACATCCTTTGCAGCAACATGGATGCACTGGAGGACATTATTCTAAGTTAATTAACTCAGAAACAGAAAACCAAATATCGCATGTTTTCACTTGTAAGTGGGAGCTAAACATTGGGTACACATGGTCAAAAAATGGGAACAGTAGATACTGGGGAATACAAAAAGCAGGAGAAGGAGAGGGGGTTAAGGGTTAAAAACTACTATCTATTGGGTACTATGCTCACTACCTGGGTGACAGATTCATGTGTGCTCCAAACCTCAGCATCATGAAATTACAGCTTTGTAATAAACTTGCCCACGTACCCCCTAATTCTAAAATAAAAGTTGAAAAAAAAAAGAACACTTCATTTGCAAGGAGGAAATCAGAAGCCCAGGGTATAAAACTGCAAAGGATGTACGGTGGGAGGGAGATGTGACGCCAGTGGAGATTTAACTGTATCGATTATACTGATATTTCAACTAGCATCGTTACTGTTCTTGGTAATAGTAACAAGGCTCTGGTTATAAGTTCCGTTAAGTTTTGAATGGTCTGCCCACCTCTACTTTTCCCATGAGCTAATTATTTTTCACCCTTCGTTTTCCAGAAACGAGAGTTTTCATGGGCGATGAGGCGGATGAACGTATGAGATTGCAGTAGAAGCTCCAGTATGCGGCGATTTCTGGCTTATTGACCTATGACACTTTTTTTCTGGATTCTTATCTCATTTAACTTTGCTATTTGTATTAGTTTCCAAATGCTACTATAGCAAATTTCCACAAGCTTAGTGGCTTAAAACAACCCAACTGTGTTATCCTACAGTCTGAAGGTCAGAAGTCCAAGTTAGGTCTCACTGGACTAAAATCAGGGTGTAGACAGGGCTGTGTTCCCTCCCGCCTTGGCCAGCTTCTAGAGATGCTCTCACTCCTTGGTTCAAGGCCCCTCTCGTCTTCCAAAGAGAGCCATGTCCGGTCTTAACTCGCATTAACTCCAACTATCTTGACTCTTTTGTCCACTTATCAGGACCCTGTGACTACACTGGGCCCACCTGGATAGTCTAGACTCATCTTCCCATCTCAGATCTTTAACTTAATCTCATCTGCGAAATCCCTTTTGTCATGTAAGCTAATGCTCACAGGTCCGGGGATCAGGATGTGGACATTTTAGGGGTGTCATTATCCTGCCTGCCACGCTGTGGTTATTCACCTTTCTATGTGTTCATGCTTTGGCACCCCCAGCAGATGGGAAGCTCCTCTGGGGAGTGGGGTACTGCTTCTTTGTCATTCTGTTCCCCATAGCAATTGCCCAATTCAGATACTCAGAAGGTATTTTTCAATTAGTTTTCCTTCCTGACTCCTGGTTTGAATAACACAGAAGTGTATTTCTAGGTAGTAGCTGTGTTGAGCCAGCCATGGTATCTTACCTTCTTGCTAGTCAGTGGGATACAAAGATGATTCAATATTGCCCCAATTTTCAATAAATTTGCCAGGTCGGGCACGGTGGCCCTCGCCTGTAATCCCAGCATTTTAAGAGGCCAGAGCAAGAGGATTACTTGAGCCCAGAAGCCCAAGACCACCCTGGGCAGCATAGTGAGACCTCGTCTCTAGAAAAAAATTTAAAAACTTAGCTGGGCATGGCGGTGCCTGCCTGAAGTCCCGGCTACTTGGGAGGCTAAGGTGGGAGGATTGCTTGAGCCCAGAAGTTAGAGGCTGCAGTGAGCCATGATCACACCACTGCACTCCAGCCTGGGTGACACAGTGAGACCATGTCTCAAAATAAATAAATAAATAAATAAATTTGCCTTGCAAAATGTTCAAGATGGCTGGACAGCACCCACAGGGTAAGCTCTTTGACACAGGAACGACACATACAACTAAAGATAAAAATAATGTGATACTTGATTGAGCATAATTTTATGGAGCAGAGGTAGCTAGAATGAGTGGAGAAAGCAACCAGGGAGAAGAGAGCCGAGTGGGTTATTCTCTCCAAATTTTGAATAAAGTCATGGGAAAATCAAAGTAGTAGGAAGGGGTCAAAATGAAGCGTGCAAAGATGTAAGAGTATTATCACGAGAACCCAAGACAGCAAAATACGTGTATGTCTAAATACACCAGAACAGCAAAGGAGAGCTTACCTTATTTAAAGTGACATAAATAAAATTGTAAAACGTAGGGATGCTACTGGAGGCTGAGGGTGGAGGAGACACTGATATAAGCAGCTTTCTTGGTCCTTTGCTTTTGTCGATCAATTTTCCAGGATTAGCTAAAATGCAGCCAGATTTATCCCAGTAAGAAAAAACGTACCCCCTTTCTGGATGCCCAGAGCACTTTGTTTCCTCAGTACAAAGCAGTGACCACATGTGGCTTCAAATTTTGCCATGGAAATCCCCTTACACCCCCTGAAAGCAGATTCAGGTGTGCTAGATGGTATTTTCCAAAGATGAAACCGTCACAGTATCTCCTACTCATGTGCTTCCAGAACTTCGCCACTACCTAGTCAAGACGTAGAGCCTAATTCCGTTTCCTTGAGTCAAGGCAGGTTTGGGACTCACTCACAACCCATAGAAGGCAGTACAATGGATGCTGCCTAGCTTCTAGGTCATCAAAGGCGGCTGAGCTTCTGTCTTGCTGGGGCATTTGCTCTCGGAGCCCTGGCCTTCCACGTGAAGTCCGAGTACCCAAGGCAGCCATGCTGTGAGGGAGGCCACAGTGCCTGGGGAGGACCAGGATGGACGCTGCAGTCAGCGGACCTCATCCTCCAGTGCTCCAGGCCAGGGTTAGACATATAAGGAAAGGAGCCGTTAGACCATAATACACCCCAGCTGCTGCGTTACCCACAGTGGTCACAGCCCCAGCTGTCATGCAGCAGAGACAAGCCACTCCTGCTGTCTAAATTCCAAACCCGCCAGGTGTGGTGGCTCATGCCTGTAATCCCAGCACTTTGGGAGGCTGAGGCAGGCGGATCACGAGGTCAAGAGTGCAAGACCAGCCTGACCAATATGGTGAAACCCCGTCTCTACTAAAAATAGAAAAAAATTAGCCGGGCATGGTGGCACTTGCCTGTAATCTCAGCTACTCAAGAGGCTGAGGCAGGAAAATCGCTTGAACCCAGGAGGCAGAGGTTGCAGTGAGCGGAGATCGTGCCATTGCACTCCAGCCTGGGTGACAGAGTGAGACTCCATCTTAAATAATTAATTAATTAATTAATTAAATAAAATAAAATAAATTCCAAACCCACAGACTCTGAGAGCATAAATAAGATGATCTTTTTAAACCACTAAATTAAGGGGTGACTTCTTATGCAGCAACAGTACCGGGGGAACCAGGTATGAGCAGTGCACATATTTTCACTGAATTTATATTGTTTGGGAAGTTTTCCTGGTTAAGAGTTCCGATTATAGACATTATGTTAACAGAGAAACCAACACCTAGGACGATTAGAGGGTAATCAGTGGCTTCTCCAGGGCTTCAGCTACAGTGATGGGTGAGAGGAACATGACAAGGATCAATTCTGAGAGTGCTGGCCGGGTGCAGTGGCTCACACCTGTAAGCCCTCATTTTGTGAGGTCGAAGTGGGTAGATCGCTTGAGTCCAGGAGTTCAAGACCAGCCTGGGCAACACGGCAAAACCCCATCTCTACAAAAAATACAAAAATTAACTGAGAGTGGTTGTGCTCACCTATAGCCCCAGCTACTCAGGAGGCTGAGAAAGGAGGATCACTTGAGCCTGAGGAGGCCAAGGCTGCAGTGAGCCGTGATGGTGCCACTACACTCCAGCCGGGGTGACACAGTGAGACCCTGTATTTAAAAAAAAAAAAAAAAAAGTATTCTACTTGAAGCAAGAAAAAAATATTTTCTGGAAGGGAATCACTTTCCTAAAAAAGAAAAGTAGCAGAATTTTTGTGCCTAGGGACAACTGAGAATAGGCACCCCCTCACCCATGCTGTGTCCTCCAGGATGAGCTGCCCACAGGTGAGGTGGGGGACCACCACCCAGCTTAGGCAGGAGTGGCCCCTGCAGGGGCAACACAGCGAAGAAGGCTTATCAAGCAGGATGGGGGTTTCCAAGCAGTGCTGCAAAAAGGCCTTTCTGTTGTTTTTTATGTAAGTCTGTTTCATGCCACATTTTGGGTGAAACACACACACACACACACACACATACTGCACAGCTGACAGTGGACAGGACTTCCTGGTGACTCTGGGTAAAGTCATTGTTGCTGGAAGAGAAGGGAAATGCATGTTTCCGGTGAGTTTTGCCTTATGTGGCTAAAATGTGAGGAACTTGGCAAATTTCCCAGTGCAAGAAGTCTATGGGACAGTCTGAAAAAGGAAGGGAGGATAATCTCCACCAGTTACTGAAGTGAAAGTGAACTGTTCTTTTCTGGGGACCCTTCCTTACAGAGAAAGGGTTGAAATGAAAAACACAGCACAGCCAATTTTGTAATATTATCTGGCCAGTTTAGTAGCCTATAGGTATTGTTTAAGGCATTTAGAAATTCAAGTGGTTGTTAGGACTATTTTTTTCTTTGCTTAAGACATCTAACCAATTTTGCATAAACTAGGATGGGGAATATAAAGGCCTTGGTGTTTCTTTTCCAGTTAAATAAATCTATCAATAAATAATTATGGAGCAGGTAACTCCCAAAATGTTTACTTGGATAATGAAATTCCAAGAAAGAGCCTTTAAAATTTGTAGTAGGCTGGGCACGATGGCTCACGCCTGTAATCCTAGCACTTGGGGAAGCCGAGGTGGGTGGATCATTTGAGTCCAGGAGTTTGAGACCAGCCTGGACAACGTGGTGAAAACCTGTCTCTACAAAAAGTTTAAAAATTAGCCAGCCTGTAGTCCCAGATACTCAGGAGGCTGAGGTGGGAGGATCATTTAAGGCAGGGAGGTCAAGCCTGCAGTGAGTCGTGATTATGCCACTGTACTCCAGCCTAGGTGACAAAAGCAGACCCTGTCTCAAAAGATAATAACAATAAGTAAATAATAAAAATTTGTAGTAAATAGATGTCTCTTTTTGGGGCTTATTCTGCATTATAAATTCACTCAGCATCAAGGCCACAGGATTAACTTTTAAACGTCAAGCTTCCTTCTTGTCCTGAAATGTGTCAACAGGTACTGAGTGTTGGCTCAAAGTAACTTGGTCTTACCTGGGGTAATCCCCTACCAGATACCCTCAATTATCTGGTCACTACAGAGCCAAATCTCCAGCATGCCTGGGCTGACATTCTGGAGAAAGTGAATCACAAATCACCTTGAATTAAGGTAACGTGGCTTCTACCACACAAAAGCCCCAAACCTCAGTGATGAAACACAATAGAAATTCACTTCCCACTCATGCAGGAATTGGCGCAAGGCAAGAATGAGGGACGTGCCAGACAATCCTGTGGAGCCTATGCCGAGACAGGCTCTGCCATCCTACGGGCATGTCCCCAGCACTGCTGCCAACAGATAGGATCAGAGAGCAAAGGATGGGCCGGAGCGTTTTGTGGGCCAGGTGTGGAAGTGTCATACATCACTTCCTCCTAGCTTCCCATGGCCAGAACTGTCACCTGGCCCAAATTATTAAGTAGATGCAGGTGTCTCTTGAAAACATCTTCTCTGGCTGAGCAGCCACTTCCCAGCAACAGAGAAGGGGAGCAGAATTCCCTGATGAACATCCAACCTTTGGCCACCATGTCACTTACACTATGGATTCTACCCAGCCCCAGCCTGTGGGATAGCTCCACAGATGATCAAACCGCTCCTAGTCCCAGCAGGTCCATAAGACCATGCTTTGCTGTCTTGATCTGTATTACATTCATTTGGAGCAGTACTTTGGAGCTGGGAGATGGTCCTTCCTGTGGGGATGCAGCAAAGATGGATGAGGCTAGGTCTGCCCAGCTCATCCTGTTTCCAGTGCTCATTCACCAAGGAGGCCAACCAACATGGGAGGTCCTTATGAAAGGAAAGCATGTTCCTCTGGTGCTCAATGATAGATGAACACCTCAGCATATGCAGGGCCCAGGGCAGGCTCAGGTGTCGAGAAGATTTGCTGTGGAACTAGGCCCTGGCCAGGATTTCACTTAGTAATTAACTCTAGGTGTTCTTTTTCCTCTGTGAGTAGCTACTAATGATATAATGGCTGGATTCAATGCTGAAGGTAAGCAGACCTGCTCAGAGATCTGTTTATTTACATAATGAGTTAGCTTGCCCTGTGGCCCCATCACTCTCCTATGTAAATCTAGATTATTTTTAAGGAATGGCAAATATAAGCCATGATTTATTGTTAATTCATTATACTAGGCACTGTGCAAAATACAGTACAGTTTTTATTTATAATAGTAACAACAGCTCTGCAAGGTAGACATTATTGTTTTTATTTTAAAATGAGGTGCAAGGTTAGATAGCTCCTTCAAGGTAGCTGATGAGCAGCCGAGCTAAGACTGGAGTCCTGGCCTATGCAATTCTAAGCTGTGCTCTCCTTCCTACGTGCCATATGATGCATGCCCCACCACCATGCTGTGGGATGCTTGCCACCAGCCTCCTAGAGTAAATGCCTGGCACACACACAGCGAACACCCACCCACTCATCCCCACTGATGAGACTCACCGCAGTAAGCCTTCTCAGGACACTAACAGTAAGCATGGTACACTCACCTTGATAGAGTAACTCCCGTGTGCAAGAAGTTTGTAGAAAACATATTCATTGAAAAGTGAGTGTCCATTGCACATGACTGTGCATATCAACAACATATAATCTGGCCACACCCACCCCTCTTTAGCCATGCCAAGGGTGAGCTGCAGAGTTACAACAGCTGTTTTGGATTCTTGTAAGTGTTCATGTCATCATCAGTACGAGGTCCACTTCTCTTCACTTCTGCTTCTTCACAGTTAACAAACCAGGGAAGTGTGCCTTGTCTTTCTCCAGATAGGTTAAAAAGGCCGCAGGAATTCAGAGAGTAACCAACTTGTCACTAATACAGCCTTTTTGCCAGGCCACCAGAGCATTTGAAAAGATAGTTACTACTGCTAAGAGTCATATCATTGAGCAGAACCTTGTACAGTGAAACATTTTTATGTGTGTCTTTGAATTCTTTAAGCAAAGGCAGAGCAGTTTGGTACTGGAAATCACAACAAAGAAAAGCACATTGCACATTCCCTAACTGCCATTATTAAAATAATTACTTCATTTATTGGAGTGTTTCACATTGCCGGGCACTATCATGGGTGCTTTACACTCATTGTCTTATTCAGTCCTCACATTGCTCCTACAAAGACTATAATTTTATTATTTCCCTTTTGCAGAAGAAAACAAAAACAAACTAAGAGTCAGATTAAGTAAGCACATAGCACACGACAGCAGAAGGTGAGCCCAGGTTTGTTTGAATGCCTCTAAAGCCCATGCTTTTTCCTTTGTACCAGATAGCTAGAGGCCCCAAAGCTGTTTGCAAAAAATGCCAGCCCAAAGGAAACTCTAGCATGAAGTGGGGAGCCTGTCCAGTGCCACATGGCCGTGTTGCTGTTGTGCCCTTACAAGAAAGGGAACACAGTGTTCCAAAACTGCACAGGGACTGTAAACAAAATAAATGGCAGCTCTCAGAATTGGTGCTAATCCCTTGCTGGAGGCTGATTTCAGAAGAAGCCTACTGTGCAGCATTTGACTAGGTAGCCTGGCCCCCAAAATATTAAAAGAAAGTGCTGAGAACAATGTCTGTTTTGTGAGTGTGTATGCATTTAAGGCAGATTATCTCTTCCTATGCCAGTGCTTTCCTGTGCGTATCAGATCTCAAATGCTTGCTTAGTTATTTAAGAATTCCAAGGAAGCCTGAAATGAGCTTTTATAAGGAGAATTCCAAAGCTGACATTTGTTGATGGAAATAATTTCATAAGGTTTGACAGAATGGAAGATTTGCAATTGCATTTGGAGGCAGCAGTGGGATGGAATTACAGGAAGGACCCCTGCCAGCATGTCCCTCATACATAATAAATAAATAGAGCACGGCCATGAACCAATGACTTCAGATGAAAATGCTCGCATGTAAACATACACGTATTTTATAATTTATTTGTAACAAAGGCCTTAGGAAGGTATAGGTGAAAATGAGTTCATAAGATATGCCGTCAGCCAGGCACAGTGGCTCACTGTGATAATCCCAGCACTTTTGGAGGCTGAAACGGGTGGATCGCCTGAGGTCAGGAGTTCGAGACCAGCCTGACCAACATGGTGAAACCCCATCTCTACTAAAAATACTAAAAAAATTAGCTGGGCGTGGTGGTGGGTGCCTATAATCCCAGCTACTCGGAGACTAAGGCAGGAGAATCACTTGAACCCGGGAGGCAGAGGTTGCACTGAGCTGAGATCGTGACATTGCACTTCAGCCTGGGCGACAGAGGGAGACTGTCTCAAAAAAAAAAAAAAAAAAAAAAAAGATTTGTCATCTATTGACTGCAGTCTATCAAGTCCTAGATATATTATCTTATTTAATCCTGACAACATCTTGTGAGTTTGTGGAGAAAAGGATTCTCATGGCCATGCTACAGATAAGAAAATTGAAATTCAGAGAGGTTAAGTCCACAGAGGGTAGTAAGCGGCTGAGCTTAGATTCAAATCCAGGTCCTGCTTCCAAAGACAGGCTCTTTCTCACTTCTCTGAATAACAGACTTCACATTTCCTCGCACAGCTGAGCATCACTTTGAAGTTCCTATTCCTCCCTCCGAGGCATCTGAGGAATCCTTGGGACTAGGAAAAAATAATGATATGTACGCAGAGGTTGTTTATTTGTTTACACACACAGCCCTTCCCTACCCTACGTTGTTGTTGTTGTTTATGTGCCAGAGTCCCCAGAGCCTGCTCTCCACAGTGTGAGATAGTACATACCCTCATCGGCCTGTAAGCTACCTCCTTTGAGCTTCGAGAATTTGCCCATAAATTCCCACACATCATAGGATCCTTAGCTTTGACTGAGTTCCTTCGCATTCTTTGTGACCTGGAAGCTTTCCATTTTTCAGACTTAAAGATACTGCTGTGAACAAGTAAACATGTAACAACATCTGTTCTCCATTTGAAGATCCATTCAATCACACTGGTTTCTTTCTCTGCTCCCCTAACTTCATGGGGGCAACTGGCAACATGTCAGGAGCAGGGACTCATCGATTTTCTGTTTTAAGTGCTACCCCTTTTCTCTTTTCCTTGTCCTTCCCAATAATACCCACAGGCCTGTGTTAGGATTCCTTCCAGCGCATGTCTTCAGGGTATAACAAGAGTCACAGGTGAAATTATGTTAGAGGCAGGGTCTGAGCTGCTTGGCTGCTTTCCCTCATTCACCTAACTTCATATTGCAGGGCTAAGGGAATCCAACATCATTTTACCCATTCTTGGGATCTTGAAAGTTCTTTCTACAGTTTAACATCGTTATTCAATTAATGAAAGATTTCGATGACACTGTAGACTTGGAAAATTCACTGAACAATTCTATTCCACAGTTATTTCTGAAAATGTTACATAAAATCAACTTCTGGTGCTCCCAGTTCCCAAGAGGCCACATCTTCAATATTTCTTTGTCATGGATGCATGAAATTGTTTGAAAATAGAAAGGAAGTTTTACTTCCCTTGCTCCAAAACCCAGGATAACTTTCGATTTAATAGGCCTCTTTAAAGTCTGGGAACCCATGCTATTGCCTCCCCTGTTATCCACAAACCCACTCATCAGCCCTTTCCCCACTGAAGAATGAATGAGGCGTGACTCCCTGCCCAAGCAGCATTTCTGCCACTACATCAAAGCTCATTCATGCTTTGAGCTCCCAAAACGTAAATCCAAAGAAAACCTAGCATAAACGTTTTGCCCTGGTCAACAACTATCTGTCAAGTTAGATAACAGTGCAGGCTACCTTCTTCCCAAGTCAGGTCCTCAATATGGGAAAGTAGAGGAGGGAAAAATAGAAATTCCAGTCCGGTTTGGGTGGGTTAAAGAAGGAGACAGGGAGATTCAGGATTTGTGGGATCCCAAAGCTTATAAAATTTGAGGCATCCTGTTTAAGGAAAAAAAGTAAGATTATAAATATAAAATTATATATGAGTGTTAATATTTAGAATAAGAAAAGAACACAAGACAATAAATAATTTTTTAAAAAATGGCAAATAACACAAACGTGAAGTCCAAAAAATTAAGATTTTTCTTTAAATAACTGCTTAAAACATCTCTATCATACTTTTTCCATATGTTTATTAGCTGCCTATTTTATAATTTTGTAAATATAATTTACAAAAGAAATTATAAAAGAAATATAATTGCTTCTCAGACTTTTGGCTAAGACCAAGTATGGAGAATGGAAATATAACGCAGCCTTTTCTCCAGCATATTTGGTCAAAATTTGTTTTTTATTATCAAGAAGCTTGGAAAAGTTTCTTTTGGCTTCACAATTCATTCTTAATGATGTCATACACATATTTGGGTTGTTGTCAAGTTTCGGGAAATCCCTACGGCCTTTCATACAGGAGCTTTTGTAGACATGTTCATTATTTATAGTAATGCTACAGATTCCTGGCCAGTAAATATAGAAAGTCTGACAATTCTGGTTCATGCAATTCCTATCAAAAGCTAAAAATATAAGTATGATGAACTTACAATTGTATACTCTGCATTACTAAGTATATTAGTCTGTTCTCACATTGCTATAAAGAAATAGCTGAGACTGGGTAATTTATAAGGGAAATAGATTTAACTGGCTCACAGTTCCATAGGCTATACAGGAAGCATGGTGCTGGCATCTGCTCAGTTTCTAGGGAGGCCGCAGGCAATTAACAATCATGGTGGAAGGCGAGTGGGGAGTAGGCATGTCACATGGCCAGAACAGGAGCAAGAGAGCAAGGGGGAGGTGATACAACTTTTAAACGACCAGAGCTCACAAGAACTCATTTGTTATCATGAGGACAGTACCAAGAGGGATAGTGCTAAACCATTCATGATCTGCCATCAGGATCCAATCACCTCCCACCAGGCCCCACCTCCAACATTGGGAATTATATTTCAATATGCAATTTGGGTGAGGACATGTATCTAAACTATATCCCCAAGGTTATTCTGAACTGGGGAGAACTACACTTTTGAATAAGCATCATTAAGAATCAAGTCCTCTACCAACAGTTTTATCCTGTGATGGCTGGAAGAATTTCCCACAGACGAGCTGCTGGCTCCACATATTTCAAACATTGTTTTTCCTCCCCTTCCCCACACACTTCCAGGGCTGGTATCAATTGCCCTGCGTTCTCTGACGCTGCACATTTATGTCTTGACATCAGGAAAATCAGCCCAGTGGGCTCAGGGAGTATTCCTGGAAGTCATTCCTCATCAGGATGGTTATTCATAACTCAGCTATATGTGAAATTGTCAGAAAACCACATAAATAGGTCCCATTTAACCAAAACTAAATATATCTCTAACTTGAACTCCACTAAAGCAAATATGGAAAAACACCCCGGGCCACTCCCAGCACCCACGCAAAGAAAACAGAAACAGAGAGGAAGCAAGAATGGAAATAACCAGCAGTCTCCATTGCTTAAGTGTCTTACTTTTGCAAATTTTATAAACCTATGACCATTTGAACACATTCTAAGGTTCTTCCCAGGGTCTTACATTTTGTTATTTTAAGCCACCAAGTTTGTGGTAACTTCTTACAACAGCCCTGGGAAGCGAACAGGCCTGCAAAACTAGTTCCCACTGCAACTGAAATGAAAGAAGGAAAAATAAGCAGCATGACTTGTCCAGTCTTCTACTTGGAGAGCTAAGGATGTAGGATTTAATTCTTAAGGCTAAGGAAGTGATTGAGAAGAGGTTGCATGTTTCACTCACCTATTATTGCATAAAAAACCATGAAACAACCACTTCATCCTTATGCTCCCAGATTCTGTAGGTCAGGAATTTGGAAAGAGAACAGAAGGCATGGCTCTTCTCCATGATGTCTGGGGCTTCAGCTATGTTGAGTCCCATGGCTGGGGCTAGGATGGATGGGGCTGGATGACCCATTGACCTGGCAACATCTTGGCTCCTATGTCCAGTCTTTGAGTTGGGCTGGCTGGCGGCTGGCTGAGTTGGGGCTGGTGACCAGAGCATCTACCTGTGGTCACTGCAGCATGGCGGCCTCAGGCTCCAGGGACCGCTCACAGGGAAGTTCAGGGCCCCAAGGGCAGATGTTACCAGGCAACAATGCAAGTCTAGATTGCCTTCCATGACTTGGCCTTGGGAGTCATACGGTACCACTTCTGCCATTCTCTATTGGTCAAAGCAGACCCAGAATCCAGGGGAGTGGACACAGCCCCTACCTCTTGATGGGAAAAGTGCCAAAGAATTTGTGACCATGTTGCAACTTGCCGTATTGCACGTTGTTCTTTCACCTTCCTTACAACCCATCCTGAAGCTGCAGGAACAAGATCAGCTCTGCCTGAAAATCAGCACAGCGCCTCTAGCCCAGTCCACAGAGGTTCTACCAAGAAAGGCTGCTATGACGGTACATTAGTAATTTAAATCCTAATTAATAATGCAATGAATTAATATATACTTCACAATCTAAGGCACTATTTCATTGAAATCTCTGTTAAGTAGATGGTCTCTAACTTACGATTTTTTGATGTTATGATGGTGTAAAAGTGACATGCGTTCAACAGAAGCCATACTTGGAATGAATTTTGCCATTTGCTCTTTTCCCAGGCTAGTGATGTGCAGTATGATACTCCCTCTCCATGCTGGGCAGTGGCAGTGAGCCGCAGCTCCCAGTCCACCACAGTCGTGAGGGTGAATAACTGACAGTCTACGTTGTCCTGTGTTGCTGCGTGATTCTGCCCAGCAAAGTTGATGTATGTTCTGAGCATGTTTAAGGGAGTCGAGCTAAGCTGTGATATTTACAACAGGTTTGTCTGAATGGCACCCCATCGTAAGTCCAGGAGTATGTGTATTTGTCACAGCAAGCCCATGTGTAATGCTGCATCCCAAGACTTTTTGAAACCAGACTTTGGGAAATATATTGATACCATGTCTTTGTGAGGTTATCGTATAGCCAGAACACCCCTGTGTGGTTTTATATTCCTTCCTTTAGCCTTGACCTCTGATGAAACCCTGTTAAACATTACACTGTGTTCTCAGCCATGCTGTGAGGAATTAGTGACAGCCAGGCCCATGTGGATGTGTTGAGACAGAGGAGAGAAGTGTGGTACCCTCGTGGTTTTATATTCCTTCCTTTAGCCTTGACCTCTGATGAAACCCTGTTAAACATTACACTGTGGTCTCAGCCGTGCTGTGAGGAATTAGTGAAAGCCAGGCCCATGTGGATGAGTTGAGACAGAGAAGAGAAGTGTGGTACCCTCTTGCCTCAGGCTTGTAGCAATGGTGGGGTCTGGAGGGGGCCAGGTGTGTTTAGTGAAGATGTGACCCTTGGGAGGGTCATTTGTGGTGTGACCAGAAAGTCAGGATGGGCGGCCCTGAGAGACCTTCCTTTGAGCTCAAGTCAGGGACACCTTTGGGAAACAGTCATAAAGATAAGGCAAATAGCTGTGAAGGTGTCTACTGCCTCACAATAATCCAGCCAGGGGCCATGCCTTCAGGACCTGGCTTGGCTGTGCCCTGATGAGGTAAGATTCAGCTGCAACCTAGGCTGTCCTCCACTGACCAGACCCTGCACACTGGTGTGGGGCTGTGTGCACCTGGCGGAAGTGGTTGCTCACTGCCACCTCTCAAAGGTGTTACATGAACTAGGGCAGCCTGAATATTTTTATATATTAACAAGTACAATTCTGAAGCATAGGAAACAAAATTAGTGCAAATTGGGGTGACAAGGACTCAAGCCCGCTTGAGGTTACTGCTGGGGCAGATTTGAGTGGGGGATGGTCACAGAAGCTTGGGTAGAGGGCAGGACTAGGTGATAAGTCTCCTGTCACAGAAGTGGGAGTGGGGAGACAGATAGATAGATGATAGATAGATATTGTCTTGGTCTATTCCTGTCGCTATAAAGAAATACCTGAAAGTCAATAATTTATAAAGAAAAGAGGTTTATTTGGCTCAGAGTTCTACAGGCTGTACATGAAGCGTGGTGCTGGAGCAGTAGGTGAAGGGTAGCCGGTGTGTGCATATCACATGGTAAGAGAGGAGGAGAGGGAGCGGATGATGCTGCTAGACTCTTTTTAGCAACCAGATCGCTCAGGAACTAGTAGATAAAGAACTTGCTCATTACCACAAGGATGGCACCAAGATGGCCATAAGGGATCCAATCCCACAATCCAAACACCTCCCACCGGGCCCCACCTCCAACACTGGGAATCTAGTTTCAACATGAGATTTGGAGGGGTCAAACATCCAAACTATATCAGATATTCAGTGTCTTCAGCCAGTAATCAGCACTACAGGGTGTCTTGGGTGAGTGTCTGCATCTGCATGCCACGGTACCCAAGAGAGCTGACCGCATGGGCATGGGCAAACAGCAAGGCCTGTGCTGCCTTCTGGAAGCCAAGAAGATCAAAGAACTTCATATACTGATGACCCTCAAAACTCCCAACTCCTATGCCTGGGAGTCAAAGCCATACAAATCTGTGACTACTCGTAGGCTCTTATTTCAACCCACCCTCCTTCCCTCACCCACCATCACCACCAATAGCATAACCTAGGAAACATGACTTACATCTGGAATTCTGGTGGAAGTTCTTATCAGGACTATAAGTTTCTTGAGTCAAGATCATGCTAACTTCAGACCAGTATCCTCCAGGAACTCCTATAGTGCCTGATATATAATGGCTGCTCAATCTATATTTGTTGAAAGAACAAAGGACAGGGAGTTTCAGGACACAGTCACTGTAAAATTGGGTGCATCATATTCCCACTGACTGATTTCTGGCTCCATACTAGTGTGTGCCACCCAGTTTGATGCCGTTGCAGGGCTGAGGTGCTCCTGGGGGGCTGAGACATAGGAGAGCTGCCACCACTCTTGACAGTCATCCTGGGACACCTGAGCACTCTTGACTCAACCTCTGCCTGACCTAGCCAGTCCCTTTGGTTAAGGAGCTGGGTGTGGGAAGTTTGACAAAACATGGGAGAGAACCAAGGAGAGGAGAGAAGGGCACAGAAATTTGAATGCCATGGGCTCCATTTGTTTCTTCCAGCCTTGGGTGCAATTCAGCTTGGAGATAAGTGTGGACTGGGTGATCTCTCTAATTCCTTCATTTCATGAATGATGTGTCAAAGGAGAAGTAATGGTTTGGGGGTTTTGTTGGTAGGCTTGGCCATACACTTTTAATTTCATCTATAAGTTCCAAGAAAGCCAGCTGTGAGCTCCATAATTTCCAATTAAATGTCTTCTCCCCTTTTAGCCAGGAATTACAAAGTTCTCTTTTTGACATTTATTCTTGGTAGCTGGCTAAATGAAGAGCTAACATTTAAGTGAGCTGACATAAATGCCTGTTGATTTACGGTGTACGAATTCAGTAAATGTTTGTAAGCAATAGCTATGCTCAGCTCAATGTATCAAGGGACTTTTTAAAAGGTCTAGGGTACTAGGGCCTTCCACTAACTATTTAGTTAGAAAAATGGAGCAGAACTCCTTTGGGAAAATATAGAAAAAAGCTAGTCAGGATCTGATCATGAGTCCCATGAGTGGCCCAGTCATGATACCGGTGGGCTAGGCAGGTCCCCAAACACAAGTGGGACCTTGACTCCAGCCAGTGCCCAGGTGCTTGATATCATCGGGAGAAGAAATTCAAGGATGAGTCAGAAAATAGTGAAAGTACAGAGATTTGTTGCAAAGTGAAAGTACACACTCAAGATAGGGGAGGGCAAGCGGACTCCAGAGAAAGTTGTGCGCAAGGGTGTTTGGAGCTGCTACTTTTATGAGTTTCTTTAACCAAGGGGTGGAATATTCATGAAAATTCCTCGAAAAAGGTGGATATTTCTCAGAACTGTGGTGCCACCCACTTTTACACCAAATATGGGTGCTCCTGGAACGGTCATGGCACTGGTGGGTATGTGATTTGTATGTTAATGAATGAAAAATGAGGGCCTAAGAGAAACCTGAGTCAAATCCAGCACCATGTTGGGTCTAGTCGGTCTTAGCCAGCTTGGCCCACACCCTAGTTTTTCAGGGTCCTATCAGCCCCTAGCTCCTGTGGCTATTTCAACAGTTTCCTTTTGCTAGTCATGTGAAATGCCTGCCTAGAATTTTCTATTCTTCTGCGACCACCCTGTATTATTCCTGCCTCATTTCTGACAGAAGAGGCAGGAGGAAGACTGGAAAGGCTGGGTAGATTAAGTGAGAAGAGGAAAAAGGGAAAGGCATTCCAAGCAGGTAGAATAGCATGAGCAAAGGCTTGAAGGTAGCATAGTTGATAACCCCAAAATGTTTCTGTTATGAAGAGGAATCAGAAGGAAGTAATATGAAATGAATTGGTCGGAAAGGGATGAAATGCTCTCTAGAAGAATATGTGTTTGATCACGTTAGGGAGGAAAAACTTTCTTCTGTCCCATAAGTTGAATGGCTGGAGCCTGTAAATTTCACTGACGCAAGACAGGTTAACAGGAGAAAAGGAATACAAATGTATTTATATTTTTACGTGCATAGGAGTTCACAGAAAAGTAGTGAAATGCAAAGTGATTAGGCTCAGGGACGTATATATCATTTTAACAAAGGAAAGGGATGATAAATTGTGGGAAAGTGACTAGCAAATACATGGGGGAGATTAATGGAACAAACTTTAAAAAAAAAAGTTTGTTTATGCAGACTCATCTCAATGCTGACTGTCCATCTTTGATGGTAAGAGTTGCTCTACACTTCCTGCTATGGGAGTCGAGGAACACCTTCCACAAAGGGAATGTTACGCCCTGGTTTCAGGTAGAAAAAGAGAGCAGAGGATTCATCCTGCATCTGCTCATTTTCAATCGCTTGCAGCCCAAAATAAGCCGTATGTCAAAGTGGCATATTTTGGGGTGGCATATTCTGGACCCCTTCAATCATGTAGGTCAGTATTTGCCAAAATAGCTTCGCTGGAATTCTAGCCTTGTAATCTTTACTTGACCATAGAAAAAGAATTCCCAGCAATCTGCCCGTCAGACAATTCAAAAAAGCTCTGAGTCCTGCTGCCGTAGAGAAATCTGTTTAACTTTGTTTCCACCCTATTAAACATGAAAAGATCAACATCATCAGTAATTAAGGAAGTGTAAGTTGAAAATACAAACACCTATGAGAATGGCTAACATTAAAAAGAAAGAACTGGCAATACCAGGTGTGAATGAGGATGCCGAGACCTCAGATCTCCTTCATTGCTGGTTGGAGTGCTGTGGGGAAGTCAACAGGAAACTCAGGGTAGACAAGGGTAAGGTTTGTTTTGGAGAATTAAGTCAGCACCTGCTTCATTGACAAAAGTCTCCAGTGACTTCCACGCATCCTTCTTGCCCTGATACTGAGAGGGAGACACTCTTACAAGCAGAGACTTCCGTGATAGGTATAGATTTCCCCTGCACAGGGATCTGTTTTCAGATTAGAACTCCTGTGTCTGCAGTTTCTCAAAATAATCAGCTCAAAATAATCCTTATGCCCAAGAAGCATATTTTGGGGTGGCATATTCTTGTCTTCCATACTCATATTTTAAGATGGCATATTCTGGTCTAAATGGTCAGAGAAGACCTCACTGACAAACTGAAATTTAAGCAAAAACTTGAAGGAGATGAGGAAGAAAGCCATGTGGCTATTTAGGGGAAGAATGATCTGGGCAAAGAGAAAAGAGGTGCAAAGGCCCTGAGGCAGGTACATGACTGACTTCTCCAAATGAAAATCCATAGAACAGGGGGCTGGACACCTAGGATCCTGTCCTAGCTCTACAGATTATTTCTGCCATATGAGCCCATTTTCCTCATCCATTCAATTAAGGCATTCAACAAGGAGGTGACCAAGATCTCTTCCAGCTTGAACCTTGGATTCTAAATGCCCTCTGCTTTTGAGACTGCCGCTTGCTTTTCTGCCCATATGACCCACTGGTCATACTCACAAACCGAAGATTCACCATTTCTCCATCCATTCAAAATAAGTTGAGGGAATCTGGCCTTTGCTGATCTTTTTTATCTGCGCTTGACTCTGTTATGGTGATTCTATCTCACCAGCACCTTTTAAAAAGAAATCCAGTAATCTCGCTGATTTGAAATTATCTCCATCCCTTCAACCCTCAGCTGCTAAGTCAAGCAGCCTGACAAACACTCTATTTCCCCAATTCCAAGATACCATCAATTATAAGATACTCTATCAATTTAATAGCAGCATTTCAGTGGGAGAAAGAAAGAAAAGAAGGAAGGAAGAGAGATTAGAAACAAAGAAGGGAGGGGCCTGGCGCGGTGGCTCACGCCTGTAATCCCAGCACTTTGGGAGGCTGAGGCAGGTGGATCACCTGAGGTCAAGAGTTCAAGACCAGGCTGACCAACATGGAGAAACCCCGTCTCTACTAAAAATACAAAATTAGCCGGGCGTGGTGGCACATGCCTGTAATCCCAGCTACTCGGGAGGCTGAGGCAGGAGAATCACTTGAATCCAGTAGGCAGAGGTTGCGGTGAGCCAAGATCGTGCCATTGAACTCCAGCCTGAGCAACAAGAATGAAACTCTGTCCCCCGCCAAAAAAAAAGAAAGAAAAACGGGAGGAAAAGAAAGGAAGAGACAGAGAAAGAGAGAGAGAGAGAGAGAGAGAGAGAGGCACATCTTACTGTGTGTCTTCTTAAATGACTTTAGAATTCACTTATCCATGCCATTATATGCTGCTTTCATTACCAAAGTTTAACTCTGGCCTGTTTCATTATCAGAGACTAAATACTCTTCCACATGATTTTGGACACCCACAGTTACTCACAGCGGTATGGAGAATGCCAGTTTCCGGCCATGCTTATGAGCTTGGCCTCGTCAGCACACTTAAGATTGACAATGTAATTTGAGGGCATCATAGAGAATCCTAGTGGTTTATTGGCATTTCCTCTTTGGCCAAACTTATAATTCTGTTTTTCCTTATTTTAAAG
Organism: Homo sapiens; assembly: GCF_000001405.40. Taxonomy (NCBI): domain Eukaryota; kingdom Metazoa; phylum Chordata; class Mammalia; order Primates; family Hominidae; genus Homo; species Homo sapiens. The sequence goes on from NC_000004.12 coordinate 184,370,188, forward strand.
ATAAACATTAAGCAGCTTCTTTTGAAAATCACTAGAAGCTTTTAAAGATTTTGGAGCCTGAATAATAGTTTTTTTTTTTAATGGTGCATGAAGTAGTCATACCAATTTCCCCTTGCTTTGAAAAGTGTGTCATTTACTCTGTGCAGTGGGGGCGATGCCTAATGCCTGGCATGTGCCAGGCAATCTTTTGCACGCATGGTGACTTTTGCTCCAATGCTGTAAAGCAGAGTTATCTTTGTGAAAGACACTTTCAGTGGCAATTAGGGACATGAATCTAAGTTAACAGTGTGCTGTGCCACCAATGAAAATAACAAAACAAAGTGACAAAATGGATGAACAGATACTTCCACGAAGCTGGCTAAGGAGGTGTGGCCACAGGCCAGGTAGGCCACGTGGACGTGTCACTCCTCTAAATGGCTGCTGGAAAATTTTTTGACAGGGCGTACATTACACATCCCAATTTCATAAATGTTAACATGTGAAAAAATATAAAATGAGTCTTCAACTAGAGGAAATATGGCAGTTTTCAAAAATCTCAAGGCCTTGGGAGTTTCAGTTAGCCTGCAAAGCTGGGGCCAAGTCCGTCAGCTAAAAATGTGTGTATTCCTCTTCCCTTTCTGTCCTTACAACTCCGTCTGCAACCCTAACCCTGGAGATAAGAGAGTTCAAATCCCAGCTTGGAGGGAAACCAACCTAAAAAGGAAGAAGACAACAGTTAAGCTTATTTTAAGCTTCCTGCCTGAACTGCCATTAGGTTAATTTCTTCTAGCTCAGACGTCATTTTCTGAAGGCTTACAGGAAAATGCATATTTTCACGGCTGTGCTAAGAGATGGAGGCTTTCTTTCCCAAGGCCTTGAACTTCCTTTGAATTAGTAATGATGTGGCTATTGTGAAACACCAACTTGAATCTAATCAAGGAATTCGAAATTAATCCTATCCAAGAATTTTGCAGCTTTGTGTGCTCATGTGTGTGGTTATTTTGCCTTTTGGTGGGAGGTTTTCCCCTTCTTTTTAATGGCTATAAAGCAAACAACCTTTTCATTGTGGTTAAAAGTCCCCACACAAATGCCCTTCCCTTTCTGTTTTACCAGTAAGAGCTGTGCCTTGCCGCCTCTGAAACAATTCCCACACAGCCAGTCCTTTAAAATGAAGAGTAAATGCCCCACTCCGGAAATTCCGGAAATAAATAATAAGAACCTATACAGGAGGGCAAAGCCAAGCCGCGCCAAGATGCAGATGTCTCTGGAAGAAATTTACTCAAAGCTGTGGAAGAAAGAGTCACCGCATCTGGGCTCAGTGTCACCCTCGCTCAGAGCCCCAGGATGAGAGTGAGCATGACCCGTGTGTGCCTCGGGCAGCCAGATGCCCCTGCCAGCGCTCGCAGCCCTGCACACACACTGAAACCAGAAGATAAAGCAAACAGGACTTCAGGCCTCTGCCCCTTAGCCCTCGCCCTCCCTTCTGGAGCCATTCTGCTTACTGGAGAGTGAAGAACGGCATCCCTGGCCAGGCGCAGGGGCTCACACCTATAATCTCAGCACTTTGGGAGGCCGAGGCAGGTGGACTGATTGAGCCCAGAAGTTCAAAATCAGTCTGGTCAACACGGTGAAACCCCGTATCTACAAAAAATACAAAAATTAACCGGGCATGGTAGCGTGCATCTGTAATCCCAGCTACTCTGGAGGCTGAGGTCGAAGGATTGCTTGAGCTTGGGAGGCGAAGGTTGCAGTGAGTCGAGATGGCGCCACTGCACTCCAGCCTGGGTGACAGAGTGAGACCCTGTCCCTTCCAAAAGAAAACAAGAATACCACCCCCCACCCCCGCCTACTGGGTCAGCTAGAAACCCTTTCCTCTCATTTCTGGCCATGAAATCCTCCACATGTAACCCCTCTCTCAGCACAAAGACTTTCAGATAAACCTGACTTACCTGGGTTGATTTCCTTAATAGGAAAAGGCCTCATTTTTTACATTGCTGAACATTGCTGCATGGCACACAGAAGGCCTGGGTTTTTCCACCCACCGTCAGGCCCATCAGTACCCCCACCCCTTCCCTGGGAGCCACTATTGCAAGCAGAAAAAATGCACTTGGAAGAGCAGATGTCTGATTAAATAAGGAGCCATCACTGCTTCACAGTGACACGTAAATGTACCTTTTGCATCTGTTTGTGTTAAATACCCGTCTTCCAGCACAGTCTTCTTAAAATAATGGCTAACTTTTGAAATAGATGCTGATACTTCTTTAGCAGATTTTGTCCGCAGGTTTTCTTGAGGTCAGCGATATAGCCACAGTCCCTGTTGGATGGCAAACATCTTCAAACATTTTGTGCAAATTACATTATTTATTATGAACTACTTGAGTGCCAAAAGACAGTAATACTTTTTCATTGAGCATGCATGCATTTTTTTAAAAGCTCATTTTGCCAAAATTGTTTCTCATAAAAGAAAAAAGGAATTACTAAATAACAAAATAAATGGTGTAGGTATATACCATATTAGGGTTCTCTAGAGGGACAGAACTAATGGTGTGTGTATATATATATACATATATATATGTATATATATATATGTATATATATATACACGTATATACATAGGTATATATATGGGTATGTATATATGTATATACATAGGTATATATATGTGTATATATATACGTATATACATAGGTATATATAGGTATATATATAGGTATATATAGGTATATATAGGTATATATAGGTGTATATAGGTGTATATATACATATATAGGTATATATACGTGTATATAGGTATATATTATATATAGGTGTATATATAGGTGTATATATAGGTATATATAGGTGTATATATATAGGTCTATATATATACACCTATATATACACGTATATATACACCTATATATATACACGTATATATACACACCTATATATATGCACGTATATATACACCTATATATATGCACGTATATATACACCTATATATATGCACATATATATACACCTATATATATGCACGTATATATATACCTATATATGCACGTATATATATACCTATATATATATGCAAGTATATATATACCTATATATGCACGTATATATACACCTATATATATGCACGTATATATATACCTATATATATGCACGTATATATATACCTATATATATGCACGTATATATATACCTATATATGCACGTATACATATATGTGTATATATATATATATATGAAGGGGAGTTTATTAAGGAGTATTCACTTACAGGATCACAAGGTCCCACAATATGCCGTCTGCAAGCTGAGGAACAAGGAAGCCAGCCTAAGTCCGAAAGCTGAAGAACTTGGAGTCTGATGTTCAAGGGCAGGAAGCATCCAGCACAGGAGAAAGATGTAGGCTGGGAGGCTAAGCCAGTCTAGTCTTTTCACATTTCTCTGCCTGCTTTTTATTTTGGCCGTGCTGGCAGCTGATTAGATTGTGCCCACCCAGATTAAGGGTGGGTCTGCCTTTCCAGCCCACTGACTCAAATGTTAGTCTCCTTTGGCAACACCCTCAGCAGACACACCCAGGATCAATACTTCATATCCTTCAATCCAATCAAGTTGACGTTCAGTATTAACCATAACATATACTTTACAATAAATGACATAACTGTTGTAGCACAAGCAGCAGTACTTTGTGCATGCTCTGTGGAAGGACTGCTCAGCTTTTCTTTTCTGCACATATTTCATATGCAACTAACTTATCATTTCTCATGTTTCCCACTGACCCTGCCGAATAGCCATGTGATGACATTGTACATCTCACAGGCCATAGCACGGAACACACAGCCCAGCTGACTGGCATACCAAATGGCTTGCAGGAGCAGAAGCATCAAATATTAATACTTCTCCAACTAGGCCTGCAGATGTGAAGGAGTTATCTATCCCTTGAAACTTGTGTCTGAAAGCACATTTTATTTGCAATCATCCCACATCCTGTGCTTAAAAAGGAGATACTTGTTATGCTGTGTCTGGAAAAGGTCAGAGAGAATAACTTGTCAACTTTTGGATTTAATCACACATTGAAGTGAGAACTGTTTTTCTTGTGCATGCAACTCAGACTATACTAGAAAAGACCATGGCAGAAGCTAGAGTAAAAGCAGAGGTCTACCAAGCCTATCCAGGTTAATTTAATGCAACCATAAATACAAATATATGATGAATTTTCTTTTTAAGATAGGGTCTCACTCTGTTGCCCAGGCTAATCATGCAATGCGTGGTCACAGATCACTGCACTCTCAACCTCCTGGGCTCAAGCTATCCTCCTACCTCAGCCTCCCGAGTAGCCAGGACTGCAGATGCACCCACCACACCTGGCTAATTTTTGTATTTTTTTTGTAGAGACAAGGTCCCACTATATTGGCAATCTTGGACTCCTAGGCTTAAGTGATCCTCCCACTTTGGCCTCCCAAAGTGCTGGGATTACAGATGTTAGCCATCATACCCGGCCTTATATGGCCAATTTTTCAAAATGATCAATGTATATTTGAAAAGAAAATACATTCTCTATTACTAGGGCATAGTGTTGAATATGCATAAGGTCTACTTTATTATTAAGTTATTTAAACAACTTTGTTTATTTTCTTCCCATTCAATCTGTCTTGTACTGGCTGTGATGTTAAAGTCTCCTATTAATGTGTTTAATATTCTATTCCTATTCTCACGTTGTGTGATTTCTGTTTTATATTGGTGGTTGCTGTGTTATTTGGTGCATGGTCATAATTATTGTACATGAACTGTGAAACCTGGTTTTCAATATTGCATAGTATATTTCATTGTCTCATTTAAGGCTTTTTGGCCTGAATTAACTCATCTGATATAATAATCACTATCCTACCTTCTTATTGTTTTTATTTTTCTGGTATATATTTGCCAGTTTTTTACATTTTTGGCCTTTTAAATCACCATGTTTGATGTATGTCTATTAAATATAGCATGAGGTCAGGTTTTGCCTTGTGGGCCAGTTTGAGAATTGGCTTATTCATCGCTATAACAAGAAAAGAGAAGAAACCACTGAAGCCCAATCCACTTATTGGTATGACTCATATATTTGGTCTCAAGTATCATATTATTTTATAATTACTGCATGTGTCATACTTACCATATTTCCTTCTTTAATTGCCATATTGTATTTGCTATTTTTTTTTTTTCATTTCTTTTGGCATTTCAGAATGTTTGTATGTTTGTTCCAGTGGTTGTATTTATTCCATTTTAATCCCTTCTAACTTCCTTTTCTTCTTACTGAACATTCTATTGTCTGGTATGACCATTTATACTCTTCTCCTTCACCCATTATCTACCTAACTGTTAATTCTACTTCTCTGCTTTCTCCTTTCTTTCTCTCTTCCCCTCTCTTTTCTTTTTGATTGCATAATTTTTGCTTTTCAGAACATATAATATATATATACTACTCTTTAATCCATGTCCTCGCCCGTGTTTTAACTATACAATTAAAAATATTAAATTTTCACCATGCAATATACTCCACTGTATTAGCTCATTTCATGCTGTTATGAAGAAATACTTGAGACTGGGTAATTTATAAAGGAAAGAGGTCTAATTGACTCACCGTTCCACATGGCTGGGGAGGCCTCAGGAAACTTACAATCATGGCAGAAGGGGAAGTGAACATGTCCTTCCTGACATGGTGGCAGGAGAGAGAAGTGCCAAGCAAAGTGGGAAAAGCCCCTTATAAAAGCATCAGATCTCATGAGAACTCACTCACTA